>NC_000004.12:189522251-190123121 GCF_000001405.40 Homo sapiens
CAATGAGCACTTAGATTGGTTCCATGTCTTTGCAATTGTGAATTGTGCTGCAATAAATATACATATGCAGGTGAATTTTTGATAAAATGATTTATTTTCCTTTGGGTAGAAACTCAGTAGTAGAAATGCTGAATAGAAAGGCAGATCTACTTTCAGTTCTTTAAGAAACCTGTGTACTGTTTTCAATAGAGTTTGTACTAATTTACATTTCCACCACTGGTATATCAGAATTCCCTTTTCACCACATCCACACCATCTATTGTGTTTTGACTTTTTAATAATGGCTATTCTTGCAGGAGGAATGTAGTGTCTCGCTGGGCTTTTAATTCACATCTCCCTGATGATTTGTAATATTGAGCATTTTTTTTCACATTTGCTGACCATTTGTATATCTTCTTTTGAGAATTGTCTGTTCATGTCATTTGTTCATTTTTGATGGGATTATTTATTTTTTCTTGCTGATTTCTTTAAGTTTCTTGTATATTCTGGATATTAGTCCTTTGTTGGACATATAGTTTGCAAATATTTTTTCCCATTCTATGGGTTATCTGTTTACTCTGATGATTATTTCTCTTGCTGTACAGAAGCTTTTTAGTTTAATAAGGTTCCATTCGCTTATGTTTTTTATATTCCATTTGCTTTTGGGATCTTAGTCATGAGTTCTTTGCCTAGGTTAATGTCAAGAAGAGTTTTTCCTAGATTATCTTCATAATTTTTATGGCTTCATGTCTTAGATTTAAACATTTGATTCATCTTGAGTTAATTTTTGTATAAGGTGAGAGATAGGGATTCATTTTCATTCTTCTGCATATGACTAGCCAATTTTCCCAGTACCATTTATTAACTAGAATGTCCTTTCCTCAATTTATGTTTTTGTATGTTTTATTGATCAGTTGGTTGTAAGTATTTGACTTCGTCTCTGGGTCCTCTATTCTGTTCCATGTGTCTACTTTTATACCAGTACCATACTGTTTTGGCAACTATAGCCTTATAGTGTAATTTGAAGTCTGGTAATGTGATGCTTCCAGATTTGTTTTCTCATTAAGATTGCTTTGGCTCTTCAGGCTCTTTTTGATTCCATGTGAATTTTAGGATTGTTTTTACTAACTCTGGAAAAAATGATGTTGGCATTTTGATGGGAATTGCACTGAATCTGTAGATCACTTTGGGCAGTATGGTCATTTTCATAATATTGATTCTACCCATCCATGAGCATGGGATGTATTTCTATTTGTTTGTATCATCTATGATTTCTTGCAGCAGTGTTTTGTAGTTCTCCTTTTGTAGATCCTTCACCTTCTTTGTTAAGTATATTCCTAGGTATGTTGTTATTATTTTTTTGCAGCTGTTGTAAAGGAGATTGAGTTCTTAATTTCATTCTCAGCTTGGTCATTCTTGGTGTATAGCAAGCAGTACTACTGATTTTTATGCACTGAATTTATAATGTGAGACTTTACTGAATTCACTTATCAAATCTAAGAGTCTCTGGAGGAGTCTTTGTGGTTTTCTAAGTATATAATCATATCATCAGTGAACAATGATAGTTTGAATTCCTCTTTTCCAATGTGGATGCTATTTATTTCTTTCTGTTGCCTGATTACTCTGACAAGGACTTCCTGTACTACATTGAATAGAAGAGGTGAAAATGGGCATCCTTGTCTTGTTACAGTTCTCAGGGGTAATGTTTTAAACTTTTCTCCATTCAGTATAATGTTGGATATGGGTTTCTCATACACAACTTTTATTATTTTGAGATAAGTCCCTTCTATGCCTAGCTTGTTGAGTGTTTTATGATAAAAGAATGCTGGATTCTATTGAACACTTTTTCTGCACCTATTAAAGTGATCATGTTTTTGTTTTAAATTCTGCTCATATGATGTATCATATTTACTGACTTGTGTATGTTAAATGACCCCTGCCTTCTTGAGCTGAGCTAAAACCCATTTGATTATGGTGTATTATCCTTTTTATTTGTTGTTGGATTCAGTTAGCTAGTATTTTGTTGAGAATTTTTGCATCTATATTCATCAAGAATATTGGTCTGTAGTTTTAAATGTCATTTCTTGGTTTTGGTATCAGGGTGATACGGCTTCGTACAATGATTTAAGGAGGATTCCCTCTTTCTCTGTCTTTTGGAATAGTTATAGAAGGATTGGCAACAATTCTTCTGTGTATGTCTGGTAGAATTCAGCTGTGAATCCATTTGATATGTTTTGGCTGTGTCCCCACCTAATCTCATCTTGAATGGTAGTTCCCATAATCCCCATATGTCATGGGAGGGACTTGCTGGGAGGTAGTTTAATCATGGGGGCAGTTACCCTCATGCTGCTCTCATGATAGTGAGTTCTCATGAGATCTGATGGTTTTATATGGGGCTTTCCCCTGTTTTGTTCAGCACTTTCTCTGGCTGCTACCATGTGAAGAAAGACATGTTTGTTTCTCCTTCCACCATGATTGGATGTCTCGTGAGGCCTCCCCAGCCATGATGAACTGTGAGTCAATTAAACCTTTTTCCTTTATAAATTATCCAGTCTCAGGTATGTCTTTATAAGCAGTGTGAAAGTGGACTAATACAGTAAATTGGTACCAGGTGATGGGGTGCTGCTGTAAAGACACCTGAAAATGTAGAAACAACTTTGGAACTGGGTAACAGACAGAGTTTGGAAATGTTTGGAGGGCTCAGAAAAAAATAAGAAAATGTGGGAAAGTTTGGAAGGTCCTAGAGACTTTGAGACCTCAGAAGACAGGAAGATGAGGGAAAGTTTGGAACTTCCTAGAGACTTGTAGAATGGCTTTGACCAAAATGCTGTTAGTGATATGGACAATAAAGTCCAGGCTAAGGTGGTCTCAGATGGAGATGAGGAACTTGTTGGGAACTGGAGTAAAGGTCACCCTTGCTATGCAAAGAGACTGGCAGCATTTTGCCCCTGCCCTAGAGATCTGTGGAACTTTGAAGTTGAGATAGATGATTTAGGGTATCTGGCAGAATAAATTTCTAAGTGGCAACGTGTTCAAGAGGAAGCAGAGCATAAAAGTTTGAAATATTTGCAGCCTGATGATGCACTAGAAAAGAAAAACATATTTTCTCGGGAGAGATTCAAGTCAGCTGCAGACATTTGCATAAGTAACGAGGATCCATATGTTAATCACCAAGACAATAAGGAAAATGACTCCAGGTCATGTCAGAGACCTTTACAGAGGCACTTCCCATCACAGGACTGGGGGCCAAGGAGGAAAAAATGGTTTCCTGGGGCGGGCCCAGGGCTCTCCTGCTGTGTGCACCCTAGGGACTTGGTGCCCTGAGTCCCAGCTGCTCCAGCCATGGCTCAAAGTGCCCGAGGTACAGCTCAGGCCATGGCTTCAGAGGGTGCAAGCCCAGGCCTTGGCAGCTTCCACAGGGTGTTGAGCCTGAAGACACACAGAAGAATTGAGTTTTGGAAACCTCCACCTAGATTTTGGAGGATGTATGGCAACACCTGAATGTCCAAGCAGAAGTTTGCTGCAGGGGTGGGGCCCTCATGGAAAACCTCTGCTAGGGCAGTGCAGAAAGGAAATGTGGGGTTGGAGCCCCCACACTGAGTCTCCAGTGGGGCACTGCCTAGGAGAGCTGTAAGAAGAGAGCCACTGTCCTCCAGACCCCAGAATGGTACATCTGCCGACAGCTTGCACCATGGGCCTGGAAAAGCCACAGACACTCAATGCCAGCTTGTGAAAGCAGCTGGAAGGGGGGCTGTAGCCTGCAAGGCCACAGGGACAGAGCTGCCCAAGGCCATGGGAGCCCACCTCTTGCATCTGCATGAACTGGTTGTGATATATGGGGTCAAAAGAGATTATTTTGGAACTTTAAGGTTTAATGACCACCCTGTTAGATTTCAGACTTGCATGAGGCCTGTAGCCCCTTTGTTTTGGCCAATTTCTCCCATTTGGAATGAGTGTATTTACCCAATGTCTGTACCCCCATTGTATCTAGGAAGTAACTAACTTGCTTTTGATTTTACAGGCTCATAGGCAGAAGGGACTTGCCTGGTCTCAGATGAGACTTTGGACCTGAACTTTTGAGTTAATGCTGGAATGAGCTAAGACTTTGGGGGACTGTTGAAAGGGCATAATTTTGTTTTGAAATTAGAGGACATGAAATAGGAGAAGCCAGGGGCAGAATAGTACGGTTTGGCTGTGTTCCCATAGAAATCTCACCTTAGATTGCAGTTTTCATAATCTCCACACTGTCATGGGAGAGACTCAGTGGGAGGTAATTTAATCACGGAGGTGGTTACCTCATGCTGTTCTCATGATATTGAGTTATCACAAGATCTGATGTTTTTATCAGGAGTTTCCTCTCTTTTCTTAAGCAGTTTCTCTTGTTGCTGCCATGTGAAGAGGGATGTGTTTGCTTCCTCTGCTACCAGGATTGTAAGTTTCCTGAACTGTGAATCAACTAAACCTCTTTCCTTTATAAATTGCCAAGTCTCAGGTATGTCTTTATTAGTAGCAAGAGAATGGCCTAATATATCACCTGACCACGGTGTTTGTTTTTGTTCTTGGCAATTTTTTTATTACATATTCAATCTCACTGCTTGTTATTGGTCTATTCAGGGTATCTATTTCTTCCTGACTTAATCTAGGAGGGCTGAATGTTTTCAGAAATTTATTTATTTTCTCTAAATTTTCTAGTTTGTGTGCATAGAGGTGACCATTGTATTTTGAATAATATTTTGTATTTCTGTGGTGTTGGTTGTAATGTCTCCAGTTTCATTTCTAATTGAGTTTATATGTATCTCTTCTCTTCTTTAGTAATGATTAATCTGGCTAATGATATATCATTTTTTTAGCTTTTCAAAGAACCAGATTTTTGTTTCATTGATCTCTATTTTTGTTTGTTTGTTTTGGTTTCATTTAGTTCTACTCTGATCTTTGTTATTTCATTTCTTCTGCTAACTTTGAGTGGAGTTTATGATTGTTTCTCTAGTTCCTTGAAGTCAACACTAGGTTATCAATTTGTGATCTTTCAGACTTTTTGATGTAGGCATTTAGTGCTATAAATGTTCCTCTTAGCACTGCTTTTTCTATATCCCAGAGGTTTTGATAAATTCTGTCACTATTATTCTTCATTTCAAGGAATTTTTAAATTTCCATCTTGATTTCATTGTTTCCCCCAAAATAATTCAAGAGCAGATTGTTTAATTTTCATGTACTTGTGTAGCTTTGAGGATGCCTTTTGTAATTAATTTCCAGTTTTTTCCACAGTTGTCTGAGTAGATACTTGATATTATTTAGATATTTTTTAATGTATTGAGAGTTATTTTGTGGCCTATCATATGGTCTATATTGCAGAATGTTCCATGTGCTGATGACAAAAAATATATATTTTACAGTTCTTAGGTGGTATGTTTGGTAAATATCTGTCAGGTCCATTTGTTGTAGAGGATAGCTTAAGCCCTTTGTTTCTTTGTTGATTTTCTGTCTCGATAATCTGTCTAGTGTTGTCAGTGGAGTATTGAAGTCCCCACTGTATTAGTTCATTCTCATGCTGCTATGAAGAAATACTGAGACTGGGTAATTTACAAAGAGGAAAAGAGGTTTAACTGACTCACAGCTCTTCATGTCTGGGAAGGCCTCAGGAAACCTACAGTCATGTTGGAAGGAGATGCAAACACATCCTTCTTCATAAGGTGGCATGAGAGAGACTGGCAAGCAAGGGAAATGCCAAATGCTTATAAAACCATCAGATCATGAGACTCACTCATTATCATGAGAATGGCATGGGGAAAACTGCCACCATGATTCAATTACCTTCACCAGGTCCTGTCCTTGACATGTGGGGATTATTACAATTCAAGGTGAGATTTGGGTGGGGACACAGAGCTAGATCATGTCACCTACTATTATTCTCTTGCTGTCTATCTCATTTTTTAGGTCTAGTAGTAAATGTTTTATCAATCTTGGATCTCCAGTGTTAGGTAGATCTAAGTTGAGAATTATAATATATTCTTTTTGGATTAATCCTTTTATCATATAAGTAACTTCATTTTTTTTACTGTTGTGCTGTAAAGTCTGTTTTAATCTGATATAAGAATAGCTACTCCTGCTTGCTTTTGATTTTAATTTGCATGGAATATCTTTTTCCACTCGTTTACCTTTAGTTAATATGAGTCCTTATATGTTGGGTGAGTCTCTTTCAAACAGTAGATATTTTACCTGTGATTTTTTTAATCCATTCTGCCAATTTGTGTCTTTTAAGTGGAGCACTTAGGATATTTGCATTCAACATTAATAATGAGATGTAGTGTATTGTTCCAGTCATCCTGTTAATTGTTACCTAGATACTTTGTTTTCTTCACTGTGTTTTTGTTTTACAGGCTTTGTGAATTTTATGCATTCAAAAGGTTCTATTCTGGTGCATATCAACCTTTTGTTTCAAAATTTAGAACTCTTTTTATCATTGCTTGCAGGGCTGGTCTGTTATTGACAAATTCTGTCAGCACTTGTTTGTCTGACAATGACATCATTTCTTTTTCATTCATGAAACTTAGTTTTGATGGATACAAAATTCTTAACTCACAGTTATTCTGTTTCAGGAGGCTAAAGATAGGGTCCCAATCCCTTTTGCCTGTAAGGTTTCTGGTGAGAAATCTGCTGTTAGTCTGATAGGTTTTCCTTTATAGGTTACTTGATGCTTTTGTCTCACTGCCCTCAGAATTATTTCCTTCATGTTGACTTTAGGTAAATGGATAACTATATGTCTTAGTGAAGTCCTTTATGTGATGAATCTCCGAGGAGTTCTTTAGCTTCTTGTATTTGGAAATCTAAACCTCTAGCAAGGCCAGGGAAGTTTTCTTCAATTATTCCCTCAAATGAACTTTCTAAACTTTTTTGCTTTTTCTTCTCCCTCAAGAACACCAGTTATTCTTATGTTTGCCCATTTTACATGATCTCATATTTCTTACAGAATTTTTAATTTCTTTTTATTCTTTTTTCTTTGTCTGATTGGGTTAATTTGAATGCTTTGTTTTTGAGCTCTGAAATTCATTATTCTACTTGTTCTAGTCTTTTGTTAAATTTTCCATTGCATTTTATAACTCCCTAAATGTGTCTTTCATTTTCAGAAATTCTGATTGGCTTTTTAAAAAAATATCTTTTTAGAAAATGTTTTATTCATATCCCGAATTGATTTTTAATTTCTTTATGTTGGTTTTAAACTTTCTCTGGTATCATCTTGAGTAGCGTAACAATCAAACTTTTGAATTTTTTACCTAGTATTTCAAAGATTTCATTTTGGTTTGGATCCATTCCTGGAGAGCTAATGTAATCTTTTGGGGGTATTACAGAATCCTGTTTTGCCATATTACCAGATTATTTTTCTGGTTTCTTCTCATTTGGGTAGACTATTTCTTCTAATTATTCTTAAATTTTTTATTTGACTGGCTTTTTAAAATTTCTTTTTTCCCCTTAAGGATGTGACTTTAATGTTTATAGTTTATCATAGTCAATTTGACTCTTCATGCTTTCAGGAGTAAGACTGTAAGTTTCTTGATTATAGAAAGTCTTTGTATGATGGCTTTCTCAGATACTGGTTGTAGTAGCAATATGCTTGGTGTGTGTGCAAGTTTACTGTCACCTATGGGGTTGGAATGACAGAGACCTCTTGAAGCTCACCTCATTTCCCCATGGTGTGCATGCTTTTATTTATTTTTTTCCTCAGTATTTTATTTGCTGAGTTGAATAGTTTAGGCTTCAGGCCAGTAGAGGGGGTGTCCCTGAGTAGAAACCAGCTGTGGTGAAAGCAGGTAGGTAAATGCTATTTCCAGAGGTGGGTAGAGGTCCCAGCCTTGACAGAGATGGCTGGCAGAACTGTCAGTAAAACACACTGATGTATTATCAGGGGGAAGGGCAAGATACACTTTAGCTCCCCTGGCAGGCCAGCAGGAAAGTCATCCACCTCCCAGACACACTTCTGACCCAGTGTTCTAGCTATTCAGATCAGACAGGCACCTCTTTTTATCCACAGGAATGTTGATGTTCCAGGTAGAGAGAAACTGTGACTACTTCTCATGCAAGCCTGAACCTACAGGGTGCTCCACCTGTGGGAATGCAGTCACCCTGAAGTGTCTTGAAGTGCTTCAGAAAGGCTATGTGTAGTTCTACCATGCTGAGCTCCCATGGAAGAAGCCCCAGTTGGTTCTGCTCTGTGGAAAAGGGGGAAGTCTCCTTCTCTAAGACCCTTTATGAGCACCAGAGCTGCCTGTCTGTTGAGCTGTAGACTATCCCTGCTGAGCCCAGCACTGCAACTGGGTCTCTGTTGAAGTAAACTTCCCACTAGTGGAAAAACCTGAGACTCAAGGCCTGCCATCTATCATCTTTTGTCCTATGGGATGTTCGCTTGATGCGGTTCACTTCCTTTTACCTTAGGATTAGGAGTTCCTGATAACCAGACTAGTGTGAATGTTGCTGGTCCTCTCGGTCTAGCTGCCCAGTGGGGCTGCCACAACCCAAGCTGGTGTTGGGGAATGTCTTCAAGGGAGCCAGTGATATAAACTACCCTCAAGTCTCCTAGCAGTGGGTACCAGCACTCACTCTGATGAGGGTGGCGGGGAAGTGACAGAGTCTGTAAAGTTCCTTGGGTATAAATAGCCTTAGTGTGTAGGCTTTCTCAAATGCTGATTGCAGTAGTAATGAACTGGTCATAGGGTCACACTCAAGAGTTCCTTGTTGGCCGGGTTTGTGCAGGCAGTGGTGATAGCTGAGGTCACACACAAGTTTTCTCCTTCCTGGATGCAGTGTTAGTTTTCCTGGAGATGCTGTAATGGACTGTGTCAGTTGGCTTCCAGCCAAGAGGTGGAACTTGCAAAGGAGAACCAGCTGCGGTAGTAGTGGTAAGATTTGTGTTTGCCTTATGTTACCCAGAGAAAGTATTCTGGTTTCTAAGGTGATGGGATGGGCCATAGGGCTTCCAAAAGTTTCTATCCTTTGTGTTAAGCTACCAGAGTAGGTGGAGAAGCAAAGGCAGGTGGGGGATGGGTCAGGCAGCTTCAAGTTCTTGTTCTCCACTTGCAGGGCAAGCAGAAGTCCCTGAGGGGGTCAGGGGGCAGTTCTCTGGCCACTGGGGTAATGTTCCAGAAAGGAACATAACTGCCTCTGCTTCACAGAAGGGTTCACACAGGGAGTGGGGAATAGCAGGCAAAAGTAAGCCTCACCTAGCTCCCACACACTTGGCACAGCAGGTCTGTAACCCTCAGTATTTGCTAGCAGCAACTAGCTAAATTCCAAGCAGTCTATGCTTAGAACTCAAAACTGCCCCAGGCTGTAAGCCTTTTCCAGGCTGAGACGGGAATCTTGGGTTTCAGGCCATTCCCTTCCCTGTTCACCTGCAAAGCTAGGGCACCCAGGTCCTGTGACCATGGGAGCAGCACACTTTTCACTCACCCCCAGTGAGTATTTTTCTAATGACTGCATTTAATATATATCACACCAACTTTCATCTATAGTATTTTTATTCTTGTTAATTTCCAGAAATTCTATAATTTGTAAGTATTTCCCTTTTTATTTGAGCGTTGTATAATAGAACTTATAATTTCCAGGTAAAAAGTCATTTTGTCTCATTTTTAATTTCTAGGGATACTGTATTATGATCAGAAACTGTAATATTTACATTTTATGGAATGTACTGATGTTTTCTATATGCCCTAGTATACGATAAATCTTTGTGAATTTTCCATACATACTTAAGAAAAAAATTTTCTACTTTTATGGTGTATTACTCAATATACATCTAAAAGTTCTACCTTATTGTGTTGTTTGTTTAGTTTTTTTCTATTTTAATATATATTTTGTTCACTTATTTGTCTTTTGCAGAGAGCGGTATGTTAAATACTGTCTATATTAGTGTGCACCTATGTATTTTTCTCTGCAGCTTTTACAGTTCTTATTTAATATAGGTATTTGCCACATTATTTGGTATGTGGATGCCCATTACTGTTGTATTTTCATTCAAGATTACGGTGTTTACCATTACAAAATATTCTTTTTTATCTTACTAAATGCTGCTTAAATTCTATTTTATGTAGTATCAGAGGCTTAACATTTTCTTTCTTGTCTCATTTGAATTAGATCTTTAGTTTGTCTTTCAGTTATATCATTTCTAACCACTGAATTTTTAGTGTTCCCTTTTATATAGTTTTGTTTTATGAGTTAATTTGAACATATTTTTTCTTTAGTAAGCAAGTTAGGGTCATTCACATTTATTGATATGACAGTTATGTTTATTCTCAATTCTGCCTCTCATGTTATATTATATTACAATTACAGTGCATACTAGATTTAGTGTGACCTCTTGGACCTTCTTAAAATTTCTTTCAGTGTTTGAGAAAATTTATACCTTTATTTATATGTTGGTGGTTAACTTTGAATTAATATTTTACTAAGCTTTCAATTCCTTTTTTCTCATTTAACATATTATTATTTGATATGTTCATTTCTTTTATTATTATTTTTTTTGAGACAGAGTCTCACCCTGTCACCCAGGCTGGAGTGCAGTGTCACGAATGATATGTTGGTTTCTAATAGTATTTATTAATTCCAATATTCTAGGATGAAACAATTAAAAATTATATTCTACTTTTTCTTCTCTTCCTTCTCTCATTCATTGGTTTTATTTCTTCTACGTTGTGTGGACACATAATGGATAATTTTTAAATATAAATCTACCCATGACCCCATACTTGTGTTACTCTTATACCTGCAATGAACTAATAAACTCCTCAGGCTTTTTGCCAATGATTTCCAAGTCATGTTTTTTTAGATGAAGCTCATCCTCTAGTAGATACCTCAGGAAGGGAAATTTATGCAGTACTGAGTTCTGGAACATTCAGATATGTGCCTTGGGCCAGGTGCAGTGGCTCACACCTGTTATCCCAGTGCTTTGGGAGGCCAAGGCAGGTGGATCACCTGAGGTCAGAAGTTTGAGACCAGCCTGGCTTATGTGGCAAAATCCTGTCTCTAGCAAAATTACAAAAATTAGCTGGGCGTGGTGGCTCACGCCTGTAATCCCAGATACTCAGGAGGCTGAGACAGGAGAATCTCTTGAACCTGGGAGGCAAAAGTTGCAGTGAGCCGAGATGGTGCCATTGCACTCCAGCCTGGGAGACAGGGCAAGTCTCTTCCATCTCAAAAAAAAAGAAAAAAGAAATGTGCCTTGACACTTGACAGACAGTTTGAACAGACATATTATCTTTGACTCATTCTTTCTTTCTTTAAGCTTTCTGAAAATGTTACTGCATTGGTGGCTTTCTTTCCTTGTTGTTTTCAAGGAATCAAACTCCATCTAGGTTGTTTTCTGATTTATAAGTTATTTTATCTTTCTGCTTGAAAATAATAAATTTGTTTTTATTGTTGAAGTCTAACAGTTTTACTAGCATATGGCTGAAAGATAATTGTTCCAAGTCATTTTCCTTGAAAATACATTTTCATTGTGTATTTTTGGATATAGTTCGAAGTATTAATTTTGTTCATCATTTTGGTTTTCTACTTCAGAAACATCGATTATATGTATGTTGGACCTTCTTTTCTGTCTGTAATTCCTCTTTATTTACTTCTTTATATCATTTTTATTCTCTTGATTGTTTTTCTGGTTTTCTGTAATGCTAATTATTAAATTTTTAATGTATTTTTGGGGGTCTCTAATTTAGTCTTTATTATATAATTATGCCTTCTATTTCTTTTTTCAAGTTCAATCAACTCTTGTTTAATTTCCTACTGTGTTTTTATAATTTGAGGTCATAGAATTTTTCCCTGGTTCATACTGTTTTCTTGTTTTTTTTGTTGTTGTTGTTTTTTGTTTTTTTGTTTTGTTTTGTTTTGTTTTATTGTTATTGTTGTTCATATTCCCCAGTACTTGTTTAAAAATATGTAATTCATCTTGAAGCACTGTGTTACAGTTTTTGGGGTGATATTTAACCAACACAAAAGCTTTTATTTTTTTTTACATTGGCCTGTGTACAATCTGCTTTCTTCTATTCCTATTCATTTTGTGGACAGAGTTCCTAGTTTGAGAGTTTCTTCTGGCAGGCTGGCATTCTGCTAGGCAGGACTTTTTGTGGACGATGGTGGTGGTGGTGATGGTAGTATAGGAAAAAGGAAAAGACTGAAGCTTCACAAAATCCTTCATTTTTCTGTCTGATTCATTATTCCTCCTCACCTTTTTGTCTCCAGTAAGTGTCACCCCATGTATCTGAAATGACTATCTAATGCTGCAATTTAGCACTTGTTTGAGTACCTTTCTTACAGCATTTCTCTGAATTGTGTCTCAATCCACGTTCCATATTTTTGCATTTATTAGTGCATATTTTCTTACTGAGGCGTGATTTTTCCTGTCTTCTGCACATCTTTCACATTCATCTACATTTTTATTGCAGAGTTCTTTAAACTCCTCCAGCCTGCATCCTCGGATGTCTAATACGGTTTATGTGAGCTCTGTTGGCGTTTGTCTATTTTATTCTCGCTTGTGGTAAATTGAAGATTTCAGTGTTGACATTCTCTGTCTCCATGGATTCTATATGGTTTCGTTTGCTCTCAATGTGAACTTTATGGATTTTTGGAGAGGATGTGTGGGAGATTCAGAATCAGTCTGTCAACATTATTTTCCAAACCTGCAAATCTGAGAGTTAATTTTGTAAGAAAAAAATAAGAACTCTCCCACATATACACTCTCTATAAGTGTGAGCTGCATACAGTTACTTCTTTCCAAAGAATATAATGTGGAAAGGGGGAAATACAAAGTTCTGGCAAACACTACTTTCACCAAGTGACTAAGGTGAAGATCAGTGGTTGTGAATCATGCTAGTGGAATATACCCTTGATATGAACATGGCAACATAGTCTATGATCTTCCTCTCCAAAACACATAAATCCAGTTTAGTCATGAGACAAACAGACAGATTTTAATAGAAGAGTATTATGTAATAGTTTACCAAAGCCTTCAAAACTGTTAAGGTCAGGAAAAACAAGGAAAGTATATGAAACTGTCACAGCCAACAGGAGTCTAAGGAGACATAAAAATGAAATATAATGTGGTGACCCAAATAGAATCTAGAATACAAAAAAATTATGTAAAAAACAAGGAATTCTGAAAAAAGTATAGACTTCAGAAAATAATAATGAAGTTTAGTTCACTAATTATGAAAAATTAACTATCATATTCATGTATAATGTTAATAATAGTGAAAATTGGGCTGGGTATGAGGATGCTGATATACAGGAAATCTCTATATTATATTATCAATTTTTAATAGCTGTAAAACTTTTATCTAGAAAGTATATTTAATAATAATAATAATAATAATAAAGACCAAAAAGACAATCAGAAAAGCTGACTTTTACTGATAGAGAAAAATAATATTATTTATATTTTAAAGGTCATACATATATTTTGTAAATATCAAAACTCATTCTCTGGAAATCAATTGTTGACTTATGAACAAATAAATTAGCTATTATTTACTTGAAGTTTTCTTAAAAAATAAACTCGTGCTCAGATCTAAATAGACATTTAGTGTTGAAACTTCTGATTGAGTTTCTAAGTAAGAAAATATTTAGTGTTTTAGTATACATTGGGGCTTTTTCTGAAGCTATAGTAAATTAAAGGTTATAAGTTTAATCACTTCACTAAGAATAGAGATAACAACATTAACATGAATATCTAATTTAAGAATTATAATTTTGGTTTATTTCTAATTTTGTAACAGAAAGTTAGCCTAAAAATAGTAATTAGTCTAGTTGTTTTTTTTCCTGAAGAAGCATTGTAGTTCTGTGAGTTCAGTTATATTGGTAGTAGATGCCAGCAGGTAAAATATGATGTATCAAAGTCCTTAGGTTAGTTGATCATATGGAGCTCTTTTTCTCTTTATTATGTTTTAGTTCTTAAATATCACCACATATCAGCTCAAATGCAAGAGTTTGTACGTAGAAATGCTAATTCAACATCATGCTCTAATATACCCATTACAGTTAATGTTCCTTTAAATAGTAAAAGTGAGGTGCATTTTTTAATAGAAACCTTAACATGGCATAGGAGATTATCACAATCTCTTATATTCCACTTTTCACTCACATTCAAAATTTTGGAAACAATGTTCATAAATGACAGAGAGGAAGAGAGAGAGAGAGAGAGACAAAAAAGAAAATTTAATTTTTAATCTGCAAGCTTCATTTCGTATGCATAAATATTAAATTTTATCCACAATTATATTATGTTGCCGTTTCAGAAAACCTGTCAAACAGTGTTTTTCCTCTGCTCTCACACCACCACAACAAGATTCATAAACATCCAAGATTTCCGTGTATAAATGTGGGGGGGGGGTTCACTCCACCACCAGGCAAGTAATTAGTTCTGCAGCTGGCCTAGCTGGATGTCCTTCAATTCAATTCTGAAATTAAATACCTGGGGATAATGTCAGATTGTACAGATAGAGGGTTCAGTCCCCAAGACTGCCCCCGTTACCACATACTATTCACAAATCCAGGCATCCAGAACTTCTGATTGACTGACTTCTATTTGGGGTTCCCAAGATCCCCTCTTTGGGTTCAATTAACTTGCTGGAGTAGTTCACAGAACTCAGAAAAACACTTACGTTTGTCAATGTATCATGAAGGATATTGCAAAGGATCCAGATGAAGAGGCGTGTAGGGTAAGGTGTGGTGAAAGGGGCACAGAGTTTCCATACCCTCCCTGGTGCAACACCCTCCAGGAACCTCCATGTGGCCAGCTCTCTAGAAGCTCCCAGAATCAATCCTCTTGAATTTTTATGGAAGCTTCATGATGCCAGCATTCCTTCCCCTCGGGTGTAGGGCAGGGCCACCTCTGGCGAGGGTCTTATGACTCACAATCAGAAGGCAAGGTGGGAGATCAGAGTCCTTCCCTGGGGCAGGAAAAAAAAGGAAGGAGGAAGCCAGAAAGATTCTGTTTCCTGAGGCCTGTTCTTGAGGCACAACATGCCCAACATTATAACAAATGCCTGTAATGGGGGTTATGGGAGTTATGAGCCATAAAAGAAAACGTGCATGTTGTGTGTGTGTGTAACAACACCACAGATGTCAAAAATTAAAAAGAGGACAAAACTAGCTTAAAGCTGGTGCTCTCTCTCTCACTTTCTGTCACTTCTATCTCTGTCTCTCTTCTTTCCTCTCACATTCCAGAATGATTGCTATTTCAAGGGATTATATTCCTCATTCCCTTAATTTGCTCATTTATTCTGAGCACAAGCTGAAAAACTCACTTTATGTGAAGGTTTTCTACATTTAAGTTACCAGAGAATAACAGCCCTATTTCCAGGACCAGTCTTAAATCACATCAGCTCTAAATCTCATTTCCAGTCATCTTATAGTCCAAGTAAAAATTAATCCTAAGCCATTCTTTTGCCTTCATTAGATATGGAAAAGTATATCTTATTGAAAATTATTGTTATGATTATTTGAGATTATAAAAAAGTCATGAGGTTAAGTGGAAAGAAGAAATAATTCCATAGATGACACGTCTGGATTTAAAAATCTGTGCTCCTGCATGGAATAAAAAATTTGTTTCAATTTGGAAGTAAAATTAAAATTTGATAAAATGGGTTTGAATTTGGACTCCAGATTAATATTTTCAATAGTTATTCACATTAATTATCTCTGTTTAGTCATTAAAAGTAATAATTCCTCCTCAAATCTAATTTGTAAATTATTGTAATTCGTCTTTGGAGAAAAAAATCTTCCCTGCAAGTGGGTAAGGGTCTCCCACATGTGAAATTCTCAAGCAGTTCATAACTAAAAGGATGAGGTGGGGGAACCTATTTGAGAGCTTTCTCACAAAAGTGCTCTGTTCTCACAGCTGCTAAACATCCTGACGGAAATAATCTACAACAGGGACACGTAAACATTATATTCAATGTAAAATATAATACAAGGGGGTCTATTTAGGAAATTAAAAACATAAAAGGAGTGGGAGGCAATATGGCTGACGAGATGCAGCCAAAGACAACATCTCCCACCTAGAGACCAGGATATCAGGAAGACCGGCACACTCCAAGCAGATCTTTGAGGGGAAGGCATTGAGAGTGCATGGAAAAAGAACGAAGACCTTGGGATGAAGGAAGAGAAAGCTGGGAACCCTGCACAGGACTGCTGAGCACCAGGACCTGCTCCTGGCCCCCAACAGCTCCTGGGGAAGGAGTGAGTTGAACAGGAAAAAAGTAGCCTGCTCTCACCACAGACCTCTAGAATCCTAGCTTCAGGAGACCTCATGACCTCACCATCACTTAAATGTCAGGGAGAGCTGTTTGGAGAGGTGGCAGAGGCCACTCTGTGGAGCCCAGGGTGTTAAGCATGAGAACAGCTGCATTAGAGCATGGCCAGGGACACCTATGCTCCAAGACTTGCCATGCTACTCTAGGTGGCTTTGCTTCGGTGACTGTCAAACATGGACAGAGCAGGGGAGTCCTGCCCATGAGACAGGACCGTCTGATCTGAGGACACCCCTGTTTGCCATCTTCTCCTAGGGCCCCAGGCTGGCGGCACACACTTGCAGTCCTGCCTTGAATGTCCAACCAGGGTGCTTCCTGGGGGGCCTCATTATAGCTCTTTCACCAGCAGACCACACCTGACCATTGGAGAACTTCAGCAGACTGGCAACCACTGACAGATACCAGCCTACCTACAGCCTTTCTCCACAGCAGCCTGCCCCACAGCATTGCCAATGCACACTTGGTCATGGCTTCCTTACCCTCCATTGCTTTGCCAACACATGCACTCAGATGGATTCCACCTTTTCTCCTTTGCCAGCATGCAAGTGCACACACCCTGTCATCCCACCACTGTCAGCGTGAGCATGTGTGCATGGATGCTGGTATATGGGTGCCCCATCCCCACTGATGCACAGGGACACTGTTGTGCCACTGCTGCTTGCACACATGTGTGTGAGAACAGATCCCACTGCCACTGTCCCAAAGAAGCACTTTGGTTGGCACCTCTGATTGGAGTGTTGTTGCCAACAAACAGGGAACACCCACTCCTCCAGTGCAGCAGGCTTCTAACTTCAAGGGACCAGGGAGAAAAGCCAGGGCCCAGTACCAGCTTCCCAGGTTTAGAGCTTGCAGCTCAGGAGTGATGAGCTTAGTTTTGGTAACTTGAAAGTTTAAAGAAACATCAGACTACACAGAAGAGAAAAAATCAGCACAAGAATTCTGGCAACTCAAAAAGCCAGAATGTCATCTTACCTCCAAACAATCGCACTCATTCCCCAGCAAGCATTTTTAACCTGGCTGAAATGGCTCGAATAACATACATAGATTTCAGAATCTGGATAAAAATGAAGATCATCAAGATTCAGGAGAAAGTAAAAACCCAATCCAAGGAGACTAAGGTATCCAATAAAACAATACAAGCACTGGAAGACAAATTAGGCATTTTAAGAAAGAATCAAACTGATCAGATAGAGCTAGAAAATTCACTACAAAATTTAATAGTGCAATCACAAATATTAACAGCAGAATAGAGCAAGCTGAGGAAAGAATCTCAGAGCTTGAAGACCAGTACCTCAAATCAATTCAGTCAGACAAAAATAAAGAAAAGGAAAAGAAAAAGAATGAACAAAATCTCCAAGAAATATGGGATTGTGTAAAGAGACCATACCTATGACACGTTGGTATCCCTGCAAGAGAGAGAGAAAAAAACAAGCAACTTGGAAAACATATTTGAGGATATTGTCCATGAAATTTTATCCAACCTCACTAGAGGCCAACATTTAAATTCAGAATATGCAGACAAAACCTGTGAGATACTATATAAGATGTACATCCCCAAGACACATAGACATCAGATTCACCAAAGTCAACATGAAAAAAATATCAAAGGGAGCTAGAGAGAAGGGACAGACAGGTCACCTACAAAGGAAACCCCATCAGGCTACCAGCGAAATTTTCAACAGAAACCTGACAGGGCAGAAGATATTCGATGCCTATATTTAGCATTCTTAATAAAAGAGAAATTCAAACTCATTCTCTGAGGCCAGCATCATTCTGATAGCAAAACCTGGCAGAGATATGACAAAAAAGAAAGAACCAGGTCAATATCCTTGAAGAACAGAAATACAAAAATCCTGAACAAAATACTAGCAAACTGAACCCAGCAGCACATCCAAAAGCTGATCCACTGTGATCAAGTAGGCTTTATCTCTGGAATGCAAGGCAGGTTCAGCACGCACAGATGAATAAATGTGATTCATCACATAAACAGAGCTAAAAGCAAAACCACAAGATCATCTCAATAGATGCAGAAAAATCTTTCAATAAAATTCAACATCCTTTTTATGTTAAAAACACTCAACAAACTAGGTATTGAAGGAATATACTTGAAAGTAATGAGTCAGATATGATAAACCCAGAGCCAACATTATACTGAACTAGCAAACTCTGGAAACATTCCCCTTGAGAACAGGAAACAAGACAAGGATGCCCACTTTTACCACTCCTATTCAACATGGTAGTAGAAGTCCTAGCAAGAGCAATCAGGCAAAAGGAAAAAAAATAAAAGGCATCCAAATAGGAAGAGAGGAAGTCAACCTATCTCTGCAGGTGATATAATTTTATACATATAATACCCCAGAGTCTCTATTTAAAAGCTTATAGATCTGATAAACAACATCAGCAAAGTTTCAGAATATAAAGTTAATGTACAAAAATCAGTAGCATTTTTATACACCAACAATCTGCAAACTGGGAACCAAATCAAGAACACAATTCCACTCATAACAGACACACACATACCAATTATCTAGAATACAGCTAATCAGGGAGGTGAATGACCTCTACAATGAGAAATACAAAATAATGCTGAAAGAAATCAGAAAAATTAAAAAGTATTCCATGTTCATGGATAGGAAGAATTGACATCACTAAAATGGCCACACTGTCCAAGCAATTTATAGGTTTAATACTATTCTTATTAAACTATCAATTACATTTTCTACAGAATGAGAAAAAAACTATTTTAAAATTCATAGGGAACCAAAAACGAGTCCAAAGAGCCAAAGCAATCCTAAGCAAAATGCACCAAGCCGAGGCATCATACAACCCGACTTCAAAATGCACCAAGCCGGAGGCATCATATAACCCGACTTCAACATGCACCAAGCCGGAGGCATCATATAACCCGACTTCAAAATGCACCAAGCTGCAGGCTTCATATAACCCGACTTCAACATGCACCAAGCTGCAGGCATCATACAACCCGACTTCAAAATGCACCAAGCCGGAGGCATCATATAACCCGACTTCAAAATGCACCATGCCAGAGGCATCCTATCACTCGACTTCAAAATGCACCAAGCCGGAGGCATCATGTAACCCAACTTCAACATGCACCAAGCCGGAGGCATCATATAATCCGACTTCAAAATGCACCAAGCCGCAGGCATCATACAACCCGACGGCAACATGCACCAAGCCGCAGGCACCATATAACCCGACTTCAAAATGCACCAAGCCAGAGGCATCATATAACCCGACATCAAAATGCACCAAGCCGCAGGCATCATATAACCCGACATCAAAATGCACCAAGCCGCAGGCATCATATAACCCGACGTCAAAATGCAATAAGCCGCAGGCACCATATAACCCGATGTCAAAATGCACCAAGCCGCAGGCATCATACAGTCCGACTTCAAAATGCACCAAGCCGCAGGCATCATACAGTCCGACTTCAAAATGCACCAAGCCGCAGGCATCATACAGTCCGACTTCAAAATGCACCAAGCCGCAGGCATCATATAACCCAACTTCAAAATGCACCAAGCTGGAGGCATCATATAACCCGGCTTCAAAATGGTACGAGTTTGCAGAAACCAAAACAGCAAGATCTGGAACAAAAGCAGACACACAGGTCAGTGAAACAAAACAGAGAGCCCAGAAATGAGCCACACACCTTCGATCATCGAATCTTTAATAAATTCTACAAAAACAATGGGAAAATAACTCTCTATTTATTAAACGGTGCTGAGATACCTGGCTAGCCATATGTAGAAGATTGAAGCTGGACCCCCTTCTTTTCTCCATATATAAAATTAACTCAGGATGATTAAAAACTTAAATGTAAAACCTAAAACTATAAAAACCCTGCAAGAAAACCTAGCAAATATCATTCTGGGCATATTTCATGATGAAGATGTCAAAAACAATAAAAACCGAAATTGACAAATGAGACCTAATTAGAAAGCTTCTGCACAGCAGAGCAACTATCAACAGAGTAAGCAGACAATCTACCGAATGGGAGAAAATATTTTCAAACTATGCATCTGACAAAGGTCTAATATCCAGCACCTATAAGGAACTATATTTACAAGCAAAACATATTTACAAGCAAAAATCAAACAACCCCATTAAGAAGAAGTCATACACGTGACCAAAAGGTATGTAAAAAATGCTCACATTGTTCATCATTAGGGAAATGTCATTCACAGCTACAATGAGATCCCATCTCACAGTAGTCAGAATGGCTGTTATTAAAAAGTCAAAAAATAACAGATGCTGGCAAGCTTGTAGAGAAAAGGGAACACTTATGTGCTGCTTGTCGGAATGTAATTTAGTTTAACCATTGTGAAAAGCAGTTTGGTAATTTCTCAAAAAACTTCAAATAGAACTAGCATTCAACCCAGCAATCCCATTATTGGGTATATACCCAAGGGAATATAAATTGTTCTACCATAAGGACACATGCATGTGTATGTTTATCTCAGCACTATTCACAATATCAAAGACATAATATCAAACTAAATGCCTATCAATGATAGGCTGGATAACTAAAATATGGTACATACACACTATGGACTACCACGTAGCCATAAAATAGAATGAGATCATGTCCTTTGCAGCAGCGTGGATGGAGCTGGACACCATCATCCTACACAAATTAACACAAGGACAGAAAACCAAGCATTGCATGTTCTTACTTATAAGTGGGCATTAAACATCGAGAACAAATGGACACGGAGAAAGAAACAATAGATGCTGGGGCCTGTCTGAGGGTGGAGGGTGGAAAGAGAGTGAGGACAGAATGACCTATCAGGTACTATGCTTATTACCTGGGTGACAAAATAATCTGTACACCAAACCCCCACGACCCACCAAGTACCTAGATAACAAACTTGTACGTGTAGCCTGGAATCTCAAAAGTAAACACAAAACAGCATTGATGAGATTTCTGTTGCAAATCTCCTATATGAGTAGTTATTGAAATTCTAAAAATGGAAACTTAAAAATAATGCTATTCAGAAATCTCAATAAAAGTCTAGTGCTCATACAGGTTTGCATTATCTTCAAGTCATCAAATTAAGAAACAGCAAAAGTGAAAGGAAAGCCTTGACTTACGTTCTGCATTCCAGTGACGTGGACCACCTGCTCCACACGTTGAAATAAAGATGGGGGTTTACTGCTGCATCTCTTTCATATGAAGAAAACACAACTCAGATTTCCATCAAAGAACAAAACCAAATTAATTTCACAGTGAGATAAATACAAACACAAACTTTTCAACATCCTAAGAGAGAAACAGCAGTTCTTAACTGATTACAGTAAAAATCAGACACAGCTCAGATTGATTAGGGTTTTTAAAACTTATATGAAAATAAAACAAAAAAAGTGAAAATCTTAATGAGATTCTCCAAAAGAATAAAATATTTGTCATTCGGTGCTACATCCATTAAGTTAAAATTGTATGCCAGTAATCAAACAAAAGTCCTATTTTAAAAGTTTCAAATAATGTGGAAAGATGAACTGGAACATCCAATGAAAATGTTAGGTGCTGCTCTCAAAGAAAAAAAAGGATAAAAAACTTCATTTGAAGACAGAGATTGCTTTGCTCTTTTCTGGAGATCTAAGGAAACTATGAGGTTGTGCCTTTGACGTGTTTTTATGTTGTCAGATTTTCCAAATGCCTGCAAAGATTTTGTATGATCAAATAATGAGAAATATACATTTAAAAAATCCATTTAACTTTTGGAAGTCAACAAGCTAAATAAGGTTCACTTAGTGTCTTTGTTCTGTCTTTTGTTCCCCATTTATCTTAAATGCTGCTTCTTTCTTTCTCTGGTTCAAAGAAACAAGTAAGTAACTCTAAGACATAAAAGTGAATTATTGGCCTAGTGCTGACCTCATAATAGTAGTCTCTAGAGCACCCAATTAAAAAAATCACCTATGGTGCAAGTTCGATCATTTCAGACTTCCGCAATTTAAAATGCCTTCTTTTGTGTAAGGAGATGACAATGGCCTCATCCATAGGTCGTCTGTTTCTGGGCTGCTTTTCCAGGTGGATGCACATCGAACATCTTCCTTGCGGTTGTTCCTGGGAAAACTGACTGACTTTGGGAGATGGCTGTGGCTAAAGCAGCAAATGTACTGGCCCTCTGGAAGATGAACATTCTCAGCATTTTTTTTTAGCTAAAACTCAAATAATGACACCTAACTTGCAGATTTTATTTGGGTTAAATCAGATTTGTGAATGTATAGACCTAGACATTAAAACAGAGCACACCATACAGTAAATGCAGACCTGCATTTGTTGAATGTGAAAGTCTTTGTCTCATTAGTAACTACACTCACCATATATCAAAACGGGGGGGTAAAAAGAATCATTTCTTATGAAAAATAGATTAGCTGCTCTTAGAGGCAAGGACAGGAAAGGTCTTTAGTTATTTTAGATTTTAAAGTAAAACTGGCCTTAAAAAGAACGTGGAATTAATTGTTGTTATTCCTGCTGCTGTTGTTTGGAGGGAGGAAATTACATTTATGGTCCAAAACTGAGAACCAAAGCCACTGATGACCACACATCCAAGTTTGCATTCTGCCAACAATTTGCCCACAGTTGGGGCCAGAGTTGGCCAGAAACAGTAAGTTATGGAGAAGGGCCAGATTAGATTAACCCCCAAAGCAATACCACTTATCACCAATAAAGATGAGGAGATGAGCTTGTAGCTAGAGGGATTGTTAGAACAAAGTTATGCAGAGACTCTCTTCACTCTCTTCCATCACAGAGAGTCCAAGAGTAAAGATGTGGAGATGGTGAGGTAAACACAGCGATGCCTGCGTGCAGAGGAGATGGGTGGCATGTCTGCTTAGCCAGTTATCTCCTGTGTTACCAGGCATGGCCCAGGAGAGTCTGGGAGAGCAGGTGGGGATGGTGAGAAAGTGTGAGTGCTCTGTGGGTATGGTAGAGCCATGCAACGTAGTTGAGTTTGAAGCTTCTTGCCAGCATTCTACTCAAGATGCCCATGTAGATAAAGGATCCCAGCAGCAAGAACGTCATGGCAGGGGGTATAGAGGCGTTGGAGGCAGGTTGTAGAGGTGGAGGTGGCAGGGAGTGTAGAAAAGGCCAAGTCTGAGCTGGGCAGTGGGAGATCCCTCTCTTCTGTGGTCTTCTGAAGAGCCCACACACAAGCCCCGATGAGAGAACTGGCATTTAAATGAGAAATGAGAAAGAGCAACAGCCAGCTACAGAGAACTTTGCAATTTCCTGTTTAACTGAGATTTTTTAAATTTTATTTTTCTTCTTCTTACATTCCCCTCAAACACACTGAAGGAGCTATCACCTAGCAAAAGAGAAAAGGGCCTATTAAAGAGCTGATAAACTCCATCCTTTCCCCCACCGCCACCTCACACACACAATCTTAGCCGCACCAGCACCAGGCTAGTCTAACCACATTAGAAAGAACAGGGGATTTCTTTGGTAGAGCATCACAACAAATCCTAAAACTTATGTGCAAATGCAAAGGATAAAAAATAGTCACAACAATCTTAAAGAACAAGGAGGAAACCATGTACACTACTAGGTTTCAAGACTTTTCATAAAACCATAGTAATTAGGACAGTGTGGTACTGGTGTAATAGACAGTAAGCACCACATTGTCTTATTACTGTGGAATAATGAAAAGGGAGTTCTGAAATAGACCCACATATGTGGTCCCCTGACTGACCACAAATAATGGTATTGGAGCAATGGAATATCCATATGATGAAAAAATTAACCTTGACACTCATCTCACATTATGCACAAAATTTACTTGAGGTGGACTATAAACAAAACGTGAGATATTCAACCATAAATCTGCTAAGTTCAACTGTGTGCCACGCTGCTTGGGAGAACAACTGCAGCAAACTCAGCAGCAACTGCAGCAAACTCAGAGGGTGCCCTCGGATATTCTGCATTTTGGAGGGAAACGGGGCAATACAAACTTCTGTCAGATTCCTCACGAAATATCAGCTAAGCTAATTCACACGTTCAACATCGCATTGCGCCACTTTTTATTCTGCTCATGCCTTAGCAAAATTAGGTGTTCAGTGGTGACTATCAAAAAAGCAAGCACTGTGCAAAAACTAGTGTGGAAGAGAGTAGGAAAGCTTGATCTAGGTAGGTACTTATTTTGTACATAAGCAAAAATTTAGAATTGTCATTTTATGTGCTTTTCTGTATTTATTTACTTTTATTTTTTCTATTATTACTTTTTTGAGATGGAGTCTTGCTCTGTCGCCCAGGCTGGAGTGCAGTGGCGCAATCTCAGTTCACGGCAACCTCCGCCTCCTGGGTTCATGCCATTCTCTGCCTCAGCCTCCCAAGTAGCTGGGACTACAAGCGCCTGCCACGATGCCCGGCTAATTTTTGTATTTTAGTAGAGATGAGGTTTCACCATGTTGGCCAGGCTGGTCTGGAATTCCTTACCTCAGGTGATCCGCCTGCCTCAGCCTCCCAAAGTGCTGGGATTACAGGTGTGAGCCACCATGCCTGGCCTGTATTTATATTATATCTCAATAAATAAATAACCAGAACTGAGTTTTAATTAATATAATAAGACAATTCTAAATTTAAGTGACTACACTATTATTTAATCTGACCAAACTAAGTGCAAAGGCATTCAACGTAGGGCAGTTAGTGGCAGTTATTTACAGAAATTGTCCATATTTACATGTCCTGCAATGTGATGTTTCTTCACATACAGTTTGTTTAATAAGCATAACATACCACGGTTCCTAAACCGTGAGTTTGGGTTCTTACTGCACTATTTATTGTTTGCATAACCCTGAGAAGTTACCTCACCTCTTTTAAAACCAAGATAAAAATGTCACCCTACCTTACCAGATTGTTGAAAAAATTAAAGGTGTCATGTATGCCTAGCAGAGAGTGAGAGCTAAATAAATGTTATATTTTGTCTTTATTAGTATTATCATTTCTCTTCCACAAATCTCTAGTAAACATGACTAGGCTTTTATAAACAATTTATGCAACCACAGGAATGTCATTTTCAGCATAGACACAATTTTTGTCACTGATTGAGATCAGTGCAAAACCAGGAAACCAGAAGGAAGTGGAGAAGAGAAAAGGCAGGTGGCATTGAATGGATGTGGGTGAGTCAGAGTGAAGGTGTTTGCAGCACAGCCTTGAAAGAGGGAGAAACGCAGATGCACACCATCCCCACTCCTTAATGCGCACTCCAGTGTCTGTGGGCAGAAGAGCCTGCCGCCACCACGGCGGAACTGAAGCAATCCAGCCCCAGCAGAGGAGAGAGCTGAGAAATGGCAATTCAGCTGGACCAGCATTATTCACCTCAAGAGTTCAGCTTACTCTGCGTCTCTGACCCGGAGATGGTATCAGACAAGTAGAGAGGAGAGGAGTCATCATTGCAGAGCTGTGAAATCACTATGGCAATACATATTTCAATATCTGATTAAAGAGATTAAGATTTGATACAGTGCACATAAAGCCTGTATCAAACCAAATTAATTCTAGTCATATTTTTTAAACTGTGGAAGAAGATCCTGAAAATTTTCTAGTGATTATTAGGTAATAAATGAAAATCAACACTCCTGTATTCACTAATTTAAGACCTGTGAAATGTTTCTGTAGTCTAACCACTGTGCTATTTTACTAGTTTTCATAAACAACCAAAAAATATTCATAGCTTCACTGAAGACCTTGGGTTCTCAGCCCTCCACTGTGCCCATAAAGCCTTATGTTTCTTTCCTGGGAATTCTCCTATGACAGAATTATTTTAGAATGTTGATCCTCAAAAATTGGGACATGATACTTTAGCAAAACATCATTTTGAGCCAATATTTGCAATGCTGAGATTTCTAAGTCCACATAAAGGTCTCCAGACTGTTTGTAATTCCCCATTATTTATGTTGAAATAATGGACCTGATTTTCCTTCTCTTTGACTCTACTAATCAGTAAAAATCTTTTTGCTAGGGTGAACTGGTTTTCAATGGCCACCCTGAGCAATATATTTCTTAGCTTTGGAGACATAAGCATTCTAAAGAGAGGCTTTCTTCATTGTCTAAGGTAGAGTTTTATGAGTAGTAATGGCAAAGATAGTCTGCTTTTGCCTCTGAGCAGGGAAAACCTAGCTGATTATGCTGACCTTTCAAATTTTCACTCCATGTGCCCATAATTCTGACCCCCTCATGTTCTATTTTTAGATACTAGGGGATATTAGGATCAGATCCAGTTGGAACTGACCTCTAAGGTAAATATGAACAAATTAAAGGGTAAAAGATCTGGGAGACATTTGACACATCCCCCACGGGCCCTGAAATAATAAAAAACAAAGAATCCTAAGAGACAAGCTTCCTGGGCAAGAATGTGAGGAGTGTTTGACATTGCCTGGGATGGCACGGCGGAAATGAATACACCTGCTGTTCTGGAAGAGCTGATGTGGGCTTGAAGCCCCAGCTGTGATAACAAGACCACAGTGACCCGTGACTACGTCTTGACTGAAATGCAGGCCTTGAATCTAATCATTGTGTTGAAAAGAGGTGTTGAGCCTACGAAATGAAGGCATGTCTGGAAAAAGAGACACAGCAATATGTTACAGCCAAACTATAATCTAAATCCCACAAACGCATGTCATCCCACCTGCTATTCGTTTCCGTCAGAGCTGTCACCCAGTGATCTAGAAACGAGAAAGGGGAGCAACAGCTTTGAAAAGAAATGCTACATGGTGGGGAGTGAAGGCAGCTATGTGGCTGATAGCTCATGCTCCTTGTGTTATTTCCACCCCTTCGGTGGTACTCCATGAATTTCACCCCACATCTGAGAAATGGCTGGTTCAGCAAGCTAACAGCATACAGATCCTACTCTTTTCTATTTTAACCAAAAAAATTCCTAAGTGGTATTCCTTAAATCTTGAGCAACTACGATTCCTTAAATCTTGAGCAAATCTTGAGAAAACTATGTCGTACTAAAAATAAAAAGGTATTCTCCTGGGAAGTGGGCCCTATGTCTATTAAACATACTTAGCAAAATCTCTTGCTGTGTCGGTATTTCCAGAAGGTCCTTAGCACTCACCAGGAACAGTGGTTGCCTCTAGGAATGAAATGGGATGACGGAAGACCTGGGGAGCAGTGGCAGGAGGAGACACTCATGATGCGCCTTTTGGCCATAGGTAGTTATTTTCCACATGCATGGAGTGCCTTGTATTGAACCAGAACTAGTAATTATAATACCTTGCATTTACATAATGTTTTGCAGCTGTATTAATGTCTTCATATCAGTTCTCTCATTTAATTCTCTGTTGTTTGCATGAGGTTGCCTTACTAGCTCCATTTTGCCACTGAGGAAATTGAATTCAAAGGGCTTTAGAGATTTACTATGAGGAAATATTGGAGGCCAAGCTAACACGTAAGCTTCCAAACACTCAGCAAATCTTTCTTCCACCACACCACATTACTCTCAAGGAGGAGGGAGAGGAGAAATGAGGAAAAAAAGCCAAATTTTTTCCTTCAAAGGTAAGTAGTTAGAATCATCAGTTTTGGAATGTATTATCAGTAAAGGAACCAAGGTGATCTTCCTGAGGCCAATTTAAAATCTAATTCAAATTATTTGAATTATTAAGCAATAAGATGTCTTCCCTTTACGTTTAATTCAACAAGCATAAATAACAGCATAAATTTTAATTATCTGGGAATAATTAGGAACACATTTCTTTCCTATCACACTTAGGGCCAAATCACATTTCTAAAGTGAAACCTAATCTAAGAACTTTCCAATACAATATCATATAATTAGGTAATTTAAAAATACATTTTGAAAATGAAATCTCCAAGCATCATTCATTAACAGACTCTGATATTCCCTTCAGTCACTGTCATGGCTAAGAAAGCAACTCCAACCCACACACTGCAAATATGAAGGACCACAAAAGGCACGCAGGCTCTGGTTTGCATAGTGAAGATGAGCGACCGTGTTCCTAAGCATGAAGGACCATGAAAGGCACGCAGGCTCTGGTTTGCATAGTGAAGATGAGCGACCGTGTTCCTAAGCATGAAGGACCACGAAAGGCATGCAGGCTCTGGTTTGCATAGTGTGGATGAGCGACTGTGTCCCTAAGCATGAAGGACCACGAAAGGCATGCAGGCTCTGGTTTGCGTAGTGAAGATGAGTGTCTGTTCCTAAGCATGAAGGAGGACCACATGAGGATCCTGGACACCTACTGCATGAATGTATTCACCCTTTCAGGTCTAGGGACCTGGTAACCATTTATTATTTGTACTCTGATTTTCTTCCATTTCTTTCTCCAGTCCATAAATGTAACTTAAGTGACTTATTAACACTGATGGTTTGATCACCAATAGCAAGTTCCAGTTTCAGTCTTAGTGTAGGTGCCCTTATTACAGACTTGAGATAAAGTCCAAGGCTAACCACTCTTACAAGTTTACACTTTGCTAAAGGGTACCTTGGGACAGAGGGAGTGCAGAGCAGAGAAAACCTACCTGTGCAACTGAGAAGGCCGCTCAGGCCACGGGGACAGGGCAGGAATGCTCTCAGGAGTGTCCCCTGCACCTGAACTTGATTTCACGCCATCACCTTCCGCCTCTTAACCAGCATCTCCTGGACAGTCAGCCGAGTGTTTCCATGATACCAGCCATACCTGATGCCAGGAGACTCGCTACACTTGGAAGCTCTTCAAGGTGGGACTTTCTGTCTTGTTCAGTTTTTCATTCTCAGTAGTCAACACAGGACCTTATACTTAAAGGAAATAAGTATAACGTCCTAACAAGTGCTTCTGGAATAAATGATCATGGCTGAAATGAGCATCTGAAATGACGATATATCTAGAAAGAACAGAAAATATACACTGGACGTATTTTAGGTGGCTGAGATTATTGAATGGGAAAATAGTGAGATCTTACAATTGAATGGGTATCATAAATGCTTCCTGTATAATATCTGATTTTGCCCTTATCACAAAGAATTCATATAACCAAAACTATCTCCCTAAAAATGTCTTCCTAAACATGAAAACAAATTATTTGACTTCATAATGCAGCTTTTTACCCCAAAGTGTCTGACCCTTTCACTAAACATTACTCGGTATTAAATAGTATAGATATAATTTCTCTGAAATTCACTGAATATGATTTTCAAATGCTGTAATTCCTAAAAATAATATCTAGGCTGCCTTTAATTTCTCATGTCAGTAATAATTAATGTCCCTACAAAGCTTATGGGGAATCAGAAACATTTGTTTATAACATACTGAAGAATTTTTAAACAACCACAGAATATGAATATAATAAGATAAAATATTAAATATTTCCAGGCATGCTTATCTTTGTGAACTGAATCTTGGAGAAGCAGGATTGAAAATAAGAGCTATCTTTGAGGCTCTAGCACCTACAAGAGACACCCTCCCTCTCCACCGTGGATCACCTGTCTCACCCGTGTGAGTCTCCACACAGAAACCAGTCATGGCCCTGCCTTTGCCCCCCTTGAAATCACCCAAGAGGATGCTTCAAACTCAGGCAAGCACAACTGATACTCACTCTGCATGCGACAGCAGGGGAGTGACCTTACGAGAAACTAATGGGCCTCGCTTCCTGAGAATCACTGTCAGAGCCCGTAACATAAGATAAATCACAGCCAAGGATTTTTGAAAAGTTTCCTGATGAGAGAACCATGACCTTTTCAAGGGTAGTGATGGATTGATCAGGGCAAGCAATAGGTAGATTTTTTAAAACAAGCCTGGCGAAAAAAACAATGATATATATCTACCAAAGTTGGCTGGAATACCCGGCTGGTGTCCCAGTCAGGAAACACAGGAAAAGGTTACATCTGTAGAAAGAAAAACAGCTTGTTAAGCAAAACAATGCAGTTAAAAACCAAGCTCACTGTAAGAAATGCCGCGTGGGCCAGTGGGGACGGCCATGCCGAAAGCGCTCAGTGCTCCTGAAGCTGGGTGGCCAGGTGTTTTCACACAAAAAGGCCTTCCCTGCTCGGGCCATGGGATAAGCCTTTGAGTGGAGACCTAGGAAGGAGCTGAAGTCTGCGTTGGGGGTGGAAGGTGGCAATCCCATTAGACAGCTCTCCCTCGTGTGAATTTATGAAGCCCCACGCAGACTGTGACTTTTAAAATAATCACTTAGTTGGTTTTAGCACATGGCGCAGATTTCATTACAGGCCGCCCCTTAACGAGCATTGTAACCTGGAGGAAAGAATCCAAATTCTTTAGTCACCACCTAACTCCACATTCATTACCTTGTTGCCCAGGGTGGAGTCCAAAAGCAGCAACTATGTTTATTTCTCCATAGAAAATAAACGTTCACCAAGGCACGTCTGCTCTATTACTTTTTTATTCTTAACTAGACCGTTAATATAATTGTTGGTTGCATTGATTTCAACTTCCCCACACGATGCAATTGGCTTTCTGCCGTATTTCAATCACACTAACCAAGAGAGACATCAGACGTTTAAAATAGACTCTGGACCAAAACCGAGGGCAGGGGAGAGGTGGGCGGGCCAGGCACAGCTCTGCTGAAGCACTGGTTTGACATGTCGAGTTGAAGTGTTTTACTCCAAACAGCTGTCTCCCTGCCAAGGTGAAGGCTAGACGGTAAAAAGGAAAGTTCCTTTTTTTCTGATAAACTAGGCTCTCTCCATAGGAAGTACCCTGAAGGCCCCCAGCTCCGACTCCGAGAGCAGAGCCCAGACTCTCCTACTTCGAACGGACATGAGCTCTATGCCTCTTGGGGTTTCTCTGCCTGCCCAGTCACCCTGGATAACGTGCTTGCCCTAGATTGTCTCCTAGGCCAAGTCCTCTCCAAGTTCTTGGCCCTTTGTCCTAAGGTTGGATCTCTTCCTCTCGCTTCCCTTGCTCCGAGCTGTGTCTCTGGATACACCCCCTGCAAACGACGCTTCCTGAGCTCGGCTGGCATCTGGCTGTGTTCAGCAAATGGGAAGCCCAGACAGGGGACTGGAGAGCAGGAAGACAGGAGAACAAGGAGATTTCTCCTCCTTCAGCAGCCGCAGCAGCAACGGCGTGTCCTCCACAGTTAACTGGAAGAAAAAGCCTGAGTCCTGGTCTCCTCCTGGACTGCCAAAGGGTCTTCTCCTTAGACATGTAAATACACAAATATTCGCATTTTTTAGTAACCCTTTAAAGATTTAACTGCCGGAATTTAACACCAGTAAAAACAAATGTAGCAATATGAAATTGCAACTCACTGAGGGCATTATGTTTCAGAAAGTGAAGAAATGCGAGGCCAGCTCCAGCCGCAGCGCACCTGTCCACGAGTCTGGCCGCAGCGCACCTGTCCCCGAGTCCGGCCGCAGCGCACCTGTCCACAAGTGTCCACCTCTAAGGCAGTGTTCTTCAACACGCACCACGCGCATCCTCAGCTGGGCATTTCCAGAGGGAGCAAGTCTCTGAGAGGCAGGTCTAGCGCTAAGCTTTCAACAAGTCGCAGGCTATACTTCCGAACACAAAGAAATGAGAATGACTTCACATCTCAGCAGAGCCAAAAGCAGTAGACAAATAAGCAACGATGAGATTTGGTTTTTTTTCTTCCCTCTTTCCGGACACTCACTCCTGCCTCCCATCGTACCGTCCTGGAAACAGGAAGAAGGTGTGTATCTTGGTACAAGCATCAACTATGCACAGGTCCACTTTAATGGGGTAAAGGACAGGGAGTGAGATAAATAAATATGATGCGATGTCTCCAAAAGAGGAACATTACACTGGGAACATCCATACACGGTTCAAAATTGCATCCATATTTAGTTATTACTTAGAAATCATCAAGGAAAGAAATGCTTTCTTTTTTTTTTTCTAGGACTTCTTTTAAGAGAGGTTAGGGAAAGCTTTCAGTTATATTTTCTGTCACCTTCCGCAATTTTAAATTGGATGAAATAGTGGGAGACTTTGTTTTTATGGCTTTCTCCTTTCAACTATTGTAACAAACACAGCTACCTATGCTTAGCATGCTTTAAGGCTGTATGGGACCATCTCTATATTATGGCCCAAACAAAATTGGCTTCTGGAACAAGTGTGGCTGTTTTGAACTCGATCCACTTGAGTCGGAGATGAGGTTGACAGAGAGAGGACCAACTGTGTATAAAGCTCCTTTAGGGAATATCCTGCTAATGTGATCTACATTTCAAAGTGGAAACCAAATATTCACTGCCACTGGAGTCTTGATATTTCTGGGATTATCAAAAGTACTTTCCTCTGACACAGGAGATATCATAACCTGACTTGGGGTTGAATTCAAATTCTGCCACTAAATAGCTGTGCATGACACGTCATCTTTTTTTCATCTTTAAGATGAAGTCCTGAAATTTCAGGACACTTGCAACTTCAAAACGTATCATTCCATGCAACAGAAAGGCAACACGTTGATGACTCCTGTCCCGAATCATATTCTATCTTGTACCTTTCTATCAGTCGGTAAAACTGCAGATGCTGACTTAGACAACAAGCTTTATATCATTGACTACGAAACAATGTCAGGTTGAACTTTGTACGAAGGGGTAGGTTGGTAAACACCTGGCCAGTGCAGTGAAGTGTGGCTGGTGTTGGAGGGAAAGGAAGAGGAGACGACAGTCACATTAGGAAGCTGCTCTGCCCTGAGATGAGCTCAGCGATTCACAAAACGCCATCACCAAACCTGGCACCTACTGCCAGTCCCCAGTGACTCCCTGGGTAATAAAGAAATTCCAGGGCTCTTAAGAGTCGTCGTCTGTTTGAGGGGTAGCTCTAATGTGACTAGATCTAAACAGAACCACTTAAAATGCCGACAGAATAGAGAAACCTGTAGTGGAATCCCCTGACTTCCCAGCTTTCTAGGGCCTGCTCTGAAGATTCTGGTCCTGGTCCCCACCTACAGCTAAGAATAGATTTCAGAGGCCGAGGCAGGTGGATCACGAGGTCATGAGATCGAGACCATCCTGGCTAACACCGTGAAACCCCGTCTCTACTAAAAATATAAAAAATTAGCTGGCTTGGTGGTGGGCGCCTGTAGTCCCAGCTACTCGGGAGGCTGAGGCAGGAGAATGGCGTGAACCCGGGAGGCGGAGCTTGCAGTGAGCCCAGATCTCGCCACTGCACTCAAGACTGGGAGAGAGAGCAAGACTCCATCTCAAAAAAAGAATAGATGTCAGGTGGGCACAGGATCCAAACTATGGACTAAAGTTGCCATTAGAAGCTTGCTCTGAAATTGCTTTACAATCCTGTACTCTTTCTGTCCACCAATTTTGACACCAATGGAATATGAAACTTTACGTTTAAACTCAGTATCACCCTTTCATGTGAATTCAGAAATTCCAAGATGGTGATCATTTCTATGTGACGTTAGCAACAATTAAACTAACGTCTCTTTGCCTGGACTTCTTTTCCAGAAAGTGTCCTATGTGGTGGAGGGTGGAGGAGTGAAAGGGGCCTAGGAAGAGAGTGTCTAATTTAGTCTTGAGATATTACAGTGGCTTCAATACTGTTGTGTACAGGGATCTTTACTGTTTTACATATTATTTCATGTGTACATGGGCTCAATTACTTTTGAAACAAATTAGCCAAAAAAGACAACTGATGCTTAAGCCTATCACTTAGCTAAATACATACAAGAATAGCTGTATTTCAATAGGCATGAAGACAAGAATAAGGATGAGATCATGTCCTTGGGTGAAGCAAACTTTGGCTTAGTTCTCTATTGAATATTTTATCAGGGGAATCAAAAAGTTGAGAAGATTCTGTTCTGCCATGTAAACTAAAAGCCACCCAGTAGATGAGAAATTGAAAACCACAAAGCTTGGGGAAAAAAATGAATGCTTTAGAGCATAAATTTTTCCATTAAATTATGCCAATAAACTTAGGACCTTGAAAGTTACTATGCTCAAATATATTTCAAAAGGAAGAAAATGCTCTTTTCAAAGCAGGGACTAGAAATTGAATGTATAGAGTAGCAAGATTTTTTAATTCCACTAGCATAAATAAACCAATTTATTACTTCCTATTAATTCAATATCAATCTGTTTGAATTGAATGTACATTTATTAATATAGAAGATACCTTTGCAAATTGCTCAATTAAAATAAAAACAAGCCTAGGTATATGACTATCTCTATATTTTCTAAGCTTTCCAGATGCATACTTGTTTTCCCACTGGTTGCGTAAGAATACCAAACATTAATTGAGGGTTGTTATATCAAAAAGAGTAAGAACAACTCCTGAGATTCGAAAGCCATGGGAAGTTGCTGAACTCAAGTATTCATCTCATACTAGTCAAAGTTAGGGATAGTAGAAGAGGAGGGGTTGGGTTAAAGTGTAGGACCCCATGTTGCTGCAATGATTGGAAGCTCCTAATTAACAGGAAGTATGGAGTGGAATAAAGTGAACTTATCATGGGGACCCTGGTGTTCCCTGTAGTGCTTTCTCCTCCTCTCTACTGGACACTCTTTTTCTTCTTTGTCTTTTTCCATTCAATAAAAGCAAGCCATTTATATGATTCAATAGACTGTGGATTGAGAATCAGAATTTTGGAGTTGTTAGTAATTAACAAAGTAATTATCCAAGCATTTAATTTCACTGGACATGATAGCAGTTGAAATGACGATTTCTTGTTATTCCTTGATTCTACATTTAAAACACATTATTGTCCCATTTTATTTCAAGGAGGAATAAAATAGGGGAGAGAAATATTAAGCAAAGGGAAATGAAGAAAGAAGCTTAAAATGAAATGTGAGACATAATCCCAGGATTATCTTCAGAAAAATTCTTAAATCTTAGTTTGGTTGTGTACAGGTTAATCTATGTAGGCCCTCCTTCTGGGATTTTCTTATCTGTAATAGAAATATTGATTCCACTATGACCTCTGTCTCTCTTGGCTGTTAGAACTCCAGATGCCAATAATGCAGGAAAAGGCACAAAGTAAACAACTTTGTCAAGAGCCATGGATACAGCACCCGCTCACTATATGGTGAAGGGAATACCCTTCTCTGTAGCTAAAAGATGACTCAATTTCTAAGTTGTTATTTCCACCCAAATATCACATTCTTCCAACTTTCCATCATCATCCACTCCTACCCCAGTGCAACTTATGCAAATGTCAGCACCCTACACCAAACCTTTCCTACACCAACCCTTTCCTACACCACCCCTTTCCTACACCAACCCCTTCGTACACCAAATCTTTCCTACATCAACCCTTTCCTACACCACCCCTTTCCTACAACACCTGTTTCCTACACCAAACCTTTCCTACGCTACCCCTTTCCTACACCAAACTTTTCCTATACTACCCCTTCCCTACACCACCCCTTTCCTACACCAACCCTTGCCTACACCAACCCTCTCTTCCTGCCTGCTCATCATTCCCTCTTACATGTGTGTGGTCTCATTCACCCTGTGCTCCACTCCCTATCCCTATCCCTCACATGATCTAACTTACAAACCAGGACTCCTTCTCTTTCACATGACCCAATCCTTCCACCATCCCCACCCAAATCACCTCCCTCAATAAATACACAGAAGTTGGCCAGGCGTGGCAGCTCACCCATGTAATCCCAGCACATTGGGAGGCAGAGGCAGGCAGATCACTTGAGGTCAGGAGCTCAAGACCAGCCTGGCCAACACGGTGAAACCCTGTCTCTACTAAAAATACAAAAATTAGCTTGGCATGGTGGTGTGTTCCTGTAATCCCAGCTACTCAGAAGGCTGACATGAGAATCGTTTGAACCCAGGAGGTGGAGTTTGCAGTGAGCCAAGATCGCGCCACTTCACTTCAGCCTGGACAACAGAGCAAGAATGCATCTCAAAAAAATAAATTAAATAAATAAACAAATACACAGAAGTTATGCAGACAGGTGCACTATCATGAACAGATAACACATTAACTAACATTTTAGGAAGGACACACTGGGAGTGAGTGTTCAGTGGCTGGAGCAAAGGAAGTCATGGAAATATGTCAGTAGAAATGTTCCAGTTTTGGAAACATGGCATCATGCATGAGATGAGATTTCCAAGACTAGGAATCAGATTTAGTTTTCTTAGGCATGCTGGGACTAAGCATCCTTTCATAACACCAGTGTTTGTGGTATTGGGAATCCCAGTGACCTCACACTGCAATCCTTCATTACCATCATGTGCAAAGCAGCTTCGAAGATGTCTCTGCTCTGAACTGCATTGTCTTCACAGAAAAGTGTGGGGAAGATCCCACTTCTGAGGCCGCAGGACACACAGAATGACCTTTCCTCTGCCATTCCCTGTACGGTGCCATTGGTTGCTTTAAACACATTTTTATTAGAATTGAAACTTTAAACATAGCCTTGCCAGTAGCTTCAAAAAGACACCAGCTAATCTACAAGCATATATGGCCCACCATTTTCTCAAATAGCAATGAGAGTAAAATAAATAGGGTAATATGGTTTATCATTGCCTCAAGCAATGTGCAGAATTGTTAATAGTAGTAACTCCTCTCCCAGAAGGAAAAGAAAAATTTAAAATACGTGAAGCAGCCTTAACAACAACAAAAAAAGCTAACAATATATTTGTGTTTGAACATCTACTAAATTCTTTCCCACTATTGCAGCCGGAAGCAATGCCACGCACAGCCAGATAATGTGGGCAGAGAGCACAGAGTCCAGGCACGGTTTAAATGCCGAGATAAGGGAACGTGAGTGCTTCTTTGCTTCAAATGTCCTAAATCAGCTTATTTTTAATTAGCAACAATCATCATACACACACACATTGACATTGAAGCTTCCATAATAGTGTTCTTACGTTTTCAATCTGGTTAATTGAATGAGAAAACAAATTCTCCCACTAGACAGGTGCTCCAAAGTGAAATTTGTGTTTTCTGTGGGATGAGGAATGCTTTCAAATGGAACATTCTTGATTAAAGAGCCTGGACCATACAATTCATGTTGTGGGGAGGAAATGTGGCTTCAGAACATAATGAGAACTGGTTCGGTCTGCAGCCTTTCCCGTTCTCATTACGATCTTCACTATGAGAACAGATTCATATTATGGCATTTTCAACTCCTATTGTCAGCTTCTGACACAATATGAGGTATTAGGACAGTAACTGGGGTGATGCCCAGTAAGTTCTGGCCACAAATCCTACACCAATATTACGGTATGTTTCTGGAAAGAGAAATTATTGGACCTATTGGCAAATCCCACCAGTCACAGAGTGATAAACAGGGAAGACTGGAATACCAGCCAATCAGATCAACAGATAGGATTTTAAAACACCAAGAACGTATCACTTTGCATCTTGGAAAACAGTGACTATTTAAATTCTGATCTTGTATTCTCTAACAAATGAGAACAATGAATGTTGCACCCCAGGACATGCTCAGGACCAAAGCACAGTTCAAATTCTGGAAGGACATCACCATGATCCTAAAGTGGGAGGAAAATCCTCCTCCCCAGTCCTCAGCAAGGACATCACCATGATCCTAAAGCGGGAAGAAAAGCCTCCTCCCCAGTCCTCAGCACTGGACGTAGCCAACAGCACACTGGAGTAGGTAGAAGGCAGCAAAATAGCTACTGAAGAGCCACACGTTTTGGAAAGCAGGTGTATAGTTTGCAACAGTTTTCTTTCCAGAGATACGATTTCTTTTTTATATCAGAGTTTACAAATTTCAGACCCAGTGTTGACTTCACTTGTTATTAGCTTCTGTGTGCCTTTTCCTCATTCATAAGGTGAAGGTAACAGTACCTGCCTCGCATACCTAACAGAATCTTGGCAAGCATTAAATGAGATGGTATATATGCAAGCACTTCGATAAGTACAAAGTGTCTTTACAAACATGACACAGTCATTTAAAAATCATCCTTAAGTTAGGCATACACTGCAAAGTGAGGCCTTATTTGAGGATGTTGTTATAAAATTCATAACTGAGGCCTGCAATTTCAAGGCAAAGTGGTGACAGAAACCTGTGGTGTACAAAATCCCATCGAGGCAAGGGACAGGTGTGGGACAGAAGGCTTCATGCACCCCTTCGGGCATGTCCTCTGCAAGCCTCCAGAGCAGGCCCAGAAGTCCTTCTTATGTGCTCTGTGATTTTTCCTTCCAACCGCTTCCCTGACGTGGTTGAAAGATGTGCACGCCAAGGAAGATAATGCAAATACTGCGATGTAGTCACTTTGCAAATGCTGGGATGTTGTCACTTGCCACGCCAGCCAGCACTGGCTCTGGGAAAATGAAAAAGCCTCTGACACATTATAACTTAGCAGCAACATTCTAACTGGGTTGAGGACAATAGTCTTAATCCTCCCTAGAAAGATCAAATTAAATCAGCAGCAGGCTCTGCCTGACACAGCTCTGTGTCACTGAGTGTTCCGAGGAAAAACCTAGAGGAGTCTGCAGCTCTTGACTTTGTAACTCGTGTCTTTCTATAGATATTCAGTGAGCAGTGATAAGACATCCCTGCATAAGGATTAGCTCAAGACAGGGAAACGCTGTTAGAGGAGAGAGGTGGAGAACAGACACACATTTTGCCTGCCATTTAATTCAGCTAAAAGCCATCAAATTTCATGGCTAAACTTCAAACATGACTCAGTCGGAGATTTGATTTTCCTTCCCTTTTCAGCAAGGCAACACATCTGTATATTTCAGCCCAAGCAGCTATGTATTTTAGTGAGTGTATAGTAAAAGCAGATTCTATTAATCAGTAATAATTCAGAAATTAAGGCTGCATCCATTAAAAGTTCTACTTAATGGCAGTTAAAACTCGAGAGCAGTGGTTTGCAAACTTGACTGTGCATAAGAAACATCTGGAAAGCATAAAAAATGCAGATTCTAGGGGCCCACCTGCAGAGTCTCATTGAGTAGATCTGGAATGAAATCCCAGAAATTGCGTTTTTTAACAAGCACCCCAGGTGAAATGCATCCCACAGTCTTTCTATCTTAATGCGATTTTTATAATCCAAATTGCATTTAAATCTTTTGAAGAAAATGGAAGTAGGGAGACAATCCAAAATGCATCTTGACAGTTTTGTAGATAGTCTTTCTCTGGCTTTTAGAGATTTTAAATCAAAATTTTATGGCATATCAAGCCATAATATGAATGCTTTTTTTTTGAACCAAACAAATCAAACAAAGAAAAGATGTGTCCCCAGAAAATTATTCAGCTCCCCCAAAGCAAGCATCTTTTTAGGTGGGCTATTTCAAGGAGCTGAGTTTCATATGCTCGTGTTAACAATCTTAGCCACATTATTTAATTTAAGCATAAAGCTTTAAGTTTTTGCATTCAGAATGGAAGTGTAAAAGTCGTGCAACCAACTCAAGATGCTCACATATCCATGGCATGTTCAATCAACAGTGAAATATGACTTCAACTGTTCTGCAATATGAACCCCAATATTTGCCATCATAGTACCTACATTTTTTTTATTTTAAAAGTCTGAGACCCTAACTACTAACTTTACGTAATAGTAACATTAAGCGCAGCAAATCTAACTAGACCAATGGTATATAACTCTAGTCTGTATAGTAATTGCTCTTTTCAAATCAACTTCTTCTGGGTCTTGGGAGGAAATATTACATTGTATTCAGCAACTTAGAAATCTGTGAGGTATTGTTTTGTTTTGTTTTGTTTTGTTTTTTGTACTTGAAATTGGGTTTTACTTTCTACAGTTTTTAAATTTTTTCTTTCTGCTTTTTCACTAGGCTTCATAGATCTCCCTTGCACATGTGCAATTTTGCTGTGAGCCAGAAATTTGCACAGTTCGTTCTTTGAATTTGGGTCTCATGCTTTCTGAGGTTGGCTTGTTGCCAAAACTTTCCTTTTAAATTTTTAGCTGCTTTTTAAGGTCTAAATTCTCATTTCTAGCACTTTTAATCAGGGACTTCATTTTTTTCTCCATTAATAAAAATTTTAATTTTCTACTGATACATAATGGATGTAGATATTTTGGTAGTACATGTGATAATTTAATGCATTCATATAATTTGTAAAAATGAAACTAATGTAATTGAGTATCCAACACCTTAAATATTTGTCTGTTTTTTATGCGAGAAACACCTGAATGATTATCTTCTAACTATTCTGAACTGTACAGTGGCTTGTTGTAAACTATGATTTCTGGGCGAGACCAGCTCCACAGCTACATGATCAGTGTGGCTGCAGAGACAGGCACTTGGTTTAATGCTCTACTTCCAAGTCCTAGGGTTCTTAATAATTTTTGAACAAGGTACCTCACATTTTCATCGAGCCTTGAAAATAGTGTATCCAGTTAGTTTCCTTAATAATATCGAGGTGTGATATTTAATGTTTCTTTCAGTAAACATTACCAGTGTGAATACACTGCTCGGTGTGGCCGTAATGCACTAACGCATTTGTCCTTTGTACCTATGCTATTGCCAACCACTGAACTAAAGAAGGGAATAAAGATGTAATCCTTGCCCCCAAAGCATTGCAAACATATTGGAGGAACTTTGTGTCTCTGTATCAGATGGCATGCATTAAATTTTCCCCATGAATACTCTTCCTGAATGCATAGTCACAATTTTATATGAATTTATTCATGCACTAACAGACACATTGTACCCATTATTCTACATGCGTGGAGGTTGGGACGATGTCTAAAACTCAGGTCATATCAGGCATTTTGTATCATGGAAAAGAACAGAATGATTCACTATCTAGTTGATGATGGTGGAGTTGGGTGGATGTAGCTACAGCGGTTCACAGCGGCCCAAAGACTCTCTGGAAGTATTTCTCAGTAACACCAGGAGATGACCCTCAAGACACAAATAATTTTCTCTCCCTCCACTTGATACGGACACAGGTTTATCCATTAACAGGATTCCGGAGCTAACCAGAAGTACGTCTGATTTGGGTTTTACTCACACACGTGCTGGAAATCCATGCATGAGCTTTGTGAGAAAGGGCACAAAGGAAACCAGCCTGAAGTCTGCAGGGGCCACACAGTGCGAGCCAACAGCAGAGCTGACACAGATGCCAGAATGGTCAAAAAGGAACATTTACGAAGCAATTATTGCTATATCCCGCATCTTCAAAAGGTTAAGTAGAGGCATGGGAGATTAAAAAGGCCCAAACTGAACTTTTAGGGAAGAAAACTACAGTTTCCTAAGGTCAAAAAATACACAAAGTGGAAATTACAGCAGATTAGACATTGCAGGAAAAAAATTGTAAATTTGAAAGTGCATAGAAAAAATAATAGTTAAAAAAACTGAGAGCATTAGTGGGGCTAATCACAGAATGTGAGACTACTCCAAGTAGTCCAATATACATGGAATTAAAATCCTCAAAGATGGAAAAAGCAGAAGTATTAAACCCACAGATCCCAGAAGTTTAGCCCCAAGCACAAGAACCAAGAAGAAAACGACACCAAGACATGTGAAAACCAAATTGCCCAAACCAGAAATAAAAAGAAGATGCTGAAAGCCAGGAGACGTGGGAGAGGGGAAGTCATGTGTGTATATATATATATATATATATTTTTTTTTTTTTTTTTTTTTTTTTTTTTTTGAGGAGTCTTGCTCTGTCGCCAAGATGGGAGTGCAGTGGTGCAATCTCCTCTCACTGCAACCTCTGCCTCCCAGGTTGAAGCAATTCTCCTGCCTCAGCCTCCCAAGTAGCTAGCACTACAGGCACCTGCCACCACGCCCAGCTGATTTTTTTTTTTTTTTTTTTGTATTTTTAGTGGAGACGGGGTTTCATTATGTTGGACAGGCTAGTCTCGAGCTCCTGACCTTGTGATCTGCCCGCCTCGGCTTCCCAAAGTATTGGGATTACAGGTGGGAGCCACCGCACCTGCCTAGTCAGATTCTACACAGAGGAATGAAGATAAGGATGGCCGTCTAGCTCTCATCTCAAACAAGGGAAGGGAGGAGACAGAGGAGCAAAATCTCTCCAGGATTGAAAGGAAAAAAGTCAACCTAAAATTCTCTACCAGAGAAAATATCTTTCAAAGATCAAGGTAAAATCGAGTTTTTCAGACATATAAACGAAGAAATAATTCGTTACCAGCAGAACACACCACAAGAAATGTTGCAGATGGTGGATCCAGGAACACAGTTAGGACTGAATTGTCCTCAGGGATTATTGAACTAGTGTTTATCTTACTCCTAAACGAAGTGGTTCCAGTGGGCTGTTTTTCTTAATGTTTCAGTTTATGTTCCCAATGTTATAATTTTGTAGTTTTCACAAAACCACTAATAGCCTTTAGCCACCATTTCTCACACTTACCACTCTCCTTTTCTGTAACAGTCCCTCTTTTCTGTCCTAATTTGCTGCTTATAATCAGTGGCCCTAGAAACCAGATAAGAACATGTATTCGAAATGCGAATAAGTTAAAATAGCCCCATAAATTGTAATCCATAGATTTTGTGTGATATACTTAGTCACTCAGAAGCTTTTTCCCAATCTATATTCTGAAAAATGTGATATAACAATTATTATAAGGAAAACTATTACATACTGAATGGCCACTGTGTGTTAGTCATTATTCTAAATATTTCATTTATTATTTGTAATCTTTTTCATGGACTCTAGATTCTACTTCCAGAGTATATAATGTGTATATAAAGAGACAGAATGATAAAGTGTTTTTTTTTTCTTTTTTTGTTTTTTGAGATGGAGTCTCACTCTGCCACCAGGCCGGAGTGTAGCGGCATGATCTCAGCTCACTGCAACCTCCACCTTCCTGGTTCAAGCGATTCTCCTGCCTCAACCTCCCAAGTAGCTGGGACTACAGGTGCACACCACCATGCCCAGCTAATTTTTGTATTTTTAGTAGAGACGGGGTTTTACCATGTTGGCCAGGATGGTCTTGATCTCTTGACCTCGCGATCCACCTGCGTCGGCCTCCCAAAGTGCTGGGATTACAGGAGTGAGCCACCATGCCCAGCTGGTAAAGTGTTTTAAAGTACCAGCTTTGAACACAGACATCTCTGGTTAAAAATCACGGCTGTGTTGCTCCCGAGAACTACACCTGTGAACAGGCTGCCCAGGCTCTGTTATTTACGTAGGCAATCCCAAGGCCAGTACATGACCCTGTGATTACTGGAAGCACAGTATACGACAGGGGATTCAAATGGTAAACTAAGGATGTTTAGAATTTATTTACCTAATGTCATAAAGTAAACACGGGAACACTAAAAATTACCACTGATTTAAAAGTTATCTCCCGACTGACTTGTCACTTTGATCTTATTTCACCAAATCATGAGGTCCAGGAAATAGAAAATTTCAAGTACATAAATCAGATTTCTCTGAGATACCTAGATTGATAATCGGCCTCTAATAATCTCCCAAGTACAGCAAGTGCCACACAGTTTCCTTAAGGAATCCCCAAAGTCAGCCAAGGAAATCAGAAAAGAAAATTGGGCCTAGCTGCATGATGGATGGATTGGATTCCACCTGCCACTCCAAAGCATGCTGCTGGAATATCTCCAGTGGCAGGGGCTTAGCAAGGAGCCATGACTCAAGTTCCACAACCAGCAGACATGCTGCTAAAATAACCCCTATTTAGGGCTGATCCTCAAGACAGTGAGAGGTGCACTGTGCAAGTTTGAAGGCACATTAATTTTATCAGTGTTCACTCAGCATTTTACTGGCAGCAGTCTGCAGGAATACCATGTCATTTTTGCTTTTCAGATGTGTATTGAATTTGCAGAAGTCCTCTTTTCCAAATGATCAATGAATTTCAACACCAGAGTCTTGGAGTCAGACAAGGAAACTTTCAGTACATAGGTAGACCTAACCCTTTGTTTGATTTCATTTGGGCCTGAAATTAATATTGCTCTCATCACTGACACTGCAGTTCATGGAGTAATTTACACTCTGTGGGGTTATGATGACATCCCTTTCAGTGCAGCATCTCTGAAAGCTAAAAATGAAGAAGAGTGAAATATCTCTGAATACAAGCCAAAGAGTTACTCATTTCAATGTGTGTTGGGAGGATTTGTAATGGACTGAAGGCCAGGGACCAAGTCAACCCAAGAGGCCATTTCCTAACACCTCATACTGACTACTCATCATCTTATACCGATTCCCACATCTGTCTTGTACCTTCCTTTTTCTCTTCTTCTGTCTTTGTGTTTTTCTCTATTGATCTGTTATCACGCTCTATTCTTTTTTCTCTCTCCTTTTCTCTTTTCTTCCATTTCTTTGGCCCTTAGCACTTCTTTTTTTCTATCCTTCATTCTTTTTACTACTTTTCACATAATATAGAATTAAGTCCAGATGTTGTATTCACCATGTTTTAGTGTCCTACTCTTCTGAAAATTGGAGCAAATGAAAAGGTTTGCCCATGTCTGAAAAATTAAGCAGTTTTTCATGTGGCCTATGATGCTTTTCTTTACAGTCAATGGGCACTTTATGAGGAAGCACAAATACAAAGCTGCTTTTCATTCAGGGCCCCCAGAAAGTCAAGACTAGTTGTATTAGTCCATTCTCATGCTGCTAATAAACACACACTAGAGACAGGGTAATTTAGAAAGAAAAGAGATTTAATTGACTCATAGTTCCTCAGGACTGGGGAGGATTCCGGAAACTTACTATCATGACAAAAGGGGAAGCAAACACTTCCTTCTTCACATGGTGGCAGGAAGGGGAAGTGCTGAGCAAAAGGGGAAAAGCCCCTTACGAAACCATCAGATCTCAGAAAACGTACTCACTATCACAAGAAGAGTAGCATGGGGGTGACCACACCCATGATTCAATTACCTCCCACCAGGTCACTTCCACAACACCTGGGGATTGTGGGAACTACAATTCAAGATGAGATTTGGATGGGGACACAGAGCCAAACCATATCACTAATCTTAGTCTCAATTTTCCCATCATCAGAATACTGTCAGCACTTACTCTAATACCCCATGCGTTCATGTCCCTTTTGTAATTCACTCTTTCTAAAGAACATTCTTCTCTTTGGCTACACAGCCTATCTTTCCATCTTTTTTTTTTTAAGTATAACTTATGTAAAAACTTTAAGGCTTCTGTGTCTTTTCTACATTTTCACTGGCTCTCTAAGGGGTCATCTCAGGTGCCAATGAAGGCAGTCTTCAGTCTGGATTCCTTTCAAGGATGTGAAAATTATCTCTTCAAAATACATTAGGCAATGTCTGCCTACTTTGGATTTTGTGACGGCTTGAAACAATGCAGTCCACATTTTAACTGACAAGTTTAGAGGTGTCAGTGGTATTTGAGCTTTCTGTGCCTCAAAAACTCACCATCTCACACTGTTCATTGTCACCAGATCTAATTGTGTCTCAGGTGACTTCATAATGTTCTCAAGGCCAGGTGCTGAGGCAGGAGGAAAGGACACACCCCAGAGGCAGGACTGTGAGTTTGAAGTCACCGCCAGCGTCTGCCCATTGCACTGTGCCCAGGACTCCTGTTTCCATGGCCTGGGCTGGACCATGCTGTAGCCCTGGGCGCTGCCTGCACCTGAGAATTACCCAAAGCACCTGCAAAATGTGTGAATCCCTTGCCCTTAGCCTAAGGAATTTCAATTTATGAATTATTTCTGCCTGTGGGTCTCGAACATGGATAATTTTAAAATCTTCTTAAGAAATGCTGATGTGCAACCAGGGTTAAGGACCACAGAGCGAGAATGCCCAGAAGGCTTGGCGGAACTCGGATCCTTGGGCCCTGGGTTAAGGACCACAGAGCAAGAATGCCCAGAAGGCTTGGCGGAACTCAGATCCCTGGACCCTGGGTTAAGGGCCACTGAGGGAGAATGCCCAGAAGGCTTGGCGGAACTCAGATCCCTGGACTCTGGACCATCATAGCAGTCACAGATCCAGGATGAGGCCACAGATGAATCCCCAGCTGAGGTGATGCTGCTGGCCTGGGACCACACGTCGAGGACCACTCAGCTAGAAGATGCTTAGCACTTCTCTGCCTCTTTTTAAAATTCCTTCTTCTGGGAAGAGAGACTGATCTTACCACTGAGTGTGGGAGAAGAAACAGCATGATTAGCAGAATGCCATCCCCTCTCTCTTTTCAAATGTGTGAGCCTGGAGAGAGTTCTCTTCAGTGTGTGAGCCTGGAGAGAGTTCTCTTCAATGTGTGAGCCTGGAGAGAGTTCTTTTCAATGTGTGAGCCTGGAGAGAGGATGCTTTTTTATCCACTGTGAGGATGGCTTTTCAGGGCAAGCTCTGTCTGCATGTGCAGGGGTACAACCTCCAATTTTGTTCTGTTTTCCTTTGTTTTGTTTTGCTTTGCTCTTCTTTGCTTTGAGAAGCCTTAGCATAGACCTAGGGGAAGTGTTAGACCATAGAGCTAAAGTCATCTTCTTTGGCATGATTAGAATTTTCAAAATACATAACAAATATTTTAAAATTTTGATCTCCATTTATCTGTCTTCTGGGTCCTCTCTCAATATATTGTGAATGCAAGATGGAAAAAATTAGTGTTACATGTCAGCTTTCTAAAACCCCAACATAATCCTATCTCTTTTCAAATGGTTTCACTTCTTGGCCCTTTGAAAGCAATATAAACAATTTTACTGACTTAGTAAGCAGGGCTCTAAGAACTGAAGAGAAAACACGCCAATGCTGGATGGCATCAATTCTTTGAAAGAGGAAGGAGACAAATAGACATGACACATCCACAATAAACAGTCGTTAAAATGTATGGGAATGCTCCGTGCTGCGCCTCTCTGCAGGCTTTCACCTTATTTAGCTCCAATTTTCTAAGACTACTACAAGAAAATGTACAAGAGAGGCCCCCTGGACACTAGCTAGTAAGAGCACCAAATCACACATATTTATGGAACCCTAGTTAATAATAATAATAGTTGTCTCTTCAAACCCCTGCTGTGAGCCATGTATTGTCTTAACCACCTTCTGCCCTGTATCATTCTACTAAAGCACCTGCATAAGTAGGTATTACTTAGTAAGGAAACTGGGGCATAGCTAGCTGGATTAATACCTGGCAAGAAATAGGAAGTGAAGATGGGATTTGCTCCTTGTGTGTCTGGGTGGAAAGCAAAGGTTCTTTCCGCAGTGCACTGTGTACATAAACTTGCAGCCAAACACCGTTATAAAGGCTGTGAAAGATGCAGAGAAATGCAACACTTCTTATTAGTTTCCTAATCTCAAAATGCAGGTAGCCTAGTTAAGGAGATAAAATTACATATAAGAAAAATTAAGTAACAACACAAGATCTGAAGATTAATATAGTATCTTTGACTCCAATCTAAACATATTCCAAAAATGGTGAAATGATTGGGAGAATTCCAAATGCAAACAATTGGAGTACTATAAAATGTGGTTGATCCCACAGAATCCAGTCTGCTTCAGGAAATACTTTTTCTAATTGGAGCCTCTGAGAGACTAAATCCATTCTGCGAAGTGTATTCTAGCTCTTCCATAGTCTCCCAATGACTCTTGCCTCAGAAAGCTCTGTTAATTTGGTTGATCGCTTCTGGTTTTTCTCTATATTTCATATATTGATCAAATTTTGTAATACAATCTTCAGATCCACACTACCCAAAAGAAAAACATGCTTCCTGCTATCATTTTGTTTATTTCCCTCTAAATAAGTAGGAGCATGGTACTTTGATCGATAAGAATGAAAAAAATTATTAGGGAACTTGCCATCATATTCCAGGAGAAATGGAGTATGGCATGCACCCAGCACTGACCTTCAATCAGAATTAAAGCACGTCAGAGAAAAGGAATTGTATAGAATTGCTGGGATCAAATGTAACACAAAATCATCGGAACTATAATAGGATCACGAAGCAGAATCACCACTGAAGTCCATCTCATGATTCAGCAGCAGGAGCAGGGGAGCACAGCAGAAAGAAGCATGGGTGAAGGGATCCGAGAGTCAATCCTACCTGGCAAATAGGAGTGTGATCCTGGCATCCAGTTTGTGTCTCAGAGTCTTTGTTCCCAGGTAGAACTGGGAGACTGAGCTAGATCAGGGGTTCTTAGAAAACAGTTGAGGGGGATCATGAACTTAATGAAAGAATGAATCTTTATTTCCTATAATCTTTAACTAAAATGTATAGCACTTCCTCCAATTATGAATGTAAGTCATAAACCACAATACTACTAACCATACATGTTATATTGTTCCAATACAAATTACAGATATTTTCACATTAGTATAATTTTTAGTTATCTCAGAATATCATTTATGATCACTAGCTCTTCAAATTTACAAAGATCATCTCAGTCACAGCTGTTTCCCTTTACTTAATGCATTGGGAAAGAAGCACATGCATGACTGTATCAAAACATCCTTAAAAAGTATTGATTAGTGTTTGAGCATAATTGGCTTCCTCTATAATCAAACGTGTGCTAGCTGACGCTTTCTGAAATGTTTTTCTTAGATGTGACTTTATCAGACTGCCTATATGGTCCCCTTAGACAGTGCCTAAGGGCCATTTCCTTGAACATGGTGGAATTCTCAGCCTCCTGTCTCAGAAGCAGAGATGCCTAACTGGCTGGGATGCATTTCAAGGATAAGCAAGAGCAGGAGACTGGAGTAACTGCCGAATGGTGGGAGGTGACAACTGGAAACAACAGTGGTATTAAATTGATCCAAATGCAGCCTCAGGGCATGTTAGTAACTAGGAAATACTAAGAGGGAACAGAGTAAGATGGAACAACTCAGATCATCAGTAAGAAATGCCTGGCCAGGGCCAGGTGTGGTGGCTCATGCCTGTAATCCCAGCACTTTGGGACGTCGAGGCATGCGGATCATTTGAGGTCAGGAGTTCAAGACCAGCCTGGCCAATATGGTCAAACTCCATCTCTACTAAACATACAAAAGTTGAACCCGGGAGGCAGAGGTTGCAGTGAGCTGAGATCATGCCACTGCACTCCAGCCTGGGCCACAGAATGAGACTCCATCTCAAAAACAAAAAAGAAAGAAAAAAAGAAAACAAAAAGAGAAATGCTCGGCCAGCAAATGCACTAGGCAGCCAGACCGATACAGGTTCCAGAGCAGCCTACTCTGTCAAAAAGTACAACAGTGTGGTACTCCCAGCACTCATTGACAATCATTTCCTCACATGGGCTGTTAAGTAATAGAAAGTAACAGGTGAAAAAGCACAAGAAATGCTATGGTTACACAGATTACAACTTTGGTGGAAGCGTATGTATGATGAGAACTAGAACTGCACGCTCGGTTATGTTAAATCCGTGGCCATTGTCTAAGTGCTTATGGTAAAACCACAGTGTGCTAGAGGTATGAGCCTACTGAAATGAGACGTGTGAACTTCTCAGAAAATCTATCCCAGCTTCTGCTGGCAAAGAAAACAACTAAAAGAGTCATCTACAAAGAGATGCATGAGTTAGCTGAGGTGGCTCCTAGCAGTGAGACAGAGGTGTAGAAGGGAATGTGTGAGTGGTGTCTCCAGCATCAAGGTGTTAGGTGAAAGTGCAGAGATTCTGAATCAGGGGATCTGGAGAATCAGGGGATCTGGAATGGGATCTTCAAAACCTGCATTCACTGGGCACCCCAGGCATATTAGGATGCAGGGGATCTGCAAACCACTTTGAAAGAAACCAGCTGCGGCTCCTGGCTGAGGTATTTTGAGTCTGAAAAGCAAAGCAAAACACCATCGTTGTGAGCCCCTACATACTACAGCTCAGCCCCAGCAGGTGCAGGACGCTGTATGTGGGTAAAAGACTAGTTATGTGTTCAAAATACAGTGATGAAGAGGCCAATGAGAAGGTGGTTGTAAATGAAGAGATAAAGAGCATGGTGCAATAAAGGGTGATAGGATCCTCTCTCAGCCATCACACAATTTGCTTTCTTCAGCCAGCTCCGTCAAAAGTATCCCCTATTAGAAACTCTGTCCCCTTAGAGAGTAGTTTGTTGAAGGTTTCTAACAGAAAAAGACAAGGCTCGGACACTAGCAGTCCTGCAGGAAACAGTTGTATTCAAAGCAGACATGAAAACCCTGTATCGTGTGATGCACTGCCAATGCAACAGCACCTTCAAGCACTAACTTCGATAGACCCTCAGCCTCTGGGATGACCTGGCATTTCCCTCTAGCTACGTGAACTCGCTGAGGGCCCACTTTAACAATTTAGTAACTCCTTTTGGCATGGTGCACTGGCCCAATGGACTAAGTGTCCTATTGAAGAATGCAATAGAAGCAGACAGCGAGATTGGCCTCAACAGAGTTGCAGAAAGCCCTGTCTCAGCCTGGTCATGAATTCAGGTCAACCAGTGCCACTTTTATGAAAAGAACTGTAGAAGGGAAATCCCTGGAAACAAATACACTGACAAATCAGTCCATTGTGTGACTTCTTCAGAACAAAACCTGCACTTGGAACTCAGAGAAAGGAGAAAATCACAGCCTTTCATGTAAATTATATCTGAGAAATAAAACCTTCGAATTTGAAAAAAGGCTCACTAGATAATACCACTTGGAGGATACCAGGAATTAGTATTTTTTTGACCACATAAGTGCCAAGCTTCGAGCTAGGTGCTTTGTATCCAACATCTCATCTGTTGGTAACACTACCAACAATTCAGCTCAAAGAATCACACTGTCAGAGCTGGAAGGGTCCTCAGAGATCATCAAGTCCAAACTGTTCATTTGCATGTGAAAAACCTGAGACCATGGCAGGACACAGTGGCTCACACCTGTAATCCCAGCACTTTGGGAGGCCAGGAGGGCGGATCATGAGGTCAGGAGTTCAAGACCAGCCTGACCAATGTGGTGAAACCCCATCTTTCCTAAAAACACAAAAATTAGCTGGGCATCCCAGCTACTCAGGAGGCTGAGGCAGGAGAATCTTTTGAACCCGGGAGGCAGATGTTGCAGTGAGCCGAGATCGTGTCACAGCACTCCAGCCTGGTGAAAGAGCAAGACTCCATCTCAAAAAAAAAAAAAAAGGAAAAACCTGAGACCAAGAGAAGATAAGTAGCAGAACAGAACCCAATGTCTTCTTGTGCTTCTCTGACTTAACGTCTTTCCAATGCACCATGCAGCCTCCCACATGAGCAATCAGATATGTACGTCACTAGACCCTAAGAAAGTAAGCTCTTCATTAAGCTCTTTAAAGTTAAAATGCATTTGTGGATATAAGCCTCAGTCCAGAAATTAATGTGAATAAGTTGTGTTTCTTATTTTTTTTAAATAATTAGCTTGTGATTCTATTGGAATAAAGAAAAATCAATGTCAGTATTTCCTCCCTACCTTTCTAGAAGTTGTATCTAAGTTCCAGGGCACCATGGTTTGGGGGAGCACCTGGTCCTAGATGTCATCTGTTCACTTCAGCATCCAATGAGATGCTGCCATCCTCTTGGGGTGCTCCCTCATCCACACACACACACGCCACCTATGCTCACACACTTCTGTACATGTGTTCTCTTTCTGATTGGTGGATCTCTTGACTGCTTCTATACCATAGATGGAGACACAGGATCTGGCCTTACATTTCTGTGTCACCCAACATTATGGGAGACTTCATGACTGTTTCTATGGCATTTATGCCCAGGCTCTCTGCAGCCCTCTCCCTCCACCTCCTCACCACTCTTTCCAGACAGAGGTCATCTCTGCTCTCAGATCTCACAAAGCTTTCTCAGGATTTGCAGAAAACCCAGAGCTGTGGCTGATAGACAAAAAGCAGGCCTTTCCTCTCTAGGAACCCCTACCTAACACTAGCGTGCCCTGCTCCACACAGAGGGGCTCTTCCAGTCTTGGAAATGGGAGAGAAGGAACCCTTTTCTTCTCTTTGCTTCCTGGAGTCCTCTTCTGATTCCCTAACAGCATTGATGTTTATAATAAACTCAAGGAAGCCGGACTTTTCTAGATTTTCCACACTGTCATATCTTGCCACTGAAGCAAGGAACACAGAATGGTCCACAGGCTTGGATTCCGCAGGCTTGGATTAGGCGGGAGCAGAAGGGCTACAAATAAATGATTCCATGTACTTACTTCTGCTGTGGTTTATCACAAAGACCAAAGCCAATGGAAAATGAGGAGAGAGCAACAGAGATCCCTTGGGGAGGGGGGCAATTTGAAATGTATCAGGCTATAAGAAATGGTGCTTTTAAAAACATATTGAATAACATGATGGAGAGAAAGATTTTCTTGTTTTTGTTTTTGTTTTTGTTTGAGACAGAGTCTGGCTCTGTCTCCCAGGCTGGAGTGCAGTGGCGCAATCTCGGCTCACTGCAACCTCGGCCTCCTGGGTTCAAGTGATTCTCCTGCCTCAGCCTCCCAAGTAGCTGGGATTACAGGTGCCCGCCACCGTGCCTGGCTAATTTTTGTATTTTTAGCAGAGACGGGGTTTTGCCATGTTGGCCAGGCTGGTCTCAAACTCCTGACCTCAGGTGATCTGCCTGTGTCGCCCTCCCAAAATGCTGGGATTATAGGTGTGAGGAACTGTGCCCGGCCAAGATTTTAAACAAATATAAGCAGCTTACCTTTAATATCAGAGAATCATTTTATTTCTCCTTCTTCTTTGCTGACCTTCCACACCTCATTCCTGTGTCTGGTGTGCCTTGCCTGCAGGCTTAGCCATTCCTGCCAGCTCAACCTTTGAAAAGCCCAAGCTGAGCGGGAAGCACCTCAGTATTGATCTGCCCAGTTATGGCCTATGGAGGCGCTGGAGGTCCTGTTAGAACAGGACGGGCTATCACTTAATTTAACTCTTACTCAATCTACAAGAGGGTTACATTCTCAACAACTGGAAAATATTATGAACAGACTTCTGAATCCTGTGGTTTATCTGAGAATTATTACAATTATTTTAAATAAATTTAAATTTTCCATTTGTTGCCATAACAGCATTTAGAGACCTGCTAGTTTTGGGGTGTTTACTAGATCTTTGTTGATAAGCTTAATGATGAAGGGGAGCATTAGGGCTTTCTGATGATGCTTTCTAGAAATTTTCGACACACTTTAAAATATGACATTCATTTCTGCCTGAAGACCAAAGTAGGTTTTGCAGAGGCAAATTGAGAGCATGTTTAAAAGATTCATCTTGTGCCTAGGTTTAACATCCTCCCAGGATGTCAACTGGAAGATCATGCCGTTCCTGACAATTAGAAGGTAATAACGAATTTTCAACCAACTCCACATTCATCCTGACACATCCCTTTGGCACATTTTTAAGGTGAAACGTGTGACTCCATAACGTTTTCTTTTTAGGCAAGGGCTTCTGTGGTGGTAATCATGACCTAAAGAGCCCGATTCTGCAGTCTTCAGAGAGCCAGGATTCCTGCCCAAAGTTAGACAGGCAGCATTTGAAGCAAAGTTTACTTCTTCTGACTATTCGTTTTTTATTTATTACAGCAGATTTATCATGTGCTAGATAATTTCACATTCATGGCTTTTCTAGTGCTCAATTTATCAAGGACAGTGGTGCCACATACTCTTGTATTTTATCACAAGTACCATCAGGATAAGAGAGACAGGTTCTCTGCTGCAGTGACTGCCACGAAATCATAATTCATAATGATAGATGCGTCTTCCCTGGGTTCGATTTTTAATGTTTCCCTTTTTTGGAATGTTTACATAACAGAAAAAAGAGGGAATTATATATGAGTCACATTCCTATCACTCATGTGTTCTTTACTGAGAGAATGAAACTAGATACCTGAAAAATAATCAGTGATTTCAACTACTCACTTAGGACATTTTTTATAAAGTTGCCCACTTTTTCATTATCAAAGACAGGAAAAATGAAAAGAAACTGAAGTGGTCTGAAACCATGACTTTCATTTTCCTTAAGTTTAGAGAGTGAGGTGGCTGGAGATACAGCACGTTGATTATCTGTGACACAATCAGTCAGAAGCAGGACCACATGAATTCTCCATCATCAAACAAAATGACTGGCTTTCTGTGTGATTCTTCACACTGTGAATGCAGCTACTAATAACACTGATTTTACTTCAGGCAAGAGAAACAGAGCCTCTCATTTTCCTTTGAGAATAATGATTGTTTCTTAATACTTTTCTTTTTCCCCATTCCTTACAGAGGAGTTCCCTGCTCAAGGGAAGCACATGGTAGGGTTAATGCTACATGGAACATGAACTTTGAAGATCCTCATTTTGGTTTCCATGAAGGTGGTGAAGGTTCTCCAAATAAAAGCATTTCCAATAAGGGTGAAGAGTAGAGAGCAGTGATGTTTCCAAAAAGTTTAGAATTCCTCCTTCAAATGACTTCCTAATGAATATCAGAAGGCAATGTGTGGAGTCACAAGTCATTGGAATGGCAGCCACTGTGTAATTTCAACAAAACGCTTCATCCCTCTGAGCCTCTGGTGGCTCATCTGTAAATTAAGGCAAATTCTATCTTCAAATTTCTTCACTCTTTGATCAACAACTTTTATTCAACTTTGTTGAAAAGATCAAAAAAATTGCATCTCTGGTTGAATTTGGTGGCTCTTTTTCTGGTTAATATAAAACGTGACTGTCAGAATCCCATCTCTAAATCTTTGTCAAATTTGTGTGGCCTCCTTTGTGTGCAGTTTACTAGTACAGCCCCATAATACTGGATAAGATTTTCCCGAAACTTCTGTGGTTTAAATGAGATGGTGGTTGCCTGCACTCAGACTGGTAAATGGGTTAGTCCCGAGAACACTTACAGAAGCACCTTGCCTTGTTATTTGGCTTTAGCATTGTATTAAAAAGTTAGTAGATATTTGTAAGCATTCTAGAGATCATTTATTACCTACTCACTCTTTAAGTTAAATTCTTGTCTATGTAACAGTGACCTAAATTGTTCATTGAAAGTAATTTCAGTCCTGAGGTAAAAATAATCTTATTACCATCTTAATTACAATAATAAGGGCTCAATGACTTTAGGATCATCCAATAAGCCATACGTTTATAAAACAAAAAGAGCTCAACAGATGACATTAAGGTAGGAAACAGCCTTTCAATAGGAGAAGAAACACCCGATCTGGAGCAATCCAATGCTTGTAGGCACCTTAGTGAACACATTCGACCAACTCAATGCAGAAATTGCTGTTTGCAACATGGCCCCAAAATATGCTTTGCATAGGGGAATGCTGACTTTACATAATATCCACTAAATAAATGTTAGCTCTCACAGTACAATTTTCATTACACAGCCTGAGGCTCTGTTTTCCTGCTGGAGAAATTTCTACCACTGACATAGATTTGTAAATACTTCTAGTTCTTGTTTCTTGTCTGTTCTGCCTCAAGAAGAACTTACTTGTGAGAAAGATACTCAATTCTACTTCCTCACAAACACTTTAAATGAGGTGCATTGTTCTGGATTTTGTAGTGGTGGTGGTTGTTTCAGTTTAGTTTTTATTATTTCTTGTCATTTTTTGACAAGCATACTAGCCACTTAATACCAAAGCCATTTTTTTCTTAGGCCCTTTAATGTTTCCCGCTGAAAGATTCTTTCCATTTAAAATCAAAAACCGTTAAAAGTTGTATGCTAGGTAGCTTGGTACCTGCATGTTGGAAGTACGTCCCTGCTGCTCCTCTAAGTTTTCTCTCTGTAGGCTGTTAAGGAGTGAAGGCCTGATAAAGCATGTGTATGCATGCATGGATATAGATATGCATGGGTGTACAGCTGTCATCTATAAGTGCATATCTCTACACGCAGGATGTCAATTCAAATGTTAGAGGCAGGTCACAGTGGCTCATGCCTGTAACCCCAGCAATTTGTGAGGCTGAGGTGAGAGAATCCCTTATGCAGGAGTTCAAGACCAGCCTGGGCAACATAGTAATAGTAAGACCTTGTCTCTACAAGAAATAAAAAATAAAAAATTTAGGCTGGTACAGTGGTGTGCACCTGCAGTCCTAGTGACTTGGGAGGCTGAGGAGGGAGGATCGCTTGAGCCCAAAAGTTGGAGGTTACAGCGAGCTATGATAATGCCAGTGCACTCTAGCCTGGGCAACAGAGCTAGATCTTGTCTTAAAAAAAAATTAAAAAGTGTTATTGTCTAAGAGATGGGATGAGATCATATATTCTTTTTATCATTAAAAACTTTTGTTTTCTAAATTTCCTATGAGGAATATTTATTTCTTTATAAACAGTATAAACAACTAGCTTTAAAAAATAGTGTGTCTAGCCTATGAAGAAAGAACAAGTAATAATCTTCATTCTACAGCAATGGTAATTTCCCCAAGATCATTAACTCTTCCAAACCTGTTTTCCCTGGATCTCAAATTGGAGCCTAGAGAAGGCATTTTTGCTAAAGGTTAGTTTGCCACAAGGGCTCAGATCAATGAAATTTTTCTCAGCTTGAGTTTGGCTGAAAGGCCGGTTTTGGGGGTGTGTGGGTTGGTGAGAGGGCAAAGTCTTAGTCTATACTTATAAATAAATATATATATATTACATAAATACATTACACACATATATATTAACAAATATATATTATTTCTGTACAATATTTTACATATATATGTAACTTGATAAACTTTTGGTATGCATGGGAGTGGGTTACCTAAAAGCATATTATACAGAATTGTTCTCTATTAACATTGGAGTATTCCTTCTACCAGTGTGAGGTCATACTGTGCACACTGCTTTAGAGTCTCTCCTTTGTACTGTGAACACTTCCAATGACATCAAATATTTGTATAAATAACAATTCTAAAGTTGCCTAACAGATATATCAAATTACTTATTACATCCTTAGGTTTAATCTTTTATATCATTTCCAATTTTCTCCATTACAAATAGGACCACCATGAGCACCTTACATGAATACGCTTTTGTAAATATCAAAGAGATTTCCCCTAAGATCAGTCTCTGAAGTGGCACTGGTGATGAAAGGATGTGAACATGGGATTGGAATGTACAGGCCGATGTTGGGTTTCAGTTTCTCACTAATGCTAAGCCCTGAGACATTCCTCTAACACAGCAGAGTTATTTAGAGTCAGGCAGACCTGGGTTCAAATCCCAGTTCCAACTCCCTAGCTTGATGGCCTTTATACAACGTGGTCTCTAAACTTTAGTTCCTTCATATGGAAAATGGGGTAACGACCACCTTTCACGGCTGTTGTGGGAACTACATGAGACCATGTGCAGAAGCTTCTGAGCACAGTTCCTTCACTATACCTCAAGAGTCAAGAGCTATTTCACCAAGAATTTGCTTGAGGTGAAGGCTATAAATCTAAATGATTCAAATGTTTAAAGTTGGGGTTCTTTCCTGACATTTTAGTAAAACTTACCACATGTGAGTACATGTCTTCCAGGAGTAGAACAGCTCACTTTGACCTGAGAGATTGTTAATGAGGTATTCAGGCTCTGTAGTTACAAGCATAATCTTCGGTGTGGTCAATGGAATGACTGACTCCAATTCATCCTGCCTTCCTCATCCTGACTCAGATTACCTATGGGTGAACGCACCTCCTCCCTCACTGACTCTGAGCTTAGCCTTCTGACTTGCTTTGGGCAATGACCCATGAGCAGACTTCCAGTACACCGTGTCCAACCAGTGGCTCCCAAAGAGCTCATCAGGTGCAGCTTGCCTTCCATGCCATGAGAGGAACATGCCCCTGGGCCTGCTCTCCAACCTGGGTCTGGAAATGAAAGGCACATGGAAGAGTCCTAAGTCAACCACAGGCAGCCCGCACAGCAACCCGGGAGAACAGAACATTTGTTATTGTAAGTCACAAGATGCGGAGCCCTGGCAGGCTGACACCCTGGCTGTTAAATTCCACCCACAGGGGCATGCTGGACCACAGAACAGAACAGAGACAGCGAAGGAAAGGAAAATGCCTTTGGAGGGGGCGTATTTGTCCAGAGACATTTACTAAAACTAGGTCCACTACAATGCCCCAGCCCTTCTTTCCCCATAATAAAGGCATGACACCACAGGGTGCTAGCCAGGACAATATACTTGAGAATCTAGAGCCAAGGTGGACAGGCTGGTAATGGAAGTCTGCCTTGTCACTGCGGTTATTTCTCTCCAGGGGTGATTTACAAGGTGATAAAAGACCTCAAGATGCCAAAGGTACTTAGGCTGTTAAAAACCAGACTTTTATGATCCCTTGTTCCTTATAGTACATGTTTTTTCATTAATCAAATGCTTATTCTATTAGAAGTCCCAAACCTTTAAGATGGTGGGACATTTCATTTTTATTGTCCTGAAGTGGCATTAAAATCCACATGGTCCTCAGCAGGCCACTGGTGAATTCCTCATGTTCGAATTCGTTCCACCCTCTGTCTTCTCTGATCCTATCTATTTTGTATTACTCTTTTAGAAGAATTTTTTTCTTTCTGTGTTCATGCTGGGATAGATGCTGAACTGTTAGCCAAAAGCCTTCTTTTTCTTCCCCTGCCTGTATTTGAAGTCTGGAGCCAGTCGCTGATGTCATTCTCAAGCCCATGTTTTTGCACTGTGGACCTCATCTCTTCTGGCCTCTTCTGCTGGCTGTCTTACCATCAGTGGGCAAAATTCCATGTTCCCATTTGGTTAGCCCAGAGCAAAGCCTGTCCTTGTCCTCTCCCTTGTCAATGGTGGGTTTCATCAAGGAATCTCTTACTGTATATTTTAATGACCAAAATGATGAAAATTTGTCATTTAGATTGATATTTTCTAGTTTTTAAGACTATTCAGAGTAAATTAATGATTATTTGTAAATATCAATAGTACAATTTGTAATCATTATATAACAGCATCTCGAATCAAGTTTTATAAATAAATGGAGTATGTATTCAGTAGATAGACAAACGGATAGAGCACAGATCAACTAATAGAGATAACATTGCCATTAAATTATAACTCATAAATGCTTTTAGAAAAAGCTTCCAGACAACTGCCATCTCTACCTTATTAATGCCTAGCCTGTAAAAGCAAGGAATTAAAGAATTTCTCAAGAAATGGCAGACTCCAGGTCTGTTTTTAGAAGTAAAGTTTTCTTAGAGCCCAGCCACATCTATTCGATTATGTGTTTGTCTGTGGCTGCTTTCACAACACAAAAGCAGAGTGAAGTAGTTGCAACGACTTAACTATATGGCCTTCAAAGCCAAAAATGTGAGCAATAAATTATTTTTTAATTTTTCTACTGTTATTTTTATGTGTAGGAAATGGTCTGCTTTGCTTAAAACTTGAGGCTCCTCTACTCACTGATCATATCTTTAATTAGCTCACTTTTCCCAAAATGTTTTTCCATCTTTTGTTTTTTATGCTTTCTTATCCTGCCTAAGCCACACCCTATCTGTTTTTCTGAACAAACTTAAGCCCTACTTGCTGGATGACAGCTGTAACCAACGGTGTGACTTCCTTTCAAATCTCTAACTGTGCTTCACTGTCTGTCCCATGCACGTGGGCTCTTGACTCCTCACTAAGTATTTGCACAGCACCTACTGAGTACTGAGCCTTATTCTAGATCCTAGGAATACGAAAGCAAGCATCTAGATGTGAGCCCTGCCCTCAGTGGGTGGACGTTTGTTGGAGGAAGAGGCACAACCACGTCACCACAAGGTAGTGAATTCCAGATATTACAAAAGAGGAGTTGCTATGGAGGAACCAACAGCAGGGACATCTTCCCTCTTTGAGGAAATCAGATCTGCCCTCAGGGAGAAGTAGAAACTGAAGAATGAGGAGCAGTTAGCTGATGAATGAAAGAAGTAGGGGCTGGGGGTGCTGTGGGGAGGGCTGGACGAGGAAGGGGAGGTTGGTAGCATAGGAGAGGAGCATATTTCAAGGACACGATATGGGAGGGAGTATGGCATGTTTGAGAAGCTAAGTGATAGGTTACAGTGAGTGTCACGATCTTGGGGACAGAGTGCGAAACAGTTTACGGAAGGCTATGCAATCCTTGTGGTTTTCATCTCTGGAGTACGCTGGAATGGATTCTGAGCCAGGCAATGATGGGATCAGATTTTTTTAATTTATTTATTCATTTATTTTTGAGACACAGTCTCTGTATGTCACCCAGGCTGGAGTGCAGTGGTGCAATCTCAGCTCACTGCAACCTCTGCTTGGGAGTTCAAGCGATTCTCCTGCCTCAGTCTCCTGAGTAGCTGGGACTACAGGCACCCACCAACATGTCTGGCTAATTTTTGTATTTGTAGTAGAGACAGGGTTTCACCATGTTTGCCAGGCTGGTCTTGAACTCCTGACCTCAAGTGATCCGCCTGCCTCAGCCTCCCAAAGTGCTGGGATTACAGGCGTCAGCCACCGCGCCCAGTTGATATGATCAGATTTTATGTTAGAAAATGCACACTCAGGGCCGGGTGAGGTGTCTCATTCCTGTAATCCCAGCACTTTGGGAGGCCAAAGCGGGCAGATCACAAGGTCAGGAGATTGAGACCATCCTGGCCAACATGGTGAAACCCTTTCTCTACTAAAAATACAAAAATTAGTTGGGCATGATGATGGGTGCCTGTAATCCCAGCTACTCAGGAGGCTGAGGCAGGAGAATCACTTGAACCAGGAAGTCAGAGATTGCAGTGAGTCGAGATCAGGCCACTGCATCCCAACATGGTGACAGAGCGAGACTCTGTTTCAAAAAAAAAAAAAAAAAAAAGAAGAAGAAAGAAAAGAAAAAGAAAATGCATGCTCAGTTGCCTCCATAGAGAGAAGAGATGGAAGTGAGACTGAGGGAAGACCAGCCAGGAGGCTGCTGTGTCCAGTGAAGGCTGAGGAGAGCTGAGAGGGCCGGGCAGGGGAAATGGAGGGGAGGGAATAGGTTTGAGAGGTTTTGGAGAAAGATCCCATAGCACATGAGACGGCTGTATGGAATGAGGGAGAGAGAAGAGTCTGGAAAGTCCCTGGTTTCTAGTTGGACAACCTGGTGATGATGCTATTTACTATGACAGGGACACAAAAGCGGAAGGTAGAGATGGGGGCAGGGGATGGGGAACTGCAATTAGATAAGATTGCTTTAAGCTTCATGCAGCTGTGAGATCTCCAAGCCACGGTGCCCAGGGCCAGTCAGAGCTGGCCCCTAACACTCAGGAACATGCAGACCTGGGCATCACCCACTTCAATAGAGCTGTGGAGTCTAGGTCCCCTCTGCCAAGCTGGCAGAAGCTATGACCATATACACCAAATTTGCATATAATTTCAAGGAACTCACAGGCCCAGAAGTTTATCCATGGACTCTGGGTTCATAATTTCTGCTATGGATGATAATAGAAGCCGTACGACTGGATGAGATGATCCTGGGAGAGAATAGAAGAGAGAACGTAGGACTGAGCCCCAGGGAAGCCCAGGGCTAAAGGAACCAGCAGAGGGAAGAGGAGAGAAGAAGACTTCAAAGCAGACCAGGAAAGAGGAGCTGACGTGGTGAAAGAACAACTAAAAAAGGAAAAAAGGAGCCACGTCCTAGAGGGAAGGTGCGTTTGCATCAGTGGCATTCGGTCCATTATTTCCACATAACAAGTTGGCGAGCTCTTTAGAGGCAGGGGCTCCTTCTTCTTTTGTATCCCTGTTATCTCAAAATTGATGCTCATATCACAAACACTCAATTGACACAGTGTCTTTAAATAAGTTTGCAGATAATGAGGAATTAGTAGGTTAGGCCTGACCTACCTTGAAAATAGTCAAACAACAATTAAGCTAGGAAATGAATACTGTGACTATATGGAGGCTTTGCTAACACAGCCTAGAACATAGTCTGCCTTCAATACATGTCGTGGGATCATCATGGAACGTTCCTATGGATTAACGCAAGCTGTGTCACTTTAGCACGGGAGGACACTAACTCCACGGGACCCTCACGTGCAGCTGTGGGGTCACTGAGCCAGGAATCGGGAAAACTGGATTCCAGGCTCGATTCTGCCACTAAGCAATAGTGTTACTTTGGGCTAGTTTCTGCATACCCCTGAGTCTGAGGTTCAAGTTCCGAAGCTCAGTATTTTTCCCTCTGTGCCTTCCTATTGACCATCAGGGCTCCTGCAGGTGCTAAGGTGGATGATGGGTGCTGGTAGCCAACAGCCTATAAATTTCAAGGCACCTCCTGTACATTGCAGCACAAAAGCTATTATTATCAAGCATTGCAAATCTGCCAACATGTTCTTAGGTTTACAAAAGATGGATCATTTCTTTTCTAAGTAGTGTTTGTACGGATTATTTTGGCCAATGAGCAATTTCTGAGAGTGGGTGACTGTGATTAATTGCCAAATGGTTCTAATCTATTATCTAACAACATTCTTCTAATGGAAAAGGGAAAATGAGTAAATTTGCCACTAATGTAAATGTAACATAAGTAGTAATTAATTTTCTTTATAAAAAGCTGAGCTCATTGACTATATTGAAAGTATAAGCAGGAAAGTAAAACATGACCCTAACAACAAACAGATGGCATTCCCCTTCATGTGCCTGCGCACACTTTTGAAGTTTGAGAGAAACCACACAACACTCATGCTTTCAATTATGTTTCCAACAGAGACAGACCCCAAATGTATTTTTTCTTTATAACTGATTGCTCTTCCACGTCAGTCCATATGCCTGAGCTGGAAATTTACCTCAGCAAAGGAAAGAGAAAGAAACCTCAGCAACCTCCTGACTTGGCACCCTCAGAAATACTAGAATAAATTTAAATCATTATTTGGCTAAGTCCCTTCTCCTCCTTTATTTTCTTCAAGGGAAAATAAAGGTACTTAAAGAAACTGGATCCAATTAAACTAACTTTGTCTTTTCTTTTTCTATTGGAGAAATTTGCTACACTGATAAATATTAAACACGTATGGACTGTTGTTTCTTTCTCTGTATCTTCCTGACTGTATCTTTTCTGCCCAGGCTGAAGGAACATCCACAGATACAGATGTGGCATGTTTATTATCCTTGCCTGGAGCTTCTAAGTCGTGCACAGTATCCACTGCGGTTTGTTTGGAAGTAGAGAAAAAGAGAAATAAGTAATTGGAAATGTGTAAAAATAATTCAAAGGAGTAGTAAGAAAAATGCATTTGGGTTCATTTACTTACTCATTCAAAAAGCATTTATGGAGTGCTTCATTTTTTCGGGTACTTTTCTAGGGCTTGGAAATATGGCAGTGAGGATGACAGATGGGATGTTTGTTGCCTTCAATCACCTTTTATTCTACTATGAGTAGAGAGACAATGGACAGGCCAGCAAATACTCAGTCAGGATAATTGTAGATGGTGGGAAGTGTGGTGGAGAAAATAAAAAGGGTAATGTGATAGGGACCGCACATTTGGGAGGGCGGCTGGGAAACTCTCTGGGAAGCAGTGCTTGAGAGGGAATGAATGAGAGTCGGCCATGCAGACAGCAGGGCAGCCTGGCGATGGGGAGAGAGGTTCAGGCCCGGTGGGAACAACTACAAAGATCATATGGTGGGCAGAGCGCTGTGCATTTCTAGTAGGCACATCCAAAGATGACAACGACTGGTCAACTGTTTCCAGGTATCATTTGTTTTAGCTACATAGTGATCTAGGAGTTAAGAAAAAATCACTTAGGCGGACAGAAAGGGTAGGGGAGTCCTTGGTAAGGCCTTTGTTTTCAATGAAAAGCAGCCCCACATCATATTCTATCAAGGAGCAGCCTGTAAAGTTGAGCTGCAGACATAGACTAGCCACCTGGGAGCTTGCATGGTGAATACTGGCAGGAACTAGGGACTAGACATGTTCAAGATGGGCTCCATCTTCCCTTCTCTTTGTCAACCACCTGTACTGTAAGGAGCAAACAAAATGGCACTGATCAACTGGAAAGGCCATTTGCATAATAAGATTGGGGTAGGGCAACCAGCCTTCCCGCTCACTATGTACACGTTATACGTGATGGAACCAATCCCTGAGCCCTATGGAAATCAGACCCTGCCTCCTCAAACCTGATGATAAAATTGGGCGCATCAGCCACCCGTCCCCTCAAAGGCCCCTCTCTCTGTGGAGAGAGCTGTTTTCTCTTTCTCTTTTCTTCTGCCTTTTAAAGCTCCACTCCTAAACTCCTCGTGTGTGTCCATGTCCCAAATTTTCCTGGCACGCAACAAGGAACCCCAGGGTATATACCCCAGACAATGTAGCCGCTTCAGTCGCATATCTTAATCCCCTAAGAACTCCCAATATCCCCATTTTACAGGAGAGGAAACCAATGGCCAGAAAGATGCAGCTTTCCAAGATCACCCAGGAAATAAAGGATGGAGCTAAGAGTGGGTCACTTCCTGACTCAATTTATGCTACCTTGTCTCAGAAGAGGATGCCTCTGAGGCGGGCATGTAGTTGCCCCTGCAGGACCAAGACAATGGGGCCAGCTGGATTCCACTTTATACAACCAATATGGTCTGTGTCTGTTTGGATTTCTATCTCAGAATGCAATAGACAAAGTGGCTTATAAGCAATGAAGGATTTATTTCTCACAGTTGTGGAGGTGAAGGAGTCCAAGGTCAAGGTGCAGGGAGATTTGGCATCTGGTGAGGGCTACTGTCCGGGCTTCTGGATGGCGCCTTCTCACTGTGGCCTCCCGTGGCTGAAGGGGACAGGAGCCCTCTCCTTTATAAGGGCAATAAGCCCTTCCTGGCCTAATCGCCTTCCAAAGGCCGTGCCTCCTAATACTGTCTTCCTGGGGATTAGAGTTTTAACATGAATTTGGGAGGGACTTAACCATTCAGTCCAGAGCGGATATTATGTCCCAGAATCCTCTAGCTGTGATGGAGCCACGCCGACCTCTGTGGTCTCCGCACCTCCGCAGTGCAGGCCAGGCGTCTTCTGACTCAGCTCCAGCCGCAGAGCCCTGCTGCTCTCACAAACAGCCCTGCTGTCTGCGACCGTAAAAGCACAGCCTCCAACTGGGGAGAGTGCGAGGGACGTTTTCACAGGTACACCGTTTTAGTCATAATTTATTATGCTTTTGATTATGAAGATATTTGAATGGCTCAAACCATGATGCCAAGGAAGGAATAACATGTAAAATACATTTACTCGATGTCATGCTCTGAAATCCCTCAAGCTCCTACACAGAAAAAATAAATTATACTTGTGAATAAAGCCTGTGGTAGGAGGAGGTGCTGTTTCCAATCTGTCACGGTTCCAGCTCCTCAGGCCTTGCAGTCTCAACAGCACCGACCCCAGTAGCTGCCTCCTGTGGACTCTTGACTTGCCACAAAAGCTGATTTTTTTCCCAATTAAATCTTCAAGGTTTGCTGATGATTTATTGATGTAACAATCATACATTGTGGTGCCTTATAAATACACAGTATCGTAATAGCAAACATAGGTGCCAAGTCAAATGAGACATGTCCCTGAGCTCAAGAAGCTCACGGGTGTGATGGTGGAAAGAAGAGGCTTATCGTGGCAGATGGTAGCATAAAAGGAAACTCATAGGGGGCGACGGTGGTAGAAAAAGAGGCTCATGGGGTGGGTTTTAATGAGTGTCCTGACAACAGAAGCGCCAGGAGTCATGAAGATCTAGGATTGCAGGAAGCCCCCTGCACTGCATGACCTCACTTTTCTCTTCTTTCTTTTTTTGTAGGTAGGGGGTCTTGTTTTGCCGCCCAGGCTGGGGTGCAGTAGCGTGATGATGGCTCACTGCAGCCTGGGACTCCTGGGCTGAAATGATCCTCCCACCTCAGCCTCCCAAGCAGGTGGGACCACAGGCACGTACCACCACATCCAGCTAATCTTTTATTTATTTTTTGGAGTGACGACATCACACTGTGTTGCCCAGGCTGGTCTGCAATTCCTGGCCTCAAGTGATCCTCCTGCCTTGGCTTCCCAACATGCTGGAATTACAGGCGTGACCCACTGCATCCAGCATCACCTCGCTTCTCTATGTTAACCTGTGGCAGTCTGATACCCGCTCCCAGGCCGCCCCCAGGTCTGTTCTTGGTGAGCCAAGCTGCCTGAATGAGTGATCATTTGGGTCATCAGGAACTTGACCATATTGCCTGTCAGTTTTGTTTCAACGGCTTTTCATGTTTCAGTTCTTTTGCAGGCCCCCTCCTTTTCGAAGATCTTTCTTTCCATGCTTTTGCCTGACTTCATGGCTCCTCGCTCCCCGCATCACGCCGTGGTGGTGCCTGGATGCGTGACGATGTACTGACCACATTCTGCGGCAATCACTGTTCGTGAAGCTGCCTCCCCTCCTAGACTGAAAACTCTTCGAAGATGGGACCATATGGTTTCTATCACCAAAACCAACATAATAGCAAAGAGTAGGCATTTGATAAGTGTTTATAAAAGGAAAATACACAAATAATACCTGTCTACCCAAATAAGTGATTGTATTTTTCCGGATGCATATGATCAAAACCCACAAGTGTCTGTGCTTTGTAACCCTGTCCCCAAGCCCTGCGCTCAACAATACAGCTAACACAACTTACTGCATTTGAGTGTAAAGGTTAGTGTATAGCCCTAGGAAAGCATTTTCACCCACAGTATGAGTGGTGCATATTCACATGCACTGTGACAGCTCCATGCATGTTATCACCCTGAAGACCTTCCAGTGGGACAATATGTGGAGGTGGAAGGCAGTGCTATTGATGGTCCCGACCCTGTGTAGGCCTAGGCTAGTGTAGGTGTTTGTGACTTTGTTTATGATGAGCTAGTTTACAGAGTCAAAAAAAAAATTAAATACAAAAAGGCTGAAAGAATAAAGATATAAAGAAAGAAAATATTTTTGTACAGCTGTACAATGTGTTTGCATTTTAAGCTAAGTGTAATTACGAGTCATTTTTGTAATTAAAAAGTTTGACATTACAGTAAGCAAAGGTTAATCATTATTGAAGAAAGAAAAAGTATTTCTTATAAATTTAGTGTAGCATGAGTGTCTAGTGTTTATAAAGGGGTGTACAATAGCGTCCCAGGCCTCCACATCCACTCGCCATTCACTCAGAGACTCACCCCAGCAACTTCCAGTCCTGCTAGCTCCATTCGTGGTTAAGCGCCCTATAGAAGTGTACCATTTTCCACTTTTTATACCATGTTTTTACTGTACCTTTTCTCTGTTTATTATGTTTAGATACATAAATACGTACCATTGTGTTCCAGCTGCCTGCAGTGTTCAGTAGCGTCCCCTGCTGGGCAGGTGTGTATCCCGGGAGCAACAGGCTGTACCATGTGGCCCGGGTGTGGAGGAGGCTGCGCCGTCTGGGTTTGTATGAGTGCACTCTATGATGTTCACACAGTGGCAAAATCACCTAAGGATGCATTTCTCAGAACGTATTCCCTTCATTAAGTGACACGTGACTGTACGTATAATTGGATTATTCTAGAGGTGACTAAAATTACTATTTGGAAATGTTAATTAAGCAACACATGTGACAAATATATACCAAGATTTCTGTGAAATTCAGCCCTCCGTGGCTGAGGTCCGCAATACACAGCCGTCTCTAAGCACCTGGCTTGAGAGTTCCCGCAAAGCAGTAGCCTTGGCTTTGGCCTCTGTGTACCCTATCGCCCTGCACAGTTTCTGATACGTTGAAGGCTTCCAGTAAAGGAAACACTAACACTTAATAGTATGGATGAGGAATCCAGAGTTCTTTGTTTATTTACAGTTTTAAACAATGAAGTCCACAAAAACTAAAAGAGTAAGAGGCTGCCTGTTTATTAAAAGCAGCATTCTATTAGGAAAGCATGTATGTACTGCTGCTGGTGCCTTTGCAGACTTTGAGTGTGTGTGTGCGTGTGTGTGTCAAACTGTGGGAGTCAACTGCAGCACAGAAATCACCACCCAGAGGGGGCTTCTCCAAGTGCGCAAGCTCAGCAGAGGAAGCCTCAGCCCTGCGGAAGCTCAGGGAGGGTGAGGATGGAGGCTGGGAGATATTTCCTCACAGCTCCTCTTGTGCCTTCTCTCTCTTCCCTCCCTACTTGACCCTGCCCACTCCTTCAGTCCCTCATTGTAACCCACTGTCTTTTCAAAGGTACATCATTCTTACATTTGGATTTTAAAATGTGTGACGAAAGCTAGAATGCAACCCAGGAGCAGGAGCTCTGCACTAACAGGAGAGGGCTCCTTCTGGTTTCCATGTTCCACACACCTTTTTCATTAGGCCAAAAGTCACCAAGGGTGCAATGGGAGCTGGACTATGCTGTCCCCTTTGACAACATGATTTCACAGAGTGCTTCCTGCGCCGATGCAGAGAACTGTCGCCAGATTCGTGAGCAATAATGGTATGAACAGCCATTAATTAGAGAGGGAGATTAGCTTAAACAAAAGGGGATTGAATTTAGACCCACTCATTATCTTTTCCATTGTTAGCTCTATTGAACTCCATTGTGGTCGGGATAAGAACAAGAGAAATGGGGATTGTGTGGAGTATGAATCAATTAACACATATATGCCTGCTGTGTGCACACATTGCCCTTTAAGAGATAAAGAAAAATGAGACATGATGGTATAGAACATACACACACAGAGGTAAAGACGAAAAAGACAGACTCAGATTCCACCTTTTTCTTTCTTGATTATGGAACCTTGTTTTTTCTCTATACTTAGCTGTAGCCCCTCTCCTCCTCTCAAACATAGAGTTCTACATAGAAACTTTTTCTTCTGCCGTAAAATCAGTAAGCTCTCTTGGGACAGTTTGCAAAGTATTAGATTTTACTCAATTAGAATTGTTCGCATAGGGCATGGCAGAGTGGTTCTCATTCCTATCAGACCAAGGCCCTCTTTAAGACATAAAACTGTTTGTGTTTTACCTTGAAATGAAATCATTAGATAATGTAATTTACCTGAACACCAACTTTAATAACAACATAAGAAAACTCTCAAGCATTGTTTATATAATAGTGAACATAGCTGCTTTCCAAATTACAAAAAGAAAACAAAAATCAATATAATGCCGCAACAGTGAATATAGAAGAGAAGTAAAAGGAAGAAAAATAACATTTAAGGAATAATAAATATATAATTTCTCTGATTCTTTTCTTTGTTTCATACAAGATGGGTAATTTTTAGATTATCTCTTATTGAAATGATGAGTAGTAGATTGTCTTTAAAATACTTTCACATACTATTAACCAGAAAATCAAATGATAATAATTTCTGCACCTTTGCTGGGACACACACTTTTTTGATCATCAGATGGACTTTTCCCCATGAAAAATGTGCAAATGCACGCAACACTCACAAACAAATGTTTCTGTATGTTTTGTGACCCAGATCCCTCTGGCATCCCAATGACGAGGACTTCAGCATCACTTTCAAATGCAAACTGACTATGCTTACTACACCCTTCCTTCCATTGTCCATCATCCAAACTGACTATGCTCACTACACCCTTCCTTCCATTGTCCATCATTCAAACTATGCTCACTACACCCCTTCCCTCCGTTGTCCATCATTCAAACTATGCTCACTACACCCCTTCCCTCCATTGTCCATCATTCAAACCGACTATGCTCGCTACACCCCTTCCTTCCATAACTGACTATGCTCACTACACCCCTTCCCTCCATTGTCCATCATTCAAACTGACTATGCTCACTACACCCTTCCTATCATTGTCCATCATTCAAACTGACTATGCTCACTACACCCTTCCTTCCATTGTCCATCATTCAAACTGACTATGCTCACTACACCTTTCCTATCATTGTCCATCATTCAAACTGACTATGCTTACTACACCCTTCCTTCCATTATCTATCATTCCAACTGACTATGCTCACTACACCCCTTCCTTCCATTGTCCATCATTCAAACTATGCTCACTACACCCTTTCCTCCATTGTCCCATCATTCAACTAGACATGTGTTCAGATATTTAAGGTTATCTATAAAGGTTTAATTTGTTTTTCCTAATGTCTGTCTACCCCTTCCCTCAATTGTCCCATCATTCAACTCTATACATATTCAGATATTTAAGGTTATCTATAAAGGTTTAATTTGTTTCTCCAAATGTCTCTGTACAGGTACAATATTAAGAAATTAGTCATCTAAAGTCCATATTTTTAAAAATCATTATAAATATATAATAATTTTATGAGCACACCAAAGTACAGTAATTCCTTCTCATCATGGTTCTCTTTATGCAAAATTCGAATGGGTACAGATTTTTGTTTGAATACCTTTTTTTCTTAAATGTGGGAATTATATATATATATATATACACACTCAAGTTGCCACCATGTCATATAATGGAATATCTCTCCAGGTAGAAGAGATCTCTGATTATTCATCTTTGTCTTCATTCTCTCTGTTGCCATCTACCCAATTGGTAATATATTATCTTTAATTTTATTTTCTTTTATTACATTTCATTGTGTGTTTAACTAGTTATTTAACTAGCATTTATATAGCATATATGTGGAGCTTATTATATGCCAGGAATTGTTCCAATCACTTTACTGATACTAATTCATTAACTCCTTCCAATAATTTTATGAGATAATTGCAATTGTTATCTCGGTTTTACAGATGAAGCAACTGAGGGACAAGAGGTTAAATAATGTGCCCAAGATCGTAAAGCTAGTTACCACCAGAGCTGTAATCAGAGCTGTAATCAGAGCCCAGTTAGTCTGGCTCCAGAGTTAGTCCTTAAAATCGATTATCACTCACTTTTCTGTTGTGTGTGGTGTGTGTGTGTGTGTGTGTGTGTGTGTGTTCTCACATGCTGCTTAGGTAGTCCCCACGATATTGACCAGGAAGTGGATTCTGGATTTTAGTTGTTTTACACAGGAAATGTCATGCTGTCCTTTAGAGAGATCCATTACATCTTGGACCTAAACATGAGACTCTCTTTCTGCCAAACAGGATTTAAAATGCCGATCCAATGACCATAGAATAGAATGTGCTCATGGTGGCTGAGGAAATGCAGAACCAGGGAGAGTATTGGAAACAGTCCTGTAATTAGATACACGGAAAACTGCAGCATCAAAAAACACGGTATGATCCTTAAGACGTGTGTTTTAAAAAAGTTTCATGAAAATAAACTGGTAAAAAACACTGAACACTTTAAGGAACTACTTTGAATGTGTACAGAAACAATAGGCCTTCTAATAACGTTTGGTTGATTTGCTACAAGTTTGTAAAGATATGAAAAGGTTCCAATACAATGTATGGAAGCGTACATTCATTCATTCAACAGATTTTTGTGTAAGTCCCTGTGTGTCCACTGTTCCAAAGAGAATGAGGCAAAACGTCCGCCCTCATGGGCCTTACATTCTAGTAGGAAACATTTGCAAGATAAATAAGTTAGTTTACAACATGTCAGGGAATAAACAGTGAGAAGGAAAATAAAGCAGGAAGAAGGGATGAGACGGGGCAGCATTTTAGATCGGTAGTTTTTAAACAAACAGATCATTGTTTTCTATAAATATTTATTCCAAAATACCACATAACGATATCTTTCTTCTGTTTCCTGGTCTTCTCCTTTCTCTTCAACATAGCTAATTTAAAAGGACATTTTGATCCCTAATTAACATTTCGCCCTGATATCCAGACAATATCTATCCTGTGAATCCCTATGCGTTCGCAAGTTACTCTTCGACGCAGCCGTTGCCGGTGGCCTCAATTTCCATTCCACATTCACACTTTAGAGTCCTCTGTCTTCTGCTAAGCACTCCAGAAAGCTCTGGGAGGGAGAGGTAAAGTTGCTGATACTGTAGACCTTGCTGGCACATTTCCTAGGGTGCTGAAGCACCACCCTTGGGCTCCTGAATGACAGGAGAAAGAAAACAGTTAACTCACTGTGAGCCTTGGATGGTGGAATAATAATCACGGCATTTGGGGATAGCTGCAGATGCTGAATCTGAGCCCCTCACTTCTACGCTGGGTAAGCTGAGGTGTGTCACTGCAGGACAGCTCTCCAGGTGGCCTTGGAAGATGTCCTGGGAATGCAACACTCTGAGATAAGGGTGAGCAGGCTGGAATTCTCAGGCTCTGTTCCCACCCTCCCCTAGAAACGGGACGTCCTTCAATTCTGGAGCTCCTTGCATCATGTTCCCCCGTGGTGTAAAACCCAGTGTGGGCTGCATTTCAGGGTCCCTCATCTACAGCACAACGGGGGCACACACAGTCAAAGCTCCATCCACCCCGGCAGCTTTCTGAGTCTCGAGGAAGCAGCTCCCACAAACTCCTGTTGTTCCTTGCTGCCTATCCACAAGCATCAAATCTGCGTCATGTGAGTTGATGCCTGGGAGTGTGCTCTCCCTCCACAGACTCAGGCACGCCAGTCACCGCTCACAGTGAGCCTGCCTCACAGGTCATTCTTTTAATTTGTAAAATGAAAATGCTTTTATCTTCCCTTCAGGATACTGTGAGGGTTACATAGAATAATTTACACAATGTCATTAAAACACATATGAACACTTCAACAAATGTTGATTCCGTTCACCCCTACTCACCCCTGCCAGCTCATGCAAACTTTTTTGCTTTGTGAGTAAAAAGAAAAAAAAAAATACACACTGTGAACTGACAGAGAGATTCCAGGTGGCTGGTGTTGGGTGCCTAAAAGGTCACCAAATTAATGGTTCTACTGTTTAAAATTCGTTTTCGAATCGCTGTGAATGGGCAGATAAGACATTCATAGACTGGAGTTGCAGCCTGGGCAACACATTGAGCAAATAGGTGAGATTAATTATTTCCATCCCGTTCAAACCCTTAATGAATGCTTTTCGGGAGACGAGAATGGTGGGGAGGGTTTTTCTGCACAACCACGGAATCAAGTTAGAGCAGCCAGATCACATCAAGTTTTGTGTCTTTCAACTTTTGAAAGACAACCTTTAAGACTGCAACAGGGGTACCTGGACAAAAAAGAGATAGTCTTATGACAGTATAGATGAGGAAGAGGCAGGCTAGTCGGCAATACTCTTTGACCAGGCCCAAGGATGGAGGCTGAGTAAACAAGGTCAGCCAGCATCAGCAAGAAGGAGGACCCCAAACAAAATCAATCGACTCATCTTTGCAGCTCTCACAACTATGTCCTGGAACATTTAGATTTCATATCTCCTTTTCTACAAAGTTAATTGTGGTCTGCTTTGTAGATGTGGTGAAGAAATATAAAATAAATATGTAAACAGGCTTGCATGTTTTTTAAATTAAAATACAGGTCCTCCTAGACTTCCAGTGGGGTTACAGCCTGATAAACTAATGATAAGTCTAAAATATCATAAATCAAAATGCATTTAATACCTTGATAAACCCATGATAAACTCAAAATATCCTAAGGTAAACCATTGTAAGTCCAGATGCTCCTTGACCTACGATGGGGTTACGTCCCAATAAACCTATTGTAAGTCAAAAAATCCTAAATTCAAGTTAGTCAGGGTTTGTGTTTCTTTCTCTTAGTTCTCCAAACATTCATGTTGAAGGACCTAGAGAGGAACGCAGGGGAGATTTTAGAAAGACATAAAGGAAGTTTGCAAGAACGTATCCTTTATGTCCCATGGTTTCTTTTATGAACGTAAACTTTTTATTTAGTATAATATGCATCCAGAGATGTGGATGGATTACAAGTGGTACAGCTCAACAAACTTGCACAAAACAATCACAACCATCTAGTCAGCACCTGGATCAAGAAACAGAGAGCATTACTGCGCCCCCAAAACCTTCCTGGTGCCCTTCCAGTCACTACCTGAGCCTCTACTCTGAGCCTCTAAGACCATAGTAATGTTTTACCAGTTCCTTTTTTTTTTTTTTTTTTGAGATGGAGTCTCACTCTGTCAACAAGATGGAGTTCAGTGGCGTGATCTCGGCTCACTGCAAACTCTGCCTCCCGAGTTCAAGCAATTCCCACCTCAGCCTCCCGAGTAGTTGGGACTACAGGCACGTACCACCACACTCGGTTAATTTTTTTGTAGTTTTAGTAGAGACGGGGTTTCTCTATGTTGGCCAGGCTGGTCTCGAGCTCCTGACCTCGTGATCTGCCCACCTCGGCCTCCCAAAGTGCTGGGATTACAGGCCTGAGCCACTACACCCAGCCAGTTTTACCAGTTCTTAAACTTAAGTCAATGTAATTGTACAGTATGTACTGTTGTATGTGCTTCTTGTCTACAACATGGCATTTGTGAGATGCACCTGTGCTGTAGCGTGTAGTCGTTTGTTCATGCTCATTGCTGCATTGTATCCCAGCTTCAAAAAAAGTCGACTCTGCTGTTGATGGGCACTTGGTAGTTTCCAGTTGGGAGCTATTGCAAAGAGTGCTGCTATAAACATTTTAATAATATCTATCTTTTGGTGATCACATGCACACCTTTCCATTGGGAATATGCCTAGGATTGGAATTCTTGGGTTCAGTTATGCCCAGCTTTAGTAAATACAGCAGTGCACACCCCCAGGAGCAGAGTAGGAGAGTCCCAACTGCTCTACATCCTAGCCAACACTTAATACTGTCTGTATTTTCCATCTTAGCCATTCTAGTTGGTGTCACATATATTTTAAAAGAATATAATCAAGAAAAATGGATTATAAGAGATAAAAGTAATATAACTGACCACTGTTGTGGTGGACCTGGACACCCACATTTTAAACAAACTCCAATTGCTTTTGGTGCAGATTGTAATGGTACAACAATTACAGAAGCACTGCACCAGTGGAGGAAAACTACAGTTTTTGAAAATTGGTATGTGGTAGGCACTAGATTGAGTGATTTTACTATGTATTTCAAAATAACCCAGATTGGTTAATGTTATTCGCCTCCATTTACAGAGGTGCAATGAAGATTCAGAAAGTCAGGCATTTTTCCCATGTTACACATCTTGTCAATCGTAGGGCCAGTGATTCAAACCCAGATCTTTCCTCCCCTGAGCCTATAACAACCAAGAGGCAATCAATCTCTTCAGTGCAATTGTTTCTGAGCAGCCATGTCTTGGGTGTGGAATCCCAGATTTGGGTAAAAACTATATCTTTTCAAGATGTGAAATTGTCTCTCCACAAAAAACGGTCATAGCCAATCTTTATGCAGCAATAGCACAATTTTTGTGCAGCTCTAGTGAGTATTGAAAAGTTCGTAAAGGGCCTGGAAACAGGTATTTACTGACATGCCACCTGGTCACGTCCTGGGCCTCGCATAGTTTGTTGTTTGAATCAGTGTGCGGGTGAGTGTGTGTGCCAAAGGGCAGGCTCGTTAAAATTGCAGGTTCATTAGTTATTCAATACTGCCAGACAAGTTACCCCAAATAGGACTGACTTACATTTCTCACAGCTCTCTGGGTGGGCCAAGAGGTGCTTTTGCTGATCTTGCATGGGTTCAGCTGTGTTGGATTAAGCTAGAGGGTTGGCTGGGCCTGAGCTCAGCTGGCTGAACCGCAAGAGCTCCTCCTTTTCAGGTCGTCTTTCAATCTCAAAGAGGATCATTGACTTCCTCTCATGAAGGCAGCGACGTCCCAGGAAAGTGAAGGCAGAAGAGGCAAGACCTCTTGGGGGTCTTTCACTGCATTCTGTTAGTCAACGCGAATCACAAGTTCAGCCCAGAGTGAAGGGGTGGAGAAATAGATCATGCCCTGATAGGAAAGCTACAAAATAGCATGGCCATGCTTTTCAGTCAGCCACAGTGGATGAAAACTTGGATATGCCAGCACAAAGGAGAGCTGAATAAACATTAATATTTTACTGGTATCATAACTACTACTAAAATCATTAAATATAAAGAAAGCAGTGGTTTTTTAAATTATGTTTCTTAGCATCAATTAAGGCCCTTGAATAAATATCAGCCCAGTGCCAAGTGCACATGTATTCGTTAAAATCCAGGTACTTATATTACCACAAAACCAAAATGAAGTTCCCAGCAGCGCGTCTCTAAGCTGCCTTGATGCCATTTCTCTCCCTGACCACGGTCAAGGCCCCAGTAACCTCTTAATGCGACTGCCGGCACTTGTTTTCACATACCTGGACATTTCTGGGTTTCTTCTTCTATTTTCCTTCCAACGCTTCTCTCCCCACTCAGCTATCTGTAGTTATAACTGGCAATAAATACTCATTGCTTCAAGTTGGCTTTCTTTCTGGTACCCCGACCCTTGAGAGATGATGATACTTGATTTTCTCTTTTTCTTTGATTTCTGACCCCCTGTCCATCTTTAACCACATCTTGTTGCCTATGTCTCATCTCCTCCTCCATGAGATGGGCCACCCCACTCCATTCCTGCATGGAACCTTAGTCCCCGGACTCTGCCTGGCTCAGGGTTAAGGGTCAGACACTTGCTGAGAATGGCAGTTCAGACTCCAACACACTCTCTCAGAACCCATTGGATAACTGCAAGGAAAACACACACAAAATAAAACACAACCCAGCAATTCCATACGTGTGCAAACTATGACTGCATTCAAGAAGGCCAAACTTACTAGAAGGCATTCACATGAGCATAAATAACAGAATCTAAATCGAAATAGTCATAGTAAAGACTGTGTTCCAAGTTTTTGAACTTTTTATGTTTATTACTTCGAAAGTACTTGGTTTAGATGGTGCCTAATGAAACAAGAGGATGTAATGATGGTGGATATTGAAGTTCATAAGTTGAGGTTAATTTGACCCAAATGGAAGCTAATGTGCTGTTGTGGAGGATAGTACAGAGGAAGAATTTAGAAAGATAATCTCAGTGCTATGTGCAGAAGCCACTACTGGCCCCATTTCTAGGGCACTTCGATGAGAGAGTAAGTAAATGGAAATATCTGAACATAAGAAAGAAGAAGCAACAGACTTGAAGACAAGCCAGCCATAAGTGGAAAAGTGCAGAAAAAGGATAAAAATGACCAGAGTTTGCATTTTATGTCACGACTTACACATATGAAAAAGCTGGGAAAAGGACAGGGGAACACAATCCTGCTTTTATGGTGAAGGGGAGATGTGTGTAGCAGATGCACCTGTGGAAATCACTTAAGCAAAGCCTGAGAATGTACCTGCACCAGATCTGTGTAAACTGCATGCTTTTGACAAATGACAGTGCTCCTCCTGTCCAGCCTGCCACCGCTCAATGGCCCTGTATGAAAGTTTCCTTAATAAACCCTGTGTCCTGTTCACTGGCTCCAGGTCTTTTCTTCAGCCTCTTGAACCTGTTGCCATCCCCACCAAAGCCAATAAGGATCCAGCACAACTGGTGAGGAAGCCAGTAAGTCAGAGCAAACCCCGTGAATGCCAAGATGATAGCATCAGGGAAGGGGAGATCCGTGGGGGAGACCCTGGGCTGGCTGTCCATGCCTATGATCAGGGAAGGGGAGATCCATGGGGGAGACCCTGGGCCGGCTGTCCATGCCTATGATCAGGGAAGGTGAGATCCGCGGGGGAGACACTGGGCTGGCTGTCCATGCCTATGATCAGGGAATGGGAGATCCATGGGGAAGACCCTGGGCCGGCTGTCCATGCCTATGATCAGGGAAGGGGAGATCCGTGGGGGAGACCCTGGGCTGGCTGTCCATGCCTGTGATCAGGGAATGGAGATCCACGGAGGAAACCCTGGGCCAGCTGTCCATGCCTATGATCAGGGAAGGGGACATCCACAGGGGAGACCCTGGGCTGGCTGTCCATGTCTATGTGGGCCTTATAGCCACTATCCTTAATGGATGAGGCCAAATGAGTGAGTATGATAACCCCCTGAAAATGCTGAGAGGTCTGGAAGAGCTGTGGCAGGGGGCATATCTATCTAAGCAAGGTTAGATGCCCAAGTTTTGGCAGCCACAACGGGCGGCTGCTCCTGACTACACTCCAAACAGACACTGAGGCTCAGCTCACAGCACAGGCAAAGGTGCATCAAGTACAAGAAAATTTATGACCAGAAAGAGATACAAGATTATCTCAGGTTGAAACATCAGAGACTTACTGTCCTGCCTGCGAGAACAGGGCGGCAAAATGGAGACTCTGGATCATTGGGTAGCCCATTTGAAGGGTCGCTGACTGCCACATCTACTAGTCAGGACTATCATGACCCAATCATCCTGGGGCCCTAAGTCCTAGGGCCCCATGGAGAGCCCCGCTGGGAGGAGAGTGAGGACAAGGACTGAGATAAGCCCATAGAGGTTACCAGCCCCCGATGCACATCTAGTGGACACCACCAAGATAAAGGCAGGCCAATCACGCCCTCAGGGAGTAGACCCACAAAACTCTCCCCTGCCTGAAAGATGGCAGCACGACAGTGCAAGGCAGCACCACTGTGGAACTGTCTCCACTGCCTGAAAGATGGCAGCACAACACAGCACAGGGCGGCACCACTGTGGAACTGTCTCCCCTGCCTGAAAGATGGCAGCATGACACAGCGCAGGGCAGCACCACTGTGGAACTGGTGGAGCTGGGAAATAGTTTCAGGAGGAGGGGGGAGAGCTGATCACGGGTGGCTTCTACCTCTAGGGGACATGAGGTGCTGTATCTCTGCATTTGAGGTGAGTGGAAAGGTGTCCACCACAATCCACCCGGTCCTGAGGCAGCACCGCTGCAGCTCCAGTAATGAGGATTGAGCCATCCCCATGGTAGCTGGGTGGTTGTGGCTGCAAGGGGAATTGGCCAAATGAGTAAGACACCACCCCCACCCCGTCTCCTCTGCAATGCCAGCCTACCACGAAAATGCCAGACATTCTCTGGGAATTAAGAAGGAAGCATATTGTCTATGCTGAGCAGACATCCCCACGTCTCCTCTGCAACGCCAGACTATGACGAAAATGCCAGACATCCTCTGGGAATTAAGAAGGAAGCATCCTGTCTATGCTGAGCAGACATCCCCACGTCTCCTCTGCAATGCCAGACTGTGACGAAAATGCCAGACATCCTCTGGGAATTAAGAAGGAAGCATGCTGTCCGTGCTGAGCAGACATCCCCACGTCTCCTCTGCAACACCAGACTATGACGAAAGTGCCAGACATCCTCTGGGAATTAAGAAGGAAGCATGCTATCTATGCTGAGCACTATCTAGTTTCCAAAAATCAGCTTTTGTTCACTGGTGGCATGAAAGATGTCATCTTAGAGCCAGCATCCAGTCAGTGGTACGGTGTGCTAGTGTCTCTCCTGAACCCTTAGGCAGGACAGCCAGAGTCTCCAGTGGCCCGAGCAGCCACTGGCTTAGGAGACATGAAGAAACTGCATGGGCAAGGGGTGCATGCTACAAGGATGAAAGTCAAGGGCGCCAAAGGAAAGGGGGCAACCAAAGGGCCAGCAGGGTGACCCACTGGGTGTGACACTAGTCACTTGGTAATATGCAAAATATTGTCGCTCCCTCAAACATAAGAACAACGGGCCTTTACCATCTTCCCCTGGAAATATCATCCCAGAGGGGGAGGGTACATGTGTTCCATTAACTTCGAGTGTTTTTCCAGCTTACAAACTGCAACAATCACCTTGCTGTCTCACTTGGAGAACAGAGGATGGGTGGTCAACACAAAGTCCAGGGGCCAGGCTTATCAATCAAATACCTGGGTGTCATCTTGTTGGATGGTGTGCAGCAAACCTCTTTGCCGACTGGGTGCAGATGGTGGCATCTCTCCAGAAAAAATCCAGACTGTTGGGTGTGCGAAGAGCTGTCCTCTCCACCGCAGGCCTGCCACTGAGCATGTAAGGTCAACTCCCAAGCACTTGGGAAAACGTTATGACTGTTATTGTATTTGTTATTCTGTTTTGTTGTAATTTGTGTTGCTGCTGTGAGATCTGGCTGCAATGTTCCTCCCCATACCTGGCCCAGGGAGGTCGTGGAGGAATGACACGGTGAGAATGTGAGCGGCATTCCAGGGTCTGCTGGGGAGGAGGGTACGGTAGACACACCTGACAGGAATAACTTAATTTAAGCATACCCTGAGCATGCAGGCTCACCTAGTCTGTATAGACTGCATGCTTTTTATAAATGGTAGCAGTTCTGCTGTCCATGTCCAGCCTCCCACCAGTGGACTGCCCTGTATGTAAGTCCCCTCAGTAAACTCTCTGTCTCATTCACTGGCTCCAGGTCTCTTCTTCAGTCTCTTGAACTTGGTGCCATCCTTACTGAAGACAACAGGGATGCAGCATGGTAAGACCTCCTTTAGACAATAGAAGAAAAAAATTGAGGACTGAAAAAAATGAGAAGCCTGACTAAATAAAAATTATATCTAGGAATCTGTTGTTTTGTTGGTAAAACAAGATTGTTCCAATATTTTTCATGTTTAAATGAATACCTAAAAATGCTATGACTAAAAGAAATACAAACTTCAAGGTATATTGTTAATATTCTTCTTCCTCTTGATAATTAGTTCCTGGAAATTTCCAATCAGCTTTGTATTTGAAGAAAAGAACTATGCATATTTATATTAACAGAAAGAGAAACCAGTAAAATAGAATTAATTGAAAATGGTAGCATTTCTTCTAATATATATTTTTAAATGTTTGAAGTGATATTAAGAGAAAGTTTAATGTAGCAATGGCCATTTAACCTAACACTCATGGTGACTTCCTTATGGCAATCTGAACTTGCTAGACAAGGGCAACAAGTTCTGCGTTCAGTATCCAATTTGGGATTCCTCTGTCATACCTCTCCTTCACCTGTGCTTTTCCAGATATTGTTTCTAGAGAAGTTTCGCATGGAAGGAACTTTGTCTTATGTAAATGAGAGGAAATGGGTCTCACATCAATGTCATTTTGCATATGACATGTGGGCATATTTTACCTTCAACAGAACAAATGCTTTCTTTTTTTTTACTTCTTTATCTACAATTATGAACTATAGGGAGAGTTTCAGACACTGGCAAATATAGCAACAAAACTGAAAATGCATTTAGTATACCTTCTAGCACTTAAGTTAGAGGTTACAAGAGAGCAGGCCTCAGAGTCCGAGAGATTTCAGTTCCACCTGAAATGCTGAAAATCGTTCTGGAGAGTGAATAGGTGAGTGTGTTGCATCCCTGTCCTGGTTTCAGTTCTCTTGGAAGTTATGTGAGGATCTGGTCTCACACCTTACCCCGAGAGAGCCCTGAAGGGCCCAGGATGTCCACAAAGAAGCTGAGGGGGCTGGACATGCACCTGGCAGAGGCCTCCACAGCCCCTGTGAAGCCTGCTGTGGACTCACTTCAATCAAGCATCCTCACCACCTTCTCCAATTTTCATCACCTCCCTTGAAAGAAACACAGTTTATTACTCTCATAGCAGCCTTCACGGTGTATGAGCTGGAAACAGACCGTGCAAGACTCTCTAGGGTGTAAACAGTCTATTCTTGTGCTTCTCTGAGTATTTGGAGGAAAAGAACCAGATTTGGAGGAGGTTGGTTGGTTTCTTGTTTGGTTTTGTTTTTCCTAATCTATTGTAGACCAACACTATTAAAAACTACAAAATAAATGAATTGCTAAAACAGACCACATTTTTACTTCACATGGCAACATCAAATTTCTTTACAAGTTTCTAAATGGTCAGTTTCTGGACTTATCATTCCTAATGTTAGGTCCCCAGATCCACAAAGGACTCCTGGTCACTGTCTCCAGATCATTCTTTGAATAGCACTGGTCTAGTCCAAAGCTGCCTGGTTAGAGGGTCCCCGCCCTACTAGAGGAAGAAGGGGCAGGCCACAGCAGCAGGGCACAGCCAGGGCCTGCCCACTGCCAGGTGTGCTTCGTCTGAGAGACGTGGCGTGTGTCCACACTGCACACCACAGAGGTGGCTTCAGTGCCATAAATGTAGAGAGAGTCAAGTCTCCATGGCACAATCCATCATAGCAAATTTTTCCATCAGAGCCTGTCTTCTAACCAAGGCTACAAAGTCAATATTCCTACAGGGGTAACAGTTTCTTGCATTTTTCCCTATCATAACATTTTCATATCATAACACAGTCATAAAAATAATTAATTCCACAAGGCATTCATCTCATTTATATCTTGATTGACATTTGAAACCCCTAACCAAGATCCATAAAGAATTTTTTCCTCCCCTTTCTCAAATTTTAACATTTAGTTCTCATCCAGAAAATAACATAAGGGTTCTACTATATTTGTAGGTTTAATCAGCCAATTGCTTTGCACACCTGAAGTTAAGAAGAATTGATCAATTCCTAATTTCTACTGGAGCAAAAACTATGATGAAAAATCAATAGTTTAAAATGTTTAAATCACTGTTTAAAATACTACCTTATAGAGCAAACAGAATGTAGGGATTCTACACCTGACACACACCAACTAGAAAAAAAAGTATAAATCCCCATTCAGACGTATGTGAAATCACTGCCTTTGCACAGACCATTCTTTGACGGGCATTTGTGAAGCCCAAGCCCACAGCAAAGGTCAGGCCTTCTCTTTGCCTTCAAATGTTAGCAGGACCTCAAAACAAATACACAGCTTCCATACTGAGCCAACTCACCCTTCTTCTAGGCCAGTGGTTCTCCAACGGGCACAATTTTGCCCACAGGGGACATTTGACAAAGCTTGAAGATATTTTAGTTGTCACAACTGGGAGAATACTACTGGCCCATGGTGGGTAAAGACCAGGATGCTGCCAAACATCTTACCATGGACAGTGAGGCCTCATAACAGAGGATGTGCCAGCCCAGAAGGCCTGTAGAAGTGAGGCTGAGAAATCCTGTCCTAGGCTGTGCACAGCCACGTTCTCAATAAAAACTAGATATTCTCACTATTTCAACTGGAAACCGGTGGTGTGCTGGAGCCAGCTCGTGCCGGCTCATGAGAGCCCGCTGTGCGAAGCTTCCCATTGCCATTTTTAGGGACATCGTGTTGGGAACAAAAAGTGGGTCAATATTTAGACCACGGAAATTGACAAATGCTACAAAGCACAGCCTTTTTCAGGGAGTGACGTGTTACAGGTTTTTCAGTGTATCACTGGGTGCAGCCCTCCCCAGTGGGAGTAATATGGACTGGTGGACTCTAATTTCTGCTCCACCTGTTGTCTCTCACTTCTTGGATCATTAGCAAAGTGCCACTGATCACACAGGATGATAAGGGCATGCTCTCACTCAGACAGTTGTTCAGTTTCTCCAAAGTGAAAGTTCACCTCTGCACAGAAGAGAATGGATTGTCCAAAGCCCCCACATCACATTACACACACACACACACACACACACACGTGAGTACACACATGCACACTTTCTCACTGAGGCTGCAGGACTCAGGAGAATTTACATGGAAAATATCCACAACTTTCCCCAGGTAAGAGAGTTGGCTAATCCCCTGGGTTAGCCAGTCCAGGCCATGCCCACTTGTAGATTTCCTTACATGCAGCAAACCCATTTCCCTTAGTGTTTAATCTTATTCTCATTGGACTTTCTATTACATGAAGCCAAAATCTCCCTGCTACAACTTCTAGAATAAAACTGCAATGTTCTTGTGAAACATTTTTTAAAAGGCATACTCTTTATTTCATTTCTCAGATTTTTAATCAGAATTCTAAAGTATAATTTTTTTCTGAATAGAAGCAAAAAAAAAAAAAAAAAAAAGCAAAACCTATGACCCAAGATCATTCCGTTCCCATTATGCCAATCCTCAACATGGATTGGTGCCTCCAGGAACCAACGTTCTGTGTGGTGTCTGCGGAGGGAGGACGAGCTGGTTAGCAAAGCCTGCTCTATTTTCCTATTACATCAGATGCTCTTTTATTTGATTACACTCAAGAGACGGTAGAATGTAACAAACACATCAGTTTAATATGTATGGATGGTCAAGATGAAACAAGTTCCTGCAGCTTCTTCCTCACTGATTGCAACTGAAAGCTCTGGGCAAAATCAGAAAGCAACTGCTCAAGAGCTCCAGACATCCACAAAAGCAGACAGACTGGGAAGGGAATAAAAACTCGGGGAGGCAACCCATAGAGGGGTATACTAACGTGCTAGAGTCATTGCAGATGGCCACAGACTGGCTGGCAATGGAAATCTACTCTCTCACGGTGTTGAAAACTGGAGTCCAAGATTCAGGTGTGCAGGTGCTTCTTCCAAGGCTTCTGGCCCTGGCTTGCAGGTGGCGTCTTCGCTCTGTGCCTCCTGCAGTATGTGTGTCGTGTTCCAGTCTCCTCTTCCCATCAGGGCACAGGCCAGATTGCGGCCCCTGATGCCCTCATGTTACCTCAATCACGTCTTTAAAGCTGCTGTTTCCAAATACAGTCACACTCTCAGATACTGGGGCTGGGGCTTCATTTTGTGAGTTTCAAGGGGGACACGATTCAGTCCATATAAAGGAAGTGCTTCCTTTGAGGGGTTAGTTTTTTTGTTTTTTGGCTCTCCCCAGTGGAGCGCCAGCTGTGGTGGCACAAGCAGCTAATTCCCAGGAGAAATCCAGTGTCTGTGGCCAGATGCAAAAAGGATCCTGTCTTCAAAGCGTGGGGGGAAGAAATTGTGTGTGTTCTCTCAATCCCCGTCTCTCCCGCCCCTCTTCCTCCCTCCTCTGCTCCGCTTTTCCTGTCTCCTTCCTCTCGCCCCTCTTTCCCCAGCTCTTCTGTCCCTCTCTTTTTCCCTCCCCACTTCTTTTCCCTCCTCCCTTTCTCTTCTCTCCCCTTTCTCTCCCTACTCTCCCTCCCCAGCTTCCTTTCCCTCCATCTTCCTCCTTCTCCCTCTCCCTCCTTCTCTCTCTCTTCTTGTCACGTTTCCCTTTAGGTGGCACCAGTTATAGAGCCACATCTGTGTGGTGCCTCAGGGCAAGGACTTTAAAAGAAACCCCTTCCTTCTGGCCAAAGGATCAGGAGAAGGAGCCCCTGTAAGCTAGGGAGGTGGGGGGAGCCCTTAGAGGAGAGAGCTGCAGAATGGGCTTGTCTGGCTCTGTGTGTAGCACCCCCACAGTCCTGGTCCCCACCTCCCCCCCCCAGCTGTTTGTGCACAGGACAAAATCAGAGCCACCAGAGCAGCTTAGCAAAGGCCTTGGGGCCCGCCCACGCACAGGGAGACAGAACTTGCCCTCTGAGCCAAGCCACATGGATTTGCCTGAGGGGAAAAAATAAACAACATTCCCCGAGGGGTTTTTAACAAGGCTGCATTCCTTCTAGTTTCTTATATTCTGTGTTCTTGATGCCTTGGCATCTGGGGCCTTGCTGACCTGGGACAGACTACCCCTCCCAGGGTTAACTGATTCCTAGAGATAGCAAACAACTCACCTGTCAGACCAGCCTTCAGGGGAAACCAACCAAGCTGGAGTCAGCCCACCCCCACCTCCCCTGTCTGGCCCTTGAGCACCAAACACATTTGCCCCTTCCCTGATCGTCTCAGGGCCAGGTGCCCAACAACTCAGGTGGCCCCCAACCCAGAGCCTGCTGAAAGCATTCAAACTGGCCAGTCCTAAGTCAGCATACGCTGCCTCGCCCATTCCTTCCTGCAGATCCCATGATGAAGGTGCCTGCCACCTTCTCCTCCCCTTCCTTCTGTCCATGACCAACCCTTGTGCTTTCATGGTGTCCCTGCATGTGGAGGCACACCCCACCTCTTGAGAGCTGGCAATTGTGACTTCCTTTGGTGGCCTCACCATACCTGGATAATAATAAAACTTACACTTTAAAATGAAGACCCAGAGCTTACACAAAATCATGTCGAAAATGACCATGATGCAACTGAAAATTAATTGACATATAAATCACCAGGAAAATGTGACCAGTTCTCAAGAGAGAAGATCCCAAGCCTGAAAAGACCCAATGTCAAAGTTATCCCCAAAAGACTCTGAAGCGACGCTCGCATACTTGTGCTCAGTGAGATGAAGGTAAGTGCCCTTCACACGAGTGGAAAGATTGACTATATCATCAGAGAAATAGAAACTGTAAAAAATAACCCAACAGAGCTCGGAGCCACCAGAATCTGGAAGAGGCGAGGAAGGGCTCTCCTCTGGAGCCTCGAGAGCGAGCACGGCCCTGCTGCACCTGACTCCACACTTCCAGCCCCCAGCACCGGGAGAGGGGAAACTGCTGTTTTTTTTAGATGCTGAATTTGTAGTATTTGTTGTGCCACCACGGGAAACCAGTGCAGCAGGGAAAGCCCTGTAAATAACCGACATATGGAGGCCACGATGCCAGGGCCATGCGCCCAGCAGCAACTCAGCAGTGTTGTTTCTCTTCCTGGAGCAGGAACGATGAGGACGGCATAGTGTGGCCAGGGTCCAGGACAGCCGCTGACGCCAGATCCCCCATAAGTAACATCTACCCTCAGGGACGTGTCTGCACCAGTGAGACTGCTGCTCTGGATTCGGGAGTGAGCGCATACTTCATTCTCTTTCTTTATTCCATTTTGTTCATCTCTTCTGTGAAGTGCCGGTTGAAATATTATTCCATTTGTTGAACCACAAAAAGAATTGAATAGGCTGTCTGGGAGATTCTGAAGTTCTCTAGGAGTCGTTTTTTAGCCGTGTAAATTCCCTTTCGCTCTAGATATTTATCGTAAGACCACAGTGAAGAAGCGCAGAAAACCTGAAGTGCAAGTGCTCAGCACAGCGTTATTTATGGTAGCAGAAATATTAAAAATAAATTAAATAACCAACTTTGAGGATTGGTTAAATACATTTCAGTAGACCCATACCAAAAGATGCTCTGCAGCCATTAATCAGTGCTGCTGCTAGTAATGTGCTTGTTAGTTACATTATTACCTAGAAAATTTATTTTAAAATATTATGAACAGTTTTTTTTTCACAATATTGTACAAAATAGAAATGTCTCTGATTCTACAACAAAATATCAACAGTAATTTCCTCTGGGTATAAAATTACAAGTTAACTTTTTATTTCTCTATGCTTATTGTCTAATATTTTAAAAAATTAACATACATTATTTATGAAATTTAAGAGGTATTTAGAACCAAATTTTTAGAAAATTATAGACACATGAATTGTGCATTTTACCGAAAGCTATTCATGGGTTCCACTAAATGTCCTGAGGTGATTTTTATGTACTTTTCGGGATCTGGGCGACTGGAAATGTCTTTCTGGTTTTAGTGTCTCCTTGTTAAAATAGTGGGGACTTTACACACTGGTAGCTCGTTACGTGCTCCATCTGAGAAGCTGCTAATTCCCTGAGTGCCCTGAAATACAATAATCAGAATACAGTTACTAGGCAAAAGCACCTTCAGCATTTTTTCAGGAAAACCTGTACAACTTTCACTAAAAGTTACATTGTATGACTCAAATCAGGTGTATGGTTTATAATGAGACCCACTTCAGATCACACAATTAAATGAAGTCAGCCACTCACCTTTTCAACGTCCAGGCCTATCACAGGACTACATAGTTATTGCCACAGTTCTGTCAATCTAAAGGGTTAATATAATCATGGCTCAATTACCAAGTTCATGAAAATTTAGCAAATATAAACATACATTCCCTTAACAACACTCAGTACCTTAACTGCGGCGACAGTCAACAAAATGCTCTTGTGTGGTTTTGCGTTGCTTTTTGCACTATTACAAATAACAAAACTACTTTGGAGAAGTTTTTTAAAGTTTACAAATAACTGGCAATTTGGGAAACTTTTCAATGCATAACTTTATAAAAAACAAATAAAGACTCATAATAAATTAATATGTTGAATTAGGTCTAAAGTAGATGGGATTACATTAAAATCTCACTTCATTTTATTAAAAATTCAATAAAACAGTGCCAATTAAATGAGGCAATTGGTAAGAACAAGGAGATTACTTGATGTTCCATACATTCTCCCTCATTATGAAGTTTCACTTTTAACAGCTTGTTGACAGTGAGTCTCTCCTGACAGTAGCAGGGCTAGAACCTTGAGTCAGCTTTGCAATCGACTTGTAGAAAAACCCTCAGATTGCCAGTTAGCACATCTGCCTCTCTAGGTAATTGAATTCTTATTGAAAATACATCATTGGCGATGTATTAGAAATAGCGGGAGAAAGAATGAAGTTAGTAGGTGGAAACACTAAAAATTGAGACAAAAGAACGGCATGAGGCATAAGAAAATAATTTAGAAAGTTGTCACTTGCTGTAAGTTCTATTGCATTTCAACTGGGAGATTAGCTCCCAAAAGACTAATCTATTCCCATTTTACTTTTGTGCCACAGGCTGCAGTTTCAAGAGGTGTGGTGAGCTTCCTGGGCCTGCTGACTTCAGTGTCACATCCCAGAGCTTCGTCTACTGAAACACCCGGCTAATGGACGCAGCCACGCATCGTAACAGTCCGCCCACCAAGCCTCAGGTGGCTTGGCTCTTTACAGAAATTCACAATCATTCCACATGACAGCCCACCGGCATCTGAGGTGCCAGCAAAAGCCATATTATTTTGCTAATATCTAACAATTCAGAGGCAGATGTCACAGCAGATATTCCATAGTTTTTGAGTCTTCATTGCGGTTTCTTGATATCGTGGACAAAGACTCAGGGAAGGCCTGAGCCTCACTGACCAGGCTCTGGATTTTGAGTGTGCTTTCCCCAACCTTCAGAGCTTCAGGCCCTTTTTGTGCTTTATGTAAGCCCAGATACTGTTAAAATATCCTACAAGACACAGGAAAGCCCCCTGTGACCAGGAATTATGCAACCAAAAATGTCAACAGTGCTGAGCTTGAGACATCCTGGGACAGAGAGAGAGAAGGAAAATGTCAACCCAGGACTGAGAAACACGGATAAATGTATGATGCGGAGCAGTCTTCAGGGATGATTCATCATTGTCTGTTGAGATTTGTAGAGCAGGAAGACCTGAGCAGATAGAGAAGTACTTCTGGTGGTAATGGCACTTTCACAAAGTTGAGAGCTGAGAGAGTAGAATTATGAAAATCCCACCTCCTTCTTGACACCCGCACTCACAAGCCTGCTGTGTGCAATCGTAACCCAGAAACTTTGGGCTAAAGCCAAAATTCAAACCCAAGCTATTCTACAAGAAAGGGCAAGAAGACCCTGCCCTGATTAACAATGACAACAATTTCCTTTTAAAAACTCAGAAGCCTTTCGAGTTACAGAAGTAACTCCCTGCCACCCCTGCCTGCCACATAAAAGAAGGGAGAAGACTGTCTTATTTTTCCCTTCTAATTCATTGACCCACTTCTCTTTTTTAACTTAAAAAGACCATGCATAATTTGAAAAGTCATGGGTCTCAGCATTTCCCAAACTTCAGAAATTAGGGGAAATTGAAGATGATATTTAGTTGAGTGATTTCCTCTGTTTCCCCATAAACCTTATCGCTTATGACTTCAGGAGACACACAGCATCACTTGGTGGCGTAGGCTTTCTCACCCTATGGCACTGAGCTGTCCTTGATAGCCTCCCCCCATGCTCTGGCTCTCCTGCTCCAGAGCCCCTCATAAAATAAACAAAAACCAAAACCCTGTTCTATACCTATTCTATAGGACCCGCCGGCATACACCCAGGCACTAGGTGTGATGAGATGGGCTGATACCTATTCTATAGGACCCGCCGGCATACACCCAGGCACTAGGTGTGATGAGATGGGCTGACAGAGGCTTAATATGTTCCTCCATGTACTAGCAGGTGACTCTGAGACCCAAAAGAACTTGTCATAGTATACCATAATTGGCATAATATCAGACTAGAGAGAAAACTCTAGATATTCAGGGGGCCAAATCAGCTTTCTGTCAATGTCTAAATTATGCCAAAATAGCCATCCTGCCTCTGGGGAAGACCAGTCCCAGGCCTAGCTGACAATAGATTTCATATTCCCTCTCCACTGGAATGTAGAGACATCTCAGAGAGAGAGAGAGAGGATGGTATGGACCACAGCACACTGTTAACATTTATGTTGATGGCTTTTTTGTTGTTTAAGAGATAAGAAGGTCTCTCTCTGTCATCTGCACTGGAGTGCAGTGGTGAAATCATGGCTCACAGCAGCCTTGAACTCCTGGGCTCAAGTGAACTCTCAAAGTGTTGGGAATACAGGTGTGAACCATTGCATCCTGCTGGCTTTTTAAATATAGTAGAATTGAACTCATCTTTTTATCTGACATTCTGTAGAGATCATTACAGGCCCACGAGGTTTTGCTTTTTTTATGGGTTCTTAAAAACTACACAACATGATAGTGCAAATATACACAATGAGGAAGGTCTCTGGAATCAAATCCATTTTTCTGTGAACCTGTACAGGCAGCTTACTTATGTCCCTGAGGTGGGGAACAGGGCAGCCCTCCACTCCACAATTTCTTCCTCTCTGCTCTCTTTCCTGTTTCTCTATCTCCTCCTTTCTTCTTCTTTTTCTCCCATGTCATTTTTTTCTTCTCTGTCTTACCTTACTTGAGCCCACCAGGAACTCCCAGGGGTACCCAGAAGAACAGCTTGGCTGGAGGTGGCACCTGCAGCTGCAGGGCCACTGGTGCCCTGATAGGAAGAAAGGAAAGTAGGTTCTTGTGCCACAAGATTCATCATCATTCAAACATTCATCAAATTTTGATTGAAGATTTCATTTCTGTCAAACAATGGCTGAGATGAAAAGATGAATTAGATACGACCCAGGACAGAAGGCCCAGGACTTCTCATTATTGCTGAAAAAAGGAACATGACAACAACAGGTAAAAATGAAATATGGACAAAGTCTGGAAATTAATGTTTTAGTGGCATTTGAGCTCCGTTGTGGAGGATGGCAGATGTCATCCGGGCTACAAACCTGTGCTGACAAAGGCACAGGTTTGTTATGAATGAAACCTGGTCCCAGGGTGGAAGGACACCAGAATCACTGAAGCAGGGGCAGCAGGCCCACTGCCAGGAAGAAGCAACCTTTTCTGGGCCATGAGAACTTTTGTTAGTCTGAGGAAGTCAATGGAATCTTTCTTAGAGCAATTTTTATCAGTGTGTAAAATAAATAAAATAAAATACATAGGATTACGATGAAAACCTATTACCTGAAAGTACAGTTCTATCCCTGGGCTTAGCTGTGGTCCATGGCCCCACGTGAGCTACTCCTAACTAGGGCCTAAGGCCAAATTACAAGTGTCAGCTTCCAGGCTGAGGAAGAAAATGGTGGAGACAACACAGGAATGAGGGGCAGTTTAGAACCAGGAGCCCACTGTGGTTACTCATCCAACCCATAGGAAGAGGAGCCCTTCCCCTAGGAAGACTGCAGCGAGTGGCTAAGAGTGGGGTTAGCGGGTGGCTAACACTGGTGTCAGAACTGAGCAAAATAAAGGCTTAGAGAACTAAAAACAGCTACAGGCACAAGCTGTGGTCTTTGCTAGACTGGGACTTCCCGCTTCCTCCCTCTCTGGAAGACACTGATTTTTCCCTTGACAGGAAGTCATTTTTATTTCACAGAATGCCTCCCCTTAGCAATCAGGGCCAACCACACACGTGACTTAATTCCGTCATCTTCCTTCATTCCAGAAGCTCCATGTATCTGAAAGAATATTTGCATAACCAGCTCACAGAGCAGTTTTTCCTGTTTGTTATCTGCTTCTGGGTAACCTAGACTCCTTTAAGCTCTGGATTTGAATGAAATTTGAATGCTGTAGGCCCCTTCAAGTACACCATTTTGGGATTCAAAGACTGTTTATTTCTGGGGTTTCTGAGAAGCAAGTCAGCTTGCTCTGGGGAGCCACAGCTGATTCTGCCTTTGGGAAGAGTGAAGTTACCAAGACTAAAAGCTGGATTCTGGGGAACACAGGTGGGGTGACCAGGGACTGTGTTGAGAACAAAGAGCCAGCATCCAACAGGGACTCCAGAAGGCTGAGAATCTGTCCCCAACCAGAGGTTGCAGCTCAGGAAGAGCTGTAAGCTGCCCTGCTTCTCCCATGCCCACTTAGAAGGAAGCTTCATCAAGAAACCTTGGTTTCTATAAGCACGAGGATGAGGCTACACAAGAAGAACATTGCTTTGTTCAAAGGATCTTCAACTTCTATCCCTTGCTCACCACAGTATGTGAACTAGGACCATTAAAACTACTCAACTCTTTCTTATTTGTAGTAACAACTTATTAATCACAAGTTACATGTTCATTGATGGAGGCTATTTATCTATATATTTTATTTTATTTCATTTTTTATTTTTGCTAGGAGGAAGATGTTAAAGGGCATGCACTAAAACATAAACACTATTTCAAAAACCCTAATAACTTCTCTCCTAAAATATTTCTATGGGAAGTAAATGCCAATTTGCTACCATCTCCCGCATGTGGATGCCTGTAAACAACACTGCCCACCACAAACAGTATATTTAATGTGCCACCTTCTCCCTCACTTGTGGATGCCCATGGACAATACTACCCACTACAGAGAGTATATTCAATATGCTGCTATGTCCAGAATTGGTGGGTTCTTGGACTCTCTGACTTCAAGAATGAAGCCGGGGACCCTCACAGTGACTGTTACAGTTTCTAAAGACAGTGCATCCGGAGGTTGTTCCTTCTGATGTTCAGACATGTTGGGAGTTTCTTCCATCTGGTGGATTCATGGTCTCGCTGGCTTCAGGAGTGAAGCTGCAGACCTTCGCGGTAAGTGTTACAGCTCTTCAAGTGACGCGTCTGGAGTTGTTCATTCCTTCCGGTGAGTTCGTGGTCTCACTGGTCTCAGGAGAGAAGCTGCAGACCTTTGCGGTGAGTGTTACAGCTCATAAAGGCAGCGTGGACCCAAACATTGAGCAGCAGCAAGATTTATTGCAAAGAGTGAAAGAACAAACTTTCCACAGTGTCAATCAGGACCCTAGCGGGTTGCCACTGCTGCTTGGGGCAGCCTGCTTTTATTCCCTTATCTGGCCCCACCCACATCCTGCTGATTGGTCCGTTTTACAGAGAGCTGATTGGTCTGTTTTACAGAGAGCTGATTGGCCCTTTTTGACAGGGTGCTAATTGGGGCGTTTACAATCCTTTAGCTAGACACAAAAGTTCTCCAAGTCCCCACTAGATTAGCTAGACACAGAGCACTGATTGGTGCATTCACAAACCTTGAGCTAGATACAGGGCGCTGATTGGTGTGTTCACAAACCTCGAGCTAGACACAGAGTGCTGATTGGTGCATTTACAATTCCTTAGCTAGACATAAAAGTTCTCCAAGTCCCCACTAGACTCAGGAGCCCAGCTGGCTTCTTCCAGTGGATCCTGCACTGGGGAGGCAGGTGGAGCTGCCTGCCAGTCCTGCGCCATCTGCCCGCACTGAGGAGTGCGGCTGAGGAGCCCTTGGGTGGTCGAGGGGACCCTAGCCATCGAGCAGGGGGCGGCGCTCATCAGGGACGCTCGGGCCATGAAGGAGCCCACCGCAGGGGGGAGGCTCAGGTATGGCAGGCTGCAGGTCCCGAGCCCTACCCTGCAGGGAGGCAGCTGAGGCCCAGCGAGAATTTGAGCACAATGCCAGCAGGGCCAGCACTGCTGGGGGACCCAGCACACCCTCCGCAGCTGCTGGCCCAGGTGCTAAGCCCCTCACTGCCCAGGGCTGGTGGCGCCGGCCAGCCACTCCGAGTGTGGGGCCTGCCTAGCCTACGCCCACCCGCAACTGGCACTGGCCCGCAGGCACAGTGTGTAGCTCCAATTCCCACCTGCGCCTCTCCCTCCACACTTCCCGCAAGCTGAGGGCGCCAGCTCCGGCTCCCGCCTGGCCAGCCCAGAAGGGGGCTCTCACAGTGCAGCAGCAGGCTGAAGGGCTCCTCAAGCAGGGCCAGAGTGAGCGCCAAGGCCAAGGAGGTGCTGAAGGCGACCGAGGGCTGCCGGCACGCTGTCACCTCTCACTACCTTCTCCCTAACTTGTGGATGCCCGTGGACAACACTACCAACCACAGACAGTATATTCAATATGCTGCCTTCTCCCTCACTTGTGGATGCCCGTGGACAATACTACTGCGTCCGGAATTGGTGGGTTCTTGGTCTCACTGACTTCAAGAATGAAGCCGCGGACCCTCGCGATGAGTATTACAGCTCTTAAGGTGGCGCGTCTGGCGTCTGTTCCTTCTGATGTTCAGATGTGCTCGGAGTTTCTTCCTTCTGGTGTGTTCGTGGTCTCGCTGGCTTCAGGAGAGAAGCTGCAGACCTTCGCGGTGAGTGTTACAGCTCATAAAAGCAGTGTGGACCCAAAGAGTGAGCAGTAGCAAGATTTATTGCAAAGAGCAAAAGAACAAAGCCTCCACAGTATGGAAGGGGACCCCAGCGGGTTGCCACTGCTGGCTCCGCAGCCTGCTTTTATTCTCTTACCTGGCCCCACCCACATCCTGCTGATTGGTAGAGCCCAGTGGTCTGTTTTGACAGGCCGCTGATTGGTGCATTTACAATCCCTGAGCTAGATACAAAGGTTCTCTACATCCCCACCAGATTAGCTAGATAGAGTCTCCACACAAAGGTTCTCCAAGGCCCCACCAGAGTAGCTAGATACAGTGTGGATTGGTGCATTCACAAACCCTGAGCTAGACACAGGGTGCTGATTGGTGTGTTTACAAACCTTGCGCTAGATACAGAGTGCCGATTGGCGTATTTACAATCCCTTAGCTAGACATAAAGGTTCTCCAGGTCCCCACCAGACTCAGGAGCCCAGCTGGCTTCACCCAGTGGATCCCGCACAGGGGCTGCAGGTGGAGCTGCCTGCCAGTCCCGCGCCGGGAGCCTGCACTCCTCAGCCCTTGGGTGGTCGATGGGACTGGGCGCCATGGAGCAGGGGGTGGCGCTCATTGGAGAGGCTCGGGCGGCACAGGAGCCCGTGAAGCGGGTGGGAGGCTCAGGCATGGCGGGCTGCAGGTCCCGAGCCCTGCCCGGCGGGAAGGCAGCTAAGGCCCGGGGAGAAATCGAGCGCAGCACAGGTGGGCCGGCACTGCTGGGGGACCCAGTACACCCTCCGCAGCCGCTGGCCCGGGTGCTAAGCCCCTCATTGCCAGGGCCGGCAGGGCTGGCCGGCTGCTCCGAGTGCAGTGCCCGCCAAGCCCACGCCCACCCGGAACTCCAGCTGGCCCGCAAGCGCCGCGGGCAGCCCCAGTTTCCGCTCCCGCCTCTCCCTCCACACCTCCCTGCAAGCTGAGGGAGCCGGCTCCCGCCTTGGCCAGCCCAGAAGGGGGCTCCCACGGTGCAGCGGTGGGCTGAAGAGCTCCTCAAGTGCCCTCAAAGTGGGAGCCCAGGCAGAGAAGGCGCCTCAGAGCGCACGAGGGCTGTGAGGACTGCCAGCACGCTGTCACCTCTCACTACCAACCACAGAGAGTATATTCAATATGCTGCCTTCTCCCTCACTTGTGGATACCTGTGGACAATACTACCCACCACAGATAGTATGTTCAATTTGTGAAAGCCCAATTTGAAGAGGAGGTTCATTGAGAAATCAGTCAGCCAGCATCCAAATGGATAGTCAGCAAGTTAAAGAAGGGTAGAAAGTTTAGAGAGCAGACAGCAAAACGGAGCCAAAGCTTTTCAACCATCCCTGGGAAAGGAGCTGCTGATACATCTACAGGAAACAGTAAATATATGTTTTCTATATTTGAGCAAATTGGTGTAGAGCAACAAATCCCCTGGCTGCCCAAGACTGCAGGTATTAGGTCCTCTCCAACCCTGGTGTCATGCTGTGGCTTTATGCTGGAGCTCTGCCATAACACTGTTACGTATCGACGATGCTGACGGGTCACACACAGAATTCATCTTCTTGGTAACATGTTGATAATTTCATGCACCTCGTGGAAAAAACACATTGAGGAAGATGAGCTTCATTTTGAAGGAAAAAAGAGATTAGTTTTAGTACAAATTGTCATTCATTAATCCACTAATGGATAACTCAGAGCTTGTCTCTGCAGAGCCATTTCTGACTTGGCCAGAAAAAGAAAAAAAAAGAAAAGAAAGCAATTGCACAATGATTCAGCTTGCGATTTAACATTCAAGAGCCTAACAAATGCATTCAGTGAAAATCGAGCCTTATTAAGCCCTCCTGACTTTGACAAAGTGCTTCGGGTGCAGAGAGATGCCTCTGACACTAGACTTGAGGCACTGCTGTCTCTGATAATGAAAGAAGAGCAACACCCAAAGATGTATAAACACAAGGAACTTTTAAAAGAGAAACTCTGTAACTTTCTATTTCAAAAAAGTCTTTGTCTTCGAAGTTTGTCTATGTGGCCGGCTTGTTGAAATTTTCTTCCTAAACAAAATCCGAACGATAGAAAAGCAAAGTTTGTCTTGAGAGAATGTTTTACTGAGGAGTTTAATCAGCATTATGATCATGTTCTTGAGGCATTTACGTATATACTGAATATAACACACTATGCTGAACGCACTGTAGTGAATAGTAAATTATTATGCTTGGATGTGTATATGACTTTATTAAAAAAAACTACTCAAACTCTAAGAATTTTTAAATCTAGTATAATGGAATAGAGACATTTAGTTGTTTTTCAAATGGAGAAGAGATTTATTGCCAGACAAACATACCCAAGTTTTAACTTTTGCTATTTGGCTCATTATTTTCTCATTTTGGTTTTCTTCATTTGCATTTGAATGTGTTTTTCTTCCTCAGAACATTTCTATTGTATATTTTACTTTTAGCAGCATGTAGTGTTCATATAATTGCCCCATATTTTTAATGTTGAAACATTCTCTTAATAATCTATTGAACCATCCTTCCTCTTCTCTCCTCCCACAGCCTACCTGAAGAGGCCTGCTAACACATTTGGACGGAATCCTTTTGTTCTGTCACCCACACTCTGGTCCCAGCAGTGCCGGTGGGAAGATACACGGGACCATGACTGCCCACGGGTTGCCCACTCAAGCCACTCTCTGTAATTGGCCTAATGAAGGTGTTATGCAACACTGTGACAAATGTTAACTTTATGTACCCTGCCACTCTACAAATCAAAGAAATGAATTCATAAGACATAGTTTTGATGGTGGGGGCATTTCTGATAGAATTTGAGATTATTAAGGAATCTCAGGGGCATTAAGTTTGAAAGTAATATCATTAGATCCATCCAAATAAATGGGGCTGATATTGGGAGAATGCATGTATGTACGCAGCTTGTCTTTCCCCCACAGTCCCTAAAATTGGAAACACACCACCAAGAGGAAGTAATAACACTGCAGTCCAATATTCAAAGTCAGATTTTTACTCGTATTGATGATTTTTAACATTTTGGAATATCACTTTATGCCTCCACCTGAAAGTTGTTATAATACCAGAATTCCAGGGCTGTGTTCACTGCAGTGTTTTATAAAAGTAATATTTTTCTTAGTTATTTTAAGGGGGTGTAAAATGAAAAAAAATTATGGCAGGGATAGTTTATTAGTCTCCTTCCAAATCAACAATCCATATTTTTTCCTAACTCTCACTGGTTGGATATTCTTTCACTGCAGGATTATCAGCTAGTAAATACCTCATAGGAGGGGAAAAAAAATCTCCTTCAGACTTAATTCACATTATTTGAGCTCTTACCTTGCATCTCTCAATTTCCACCCTTTTTCTCATCTCTTTAGTAAGGAAATGAGATAGCATCTTTTGAAAAGGGAATGCCCGAAGTCATTTCTCAGTCCTTGAGATGTTTCTGAAACAGATCAATGCCCATCAACATTGCTGCTCTAGCTCCCAGTCATTCTTGGTGATAAAGAAGAAGAGAGGACACACATGGCTGGCTGCCTGCCTGTCTAGAGAGAGGGTTGGGTTATCTTAATAGCGTTCATTCCAAATCTACAGTGTATGTCATGGTTGTTTGGCCAGAAATGCAGTATATCTGTACTTCCAATATCACTCAGGAAGTTGTCAGCAAAATATGGTGTTTGAATTATATCATAGAATCATAGCAAGAGGCTTCCAGTGCTCCCCAGAAGGGTTTTGACATCTTATCATTGTTTATCCGCACCTCTATAATGTGTTAAAATAAAAACCTTAGCCAAATTAAATTCAACAGAATTTAACTGAGCAAAGAGCAATTCGCCAATCGGGCAGCCTCCCAAATCAGAGAAGGCTGAGAGAGAGACTCCAGCACAGCCACGTCATAGCAGATTTATGGACAGAGAAAGGAAAGTGATATACCGAAAATGGAAACCAGCTACAGAAACAGCTGGATTGGTTACAGCTCAGTGTTTGCCTTATTTGAATGTGGCTTGAACAGCTGGCCCCCTTTGATTGACCAAAACTCAGCAATTGCACAAAAGTAGGTTACAATCTGTTTACACCTCCCTTTAGATTATAGTTCACTATGTACAGAGAAACCTTTAGGCTGAACAGAAAATACGTAAGGAGGCAGTTAGGCTAAACTTGATTCAACAGATTCATAGTGTTGTTGATGCCTAGGGTCTTATTACAAACAAAAATTCACAAGTTTTCTATATGTCCTACCAAATTTTGGCCCTGTAGTTTCTGTCCAGCCTCTTGGTTAAGTTAAAACTTCCCATAGATACTTTAATGTGATTGCATAACCAATTAATCTTTTTTTATTCATTCCAACAAACACAAATGTTATCCATTTACATGTAGATGGGCAGGCTCGACTTTAGGCACTAGGGCAGGGCATGTTAGTAGTTAAGTGCAATAAGATGTTAAAAGAATCAAATGATAGAAATGTATAACAGGAACCCTGAATGGGAAGCATAGAGTAAATATCAACGAATTCTGCCCTATTCCAGAAATGTTAAAACTTATAAAGTGCTACCCATTAGTGTCTTCATAGCGCTTTCAGGAAATGCATTCAATATTAGTTCCATGTCTTTGAAAAGACTGTTTTGAAAAAATATAAATCATGTTATTCCATGGTAATGATGTTACTTTAATAAACTAATGACATGTATGGGTGCTAATACAATGGGTATTATTAGTGCATTAACAAAGTAACCAATTAAAGATGTAGAGTTTTCAAATAAACTTCGGGAAAGCATTGATGAACACACAGCGCCCACTCAGGAATCAGTGCAGACTACTTATCTGTTGTCTCTGGGCAAAGGATTCACTCTTCTGAAGCTATTTAGGCTAATAGCTATTATTCCTTTCTATATTCTATTAATATTAGAGTCATTTAAGTTTATTCATTGGCTCCAACAAGCACTATTTAAGCTAATGATGGCATTCAATGGCATCAAAAAGCACGTAAACATCACAGTCAAAAGCTAATCTTGGGATAGTTCCTCCATTCACAAAAGAATCTATCTAGCTCTGACTTTTGAAGTGTACCATAATTCTTGGAAGACAATGGAAGCCGACTCTTGACATAAGACACGTAAAAGTTGGTGATTTCAAAAAAGTTTCCCAATTTCTTCATCAATAGCTCATCCAGTCAGTGCAGTAAAGCAAAATAGATGAGTTCTCAGATAAGACTAAACTATAGAAGAGACGGATGAAACCTGTTTTATTACTGAAATAAGTCATTTTTAAATTATCTTGTCATTTATATTGGGTTTAGCTTCTCTTAATTTGTAACATGAATTATCATATTTTACTCTTCAAAATATTGAACAGAGAATCAATGCCAAGGCAATATTACCCTTAAAACACTACTATTTTTAAAAAATCTTCAGCTATTAGACTTGTCTCAAATAAATAACTTTTCTATCATGTTCATTTATAACTAAGAAAGTGTGTATAGGTCTTGAAGTATTATAAAAGCTATCAGACTTGCTCTCAGCTAAAGAAACCACGGTTTAGGCATGCATGGGCATTATTATCTGAGCAACAACAACAAAAATGTTAACTTACAGAAATATTTTGTTAACAACTTAGGTAACCAAGCTTTTAAATGCAATATAAAGCAATCTTTGAAAGTGCTTTAGTGTGAGGAACAAAGCATTGAATAATATAGCTAACGCTAAAAGTCATTAGAAGCCATTATATTTTAAACTATCACGAACAACAGCTAAAAAAAATTCAGTAGACTGAGTCTCCACTTAGTTAATGAAGCACGTGTTTCTACATGTTCCATGAATATAACAATGCCTACATTCAGTGCTGCAAAGAAATCAAAAACACTAAAACGTTGACCCTCAGAGTTTCTCAAGTGGTAACGCCAATAATCTTCACTAGCAGATATAGAAAATACCACAGAGGTAAAATGAATAAACACCTGGCCATTTAGTCCAATGCATTTGCCTGTAGCTGTGGCCTCCACTTGTTTCTTGTTACAAACAAACTCTAGTCCCTTTAAATCACATAGTCTTCAGAACAGAGAAACTTCCAGTGTTAAAATGGTTGTGGGTCTTGTTTTCATGAATGCATTTTCTCTAACGTGGTCATAATTGTTGCCTTCAAGACCTTCTCTACAGGCTTGTGGATTATTTTTAACAACACCCTTTCTGGATTTTTATTTTTACTATACATTTTAAAAGTTTTTGACTTTATTATTACACAGAATAGCCTGGACATTAAGATTTTTTAAAGAAGCTTCCTGGGTGATTACATGTGTGACATTTGTAAACAATTAGTCTACATTACATTTTCTGTTAAAAAATAAATGAAAGTACAGAAAAGTCTAAGTTTGTTAGGTAATTGGCTTAATTCTTTAATGCACAAAGTAAGTCTTAGGCTTCACATAAGTTAATCAACAGAAATGTAGTATCCACGAGATGTCATTATAATCTCTCTATAGTTAATATGCTAACATTGTGAGGTAAGATAAATGCCCTTTGAAACTCGAATGTAAACACACTCTTTCTAGAGTTAACCAGTGTTATTTTTATACCTTGCTTCAACCTTTCCACACCTCCACCCGCCAACAACCCTCCCCTAAACATGACTCCCTCCTGCTTCATTCCAGGTGGATGGCCCTTTAAGCTTTCACTAGGTGCAAGTATCTTGACTGTGTAACTCACAGCCTGGCAGAGCAGCTGGTTTCAGGAGTGATAACACCAGTCACTACAAGGTTACAATGTTTCTTCTAAAGGGCAGGGGCTTCCCAGAAAATTTCATTCATGCTCTCAGTTCTGCCTGTGGGGTAAAGCGAACTAATTTTACTCAGTCTTCTGTGTAAAAGCTGCTACCCTTCCAATGTTTGTCCCTCCAAAACTCATGTTGAAATTTCACTGTCATTGTGATGATATTGGGAGGTGGGACCTTTAAGAGGGGCTTAGATCATGAGGTCTCTGCCTTCCTGAATGAGCTAGTGCTGTTATGCAGAAACAGGTCTCCCTCTCCCTCTCCCTCTTCCTCTCCCCCTCCCTCTCCCCCTCCATTCCCCCCCTCTTCCCTCTCTTTGCTCTTTCTCCATGTGGTGTCTTCATGTCACAGCACAGCAAGAAGGCCTTTGTCAGATGCCGGCCCCTCAATTCTGGATTTTCCAGCCTCCAGAAATGTGAGTCAATAAATTTCTGTTCATTATAAATTACCCAGTCTGTGGTATTCCATTATATATAGCAGGAAAAATGGACTAAAAAGCACTCTACGGTTTAATGAAATGAGCATATTTTCTTTCCCATTTTTCTTCCGTTTCCTAGAAATAGAGATTGCAAATGGATGCCATCTACATCAATACTCATCTAGAATCTAATTACATCTAGAATCTCTCAGCCATTCAGTGTTTCGTTTATCTATTTCTACATTAAAATATACTCCCAAAATGAATGACTTAAGCCAGCAGCTTATTAGTGTATTTCATCGTTTTGTGGTTTGACTGGCCTTATCATAGTTGTTGATTGGAATCTCCCAAGTGGTTGCAAGTTAGACGGCAGTGTGACTAGAACCATCTGAAAGCTCACGTGGGGTGGCCTCTTCACTCACCTCAGCCATCGTTCCCCCCACTGCCTCCACATGTGCTGTCAGTCTCCAAGGAAATTGCCACTTGGCTTGGACTTTTTTTTTTTTTTTTTTTTGACGGAGTCTTGCTCTGTCACCCAGGCTGGAGTGCAATGACGTGATCTTGGCTCACTGCAACCTCTGCCTCCCAGGTTCCAGTGATTCCCCTGCTTCAGCCTCGCAAGTAGCTGGGATTACAGCCAGCTGCCATCATGCCTGGCTCATGTTTATATTTTTGTAGAGACGGGGTTTCACCATGTTGGCCAGGCTGGTCTCGAACCCCTGACCTCGTGATCAGTGGCTTGGACTTTTAATAGCTTGAGAATCCCAAAGTAGTCACACTTTTAACATGGCAGCTGACTTCTAAAGAGGAGGAAACAGCAGCTTTGAGAGCATTTAAGGGCCACAGTATTATTTTGGCTGTATTTCATTGCTCAAAGCAGTCATTATACTTGCCCCTGTTAAAGGAGGAGGAGAGGTAGACTCCACTGCTTGATAGGGTCACGTGATAAAGAGCTTGTGGAAGACGTTGTGATCACACTTGGTTGGAAAATACAATCTCCCACATTCAACAAACCTTTGATGAGTGCTCTTCATGCCCAGATACCAGGCTAATTCCTAAATATTAGAATGTAAGTAATCCATAGTCCCTGCAAGTTAACAGTTGTAGAAGCTGAGTCACATACTACCTCCATCCCCTAGCCTTCCTCACAGGTACTGCTGTCAAGCTACTGCCTGATATTTACATCAATATTTCTTTCCACTATAGACATGACTTTGCTTCTATCCCTGTAAAGTTGTACCTGGTTGATCTCCCCTTCTATTCTAACCTAAAAATCTCATTCTGAATATCTACCTCTTCAGCTGTCATTATCCAATAAGCATACTGTTCATATTTTATATAAATTGTTCATTTTCTTTTTCAATATGTATTGAGTACTTTCTCTTTTTTTATTATACTTTAAGTTCTAGGGCACATGTGTACAACGTGCAGGTTTATTACATATGTATACATGTGCCATATTGGTGTGCTGCACCCATTAACTCATCATTTACATTAGGTATATCTCCTAATGCTATCCCTCCCCCCTCCCCCCACCCCACAACAGGCCCCAGTGTGTGATGTTCCCCTTCCTGTGTTCAAGTGTTCTATAGTGAAGGCATTGATAAAAATACATACATTAAATGGAACATGAACAATCACATAGCCCTTTGTTATACTACTAGATTCTCCCCAAAGCTAATATTAATTCATCAACACATTCCGAATACAGCTGTTCCAGTGAACTAAAAGCTCTGTAAATGTGTTATATGCCAGCCCATATTTCTACAGCTAGTTCATAAAGAAAAACTATGAGGCTTTCACAGGGGCCATATTTGCTATATCTGATCTGTGAGAACCGTATCCTATCAAAAAAGGAAATAGATTTAGTTTAATGACTTAATGCAAATATAAACAGGTCCCAATTGATTACTGTTTTCTATTTTAGGGTCTTACATGATATTTGTTTTATAACATTTTATATTTTATTATCTTTTTGAGTATTAACACTTATTTTATTTTATTTGATCTTTGAAAGCACCCACACCTGTGTAACAAGAATCATTAGTTGCAATTTAATTAATATACTCAGTTGAGTGTAAATCATCGGACTTCATGATCCAGAGTTCCACCACAGTATTGTTTTGTCTCAAGTCATCCTCAATAGCAGCACTGATTACTGTACCGTAAGTATCCTGCTTACAAAGAGTTCCAATTGGTCTACAAATTAATAGACCAAAAAGAAGTCATCTATGAGACCATTTCCTTCATATCTGAACCCGGCGTAAGGGTCTAAAGGCTATAATCTCTCACACAAAAACTCTTCAGATGAGACAAACACCTGACTTTGGCTTTGGATGCATACGATTTTCTAATATATGAACACATAGACTTGGTTTCTGGCAGCTAAATTTTGTTTATCCATTTTTATTTTTGCATCTGATAACCAGGACCATAAATACACTTGGAAATAATAAATTATAAATTATTTGGAATAAATAAAATAAAAGTTATTTCTAAGTTCCGTATTATCAGAAACAGGCTAGTTTCGCTCCTCTGCTGAATCAACTCCTTCACGGCAGAGCTATGCTGTTTCTGGATCTGATACTTTACTTCAGGATTCCCTGGAAACCGCCTGGGATGGGCACTCCTGAAGCTCCCTGTGGTCGGTTTTTCCTGTTCATAAAATGTACTTCTCATCTGGAAAACCAGAATGCTACTAAAGTCTGTTTTGGTGCAGGCCTGGATATAATGATATCGCATTATCCATTCCATCTCTAAAATATTTCTCAAATATTAACTAATTAAATCAATTACATGGGTAACTTGCTTAAAGGTAGTGACTATATTTTTTTAAGAATGACATGAGCCCACTGCAGACTATTAAGAATCCTGATGTCGCCTGATAAATGTTACCAATCTACAGCATTGCAAGTATTCGTATATTTTATGGCCTTCTGTTTCTAACCTATAGGGAAACTAAGTCACAGGGCTTTACAGCCCTGTAAAAGATCCGAGGTGTCATTCATTCCAACACTAAAATTAAAGGCTCTCCAGATTCTACTTATAAGTCTTATCCACCAGACCATAAATTCTACTTTTGAAAATCATTAAATCCTCCTTTATTTCAAATGAGAAAAGTTCCTTTTAGACCTGGGGGTCTTAGGTTCAAGTGCCAAAAATGAAAGCATTTGTCATAAAACCACAAAAAGAACTTTGATTAAAGAACCACTAATGAAGATCTGACATTTAATCTGCTCTTTTATTGGATAAGATCTTTAAATATTCTCTCTTTATGAATTCATTTGGAATAGTACTCGATCATAGGAACGTGACTGTAAGCTGGTACTAAAAGAAGATAATTAAGCAATATGTTCTGCCAAGGACATCTCCACCCTATACCATCCATCATCCCACGTGGAGAGTTAATAATTTCAGTCATGTTGCCGTGACATTGTAATGAGAATCTTTCATATCCTGCAGCGCCTTTGTCAACTGGACCTGTTCTAAGGACAAATACTGGCATCTCTGTAACAAAACTTTCATATGCTTGCTCTGCCCCTTCTGAGGTCCCCCCGCCCCAACATTAGTAAAGGAAAATGCTAACAGGGCTTAGATGGCAGACAGGCTCCTAAGGACTCGCGCCTCACACTCCAATCGCCTTTGTGGACACGCTACCAATTTACACTGAGATAAACAACATTGTACAAAGTACCAAAGGCAAACTATATGCGCTATTTATTAATACAGAGAGAGAAGCAGATATGCCAAAGTGATATACTAAGAAATAGAGCGATATTTTAATAGGAAATTTAAAAATAGTTTTGTGAAACTGACTTACTATTGAAGGTCTAACAGCACCTTTTTCTCTTTGCTTTTTTATTTGTCCTCAAGAAGTTTCCTGTTGGTTAAATATTTGTATAAAGCCAAAGACAGTTGCACAATTGAAATCCTCCCTACACTACATTCAAGCCTCATCTCAACAAAAACCCTGAAAGTGAAAAGAGGCTGTCAGAATAACAATGAGACTTTGGTTTTCAGAATCCCAGTCAACTGGTGTGTGTGTGTGTGTGTGTGTGTGTGTGTGTATGTCTTTCTTTTGCCCACATAAAGATAACAGGAAACCTGTACCAGAGAAGCACTTACTCCCACAGTCAAAAAGATAATAATTCCCACATTATTAGTAATTTTTATTTACTGACCAAACAACTGTAATAGGTGTTAGTCTGTGTTTGTGGCTTTCAAATAGCTCATTTGTGGAAAAATCTGAGCTTTTCGTAAACCTTTATGAAGGTAGAAAAGACTTTAGGCTGGGCGTAGTGGCTCACACTGTCATCCCAGCACTTTGGGAGGCCGAGGCGGGTGGATCATGAGGCCCAAAGATTGAGACCACCCTGGCCAACATGATGAAACCTCGTCTCTACTAAAAATACAAAAATTAGCCTGGTGTGTTTGGCGTATGCCTATAGTCCCAGCTACTTGGGAGGCTGAGACAGGAGAATCGCTTGAGCTCGGGTGGCGGAGGTTGCAGTGAGTCGAGATTGCCTCACTGCACGCCAGCCTGGTGACAGAGCGAGACTCTGTCTCAAAGAAAAAAAGAAAAAAGGGAAGACTTTAGACTACACCATGAGGTCCTGGAAACCCACAGATGTTAGATGTTTGCCCTCAGAAAGGCCCATAGGAAAGGCTTTCTATTGACCCCACAGGAATACAAGTAACTCTCTCAAGGTTTTCAACTTTATGTTAAGATCTTGAAGTCTCATGGGGCTGAAGACAAAATATTACATCAGAAAAAGATTATGTGGGGAAAAGTGTTTAACCATATTGCATTTTCCAATGAGAAAGTAAACCAAAGAAAAAGTAGACACACCAACAGCATTTTCTTGCTGAGCTTAGTTTTGTCCATATCATAATAGCTTTTGTCTTTTCAGGTTACAGTGGAGATTTAGGGAGATTTTATTTGCTCTAAATAAAGGTTTTGTGTCTCTATGAAGAGATGGGATTCAGATGGGTCTCTACTCAGACCCCTCATCGCGCATATCACAGTGGCCTGGACACTGGAGGAAAGATTTCCTTTCTCAGCCATCACTGGGTTCACTGCTGAAGCCCAAGTAACAAAAGACAGATTAACAAGTGGAAAGCGTACAGATTTACTAAAGTAAGTCTCATGTGACATGAGAGCCTTGGAAAATGAAGACCCAAAGAAACAGAGTGATCTGTGCATCTTGATGCTGGGTGTGACATCGTGGATAGCTGTAGAGAAGTATCATCAGACAAAGGAGGAAGGGCCTAATGGTAACAAACCAAGGCAACACTTTTTGAATGAGGCCTGTTTTCTCAGATTCTTCTCTGTCCTCATGTCCTCAGAACAAGGACATTCATTACTTCCAGATATGAGGTGGGCACCTCTCACATGAGGATCTTGTGACCTGATTCTGGGGAAGGTCAGAAAATTATTTGCTAGTTTGTTGTTGTTGTTGTTGAGAGGGAGTCTCACTCCATCGCCCAGGTTGGAGTGCAGTGGCACGATCTCGGCTCACTACAACCTCTGTCTCCTGAGTTCAAGGGATTCTCCTGCCTCAGCCTCCCATGCCTGGGATTACAGGCACCCACCACCACGTCCCGCTAATTTTTGTATTTTTAGTAGAGATGGGGTTTCACCACGTTGGACAGGCTGGTCTCAAACTCCTGTCGTCAGGTGATCGGTCTGCCTCAGCCTCCCAAAGTGCTGAGATTACAGGCATGAGCCACTGTGCCCTGCCTCTTTTCTAGTTTTTATCACCTGCTTCAGGGGAGAGGGATGGGGGAAGGTCAGAGGGTCCTTCCTGCTTCTGTGGTTTTCTCAAATGCCAAGGTGTCGTACTTTGTGGTGTCCAGCCCCGAATTTCATCGGCTGCAACTGCTTTCACCTCTCCTGCTCCCATGAGACTCCATGTTCCCCAAAGGCCATTTCGTCTCATCTGTGACTCTCCATCCCAAACACAATGCTTGGCAGTGTGATCGATATGTGCTTCGTGCATATTAGTTACCTTGAAAATTTTCTCAAGGCCAGACTCCAAAAAAAATTATAAATACATGGAAACCAGTGGAATCAGGTAAAGGCAAAACTATTCAAAGAAACTCGACTCACCATTGAGAGAAAAAGAAAGTCAATCCCTCTCTGTGCTAAGTAAAAATTTTACTTTATTTCAGCACTTTTCAAAACTACGAGTCACATAAAAAAATCACTACGGCTGGGTGCAGTGGCTGACTCCTGTAATCCCAGCACGATGGGAGGCCAAGGCAGTGGATCACCTGAGGTCAAGCGTCTGAGACCAGCCTGACCAACATGGTGAAACCCTATCTCTACTAAAAATACAAAAATTAGCCAGGTATCGTGGTGGGCACCTGTAATCTCAGCTAGTTGGGAGGCTGAGGCAGGAGAATCACTTGAACGCGGGCGGCAGAGGTTGCAGTGAGCTGAGATCGCACCGCTGCACTCCAGCCTGGGGCTGAGTGAGACTCCATCTGAAAAAAAAAGAAAAGAGAAAGAAAGAAAGAAAAAAAGAAAGAAAGAGAAAGAAAAAGAGAGAGAGAAAGAAAGACAAAGAAAGAAAGAGAGAGAAAGAAAGAAAGACGAAAGAAAGAAAAGAAAGAAAGAAAAAGAAAAAAAAGAGAAAGATCGCCAGAAGCCTTGAAAAGTCACCTCTCTCAATAAAGGCAACTGTTTTCCTGTGGAAGGCATTACGTCATGTATGGACATCTTTCCTTTTTATGAAGGACATATTAGTGTTCTTATTTATTGGCCTGATCCTAACACCTCTAAATTTTAAATGAAATTTTTTCCTATATTTAGCCTGGTATGTTGGTCCTTTTTGGATGGGTTTATAGTGGATATTCCAGTTTTCTTAGTTGTTACATAAACTCTTGATTTGTGTTCCAGAAATTTAGTCCCACCTTCCTTTTTTTCCTGTGAAAATACTTTTCAGGATGATGGCAGCTTCATTGTTCCAGGAAAATACTTTTCAGGATGATGGCAGCTTCATTGTTCCAGGGGAAATGTAAATTTGAGTTCTGAAATTGTTTTTGAACACCGGGTTTCTTCTTTTTGTATTTTAACTGAGAAGTAGACAAAGATGTTTCACTTAAACACTTAGACATGATTTATTCTATAAGTTAACTCTTTACCATGGAATAAAGTCACCTTTAGAAAATGACAGAAAAAAATAGATGGGAAGGTGTTTATTCTCTGATATTTTTCCAGACCCCACAGGAGCAAGGAGGGCGGTAACCCATGCTTTTCTTCCCTAAAGCAACAGCCATTTCTCCCCCCGCCAAAAAAAAAAACTGCTGCTTTCTCCGAACACCTAAACGCCCTAAATTCTTTCTTTACTCCATTCTGCTCCTGCTCATTCCTCTAACGTGTATAAACTTCCCATATACCATAGCAGATGAGGATCCCTTTGGTTGTATCTTGTCAATACCAAACAGAATATGACAAGTGATAAACCCTTACTGTTGTCTTATTCTTAAAGTTTCAAATGTTTCCCATTATTTCTCCACCGTGGCCTCATATATGTCGTTGCCATTCTCGTTCCTGTGGAACTGGAAAGATTTACTGTTTCTGTTCTGAATTTCAACCCTCAATGTAAGCAGTGGGAAACAAAGCACCCTGTCCATGAGGAAAAATAATAAAGAAAACATTTAACCTAGAAAACAATAAATGTTTGTTTCAAAATGTTTTGTATTCAGTCAAAGGGTGACTGAATACAAAATAAAACAAATCAAGGAGAATTTTCATCTAAATTTAACAAAGTGGGAGACATCAAGAGTAACTAAGTGTCAGTGAGCTTGAGAAACAGATCTCAAAGTAAATCTCTGAAAACCCATTCAAGATCCTGATGAGTAAGAACCGCAATCAAGCAAGGAAGCACAGGTAAGCAAACAAAACATCTAAAAGAAGGCTTTTACATTAAAAAAAATCAGAAAATAGTACCTGACGAACTTCTAATAAAATTCAAAACCCTCATGAAAAATGGGAGGAGGAAATGCCACGTTAACTGCCCCTGCTCTATTGTACTCAAAACTCCTGCAGGTGCACAGATGCAGGGAAGAGAGAGTGTTGTGGTAAGCACGCCTGCTATGTTAGAGGAACTCTACAAATGAATCACAGGAAACAGAATGGTTACATTGTCAATGAGTAGAATCTGCTGTCAGAGAAACTCTATAATGAATCACATGAAACAGAATAGTTCCCTTGTCACCGAGTAGAACCTGCTATGTTAGAGGAACTCTATAAATGAATCACATGAAACAGAATGATTCCGTTGTCACCGAGTAGAACCTGCTATGTTAGAGGAACTCTATAAATGAATCACATGAAACAGAATGATTCCGTTGTCACCGAGTAGAACCTGCTATGTTAGAGGAACTCTATAACGAATCACATGAAACAGAATGGTTCCGTTGTCACCGAGTACAACCTGCTATGTTACAGGAACTCTATAAATGAATCACATGAAACGGAATGGTTCTGTTGTCACCAAGTAGAACCTGCTATGTTAGAGAAACTCTATAAATGAATCACATGAAACAGAATGATTCCGTTGTCACCGAGTAGAACCCATTGGCCAATAACTTTGACAAATATTATTTTCTGGATATTAAACACAAACATAAATATTAAAAATGTTTATGTTGGCCAGGCGTGGTGGCTCACGCCTGTAATCCTAGCACTTTTGGAGGCCCAGGCGGGCAGATCACAAGGTCAAGAGATCGAGACCAGCCCGGTCAACATGGTGAAACCCTGTCTCTACTAAAAATAAAAAAATTAGCTGGGCATGGTGGTGTGTGCCTGTAATCCCAGCTACTCAGGAGGCTGAGGCAGCAGAATCTCTTGAACCCAGGAGGGGGAGTTTGCACTGAGCCGAAATTGTGCCACTGCACTCCAGCCTGGGCGACAGAGCAAGACTCCATCTCAAAAAAAAAAAAAAATGTTTATGTTGAAGACAATGTTTCCATCCACAGATCTAAGAGATTTGCCCTCAAATTACAAACTGTTTTGTAAAGTGAACAAAAATGCCCCACGACTCTCCCTACATTTTTTAATATCATTCCTGTGATCATTGTCTCTCTTTTCAATAAGTTTCTCATTCAAACAAACTGGAAAATTCAGGTGATTATCTGAATCAAAAGACATATATTTTACCTAAATTATCAGAACAAGGCTCTTAAACATTTTGCTTTGCTGTGGTTATGCAGACTTGTTCTCTGTGCACTAAAGCCTCCCAAATCATTTACATTATTTTGATCCCTGGTCATATAAATTATTAGTTCTGCTTTAGAGATCAGGAAATTGATGCATTTCATTTTTGCATTTAACTCATATTAAGGTGGTCCCTTTACTAAAAGTGGAAGACATAAAGATTAATGTGATTCAGTCTCTGCCCAAAAGGAACTCACACAGATAAGCATATAGATTTTAGTATAAAAACATATAAACCATGGAATGTTCTATAATAAATCTATAACAAAGATTTAAGTACACGCAGAAGCCTGGAGATGCCAGTCGGTGCCACAGTCGGATGAAAGGATATATGCGCCAGCCCTTTCTAAATGTTACCAGTGCTGTGCTTAGTTAAGAGAATTGGTGGCCAAACTAGAAACCAACTCATTTTCAGTAGCTACACAGACTACCATGAAGAAATGACTCGGGACAAATGACTATAAACCTTGGGTCAAATAGCAACAAAGATTCTCTTCTTGACCAAACTCTAGTCAGGCTCCTCTGAGCTACTTTTTCAACAAGGTCTCATCCTTGGGCCTTGTCCTCAAGAGCCAAGAGCCAGAAACCTGCTAAGTCAGTTTAGCCAGAACTTCCTGCCCTCAACAAGTGTTCTGATCAATTTCCTCACTCCTCCCAGAACCTCCTGCACTCAACGTGTGTTCTGAGCAATGTCCTCACTCCCCCACCATCCCCAGGTGATATCTCAGCACTCTAGTGCCTGCAGGATTCTGAATAAGTTCAGACAGAATCCCCTGTACTCCTGAGGTTTTTTCTTCATAATTTGGCACCTACTGACTCCCACCCTTGGCTGTAAATCCTCACTTGTCCCTGATATATTTAGAGCTGAGTCCAATTTCTCTCCCTACTGTAAAACCCCATGGCAGTGGTCTCTTAACCTATCAAGATAATCCCGCTGAATGAATTCGGCCTTATTGTTTTAACAAATGTCATGAATGATTTTTTTTCGATGATAAGCTAGACTTGCTATGGTATAGTAGAAAATATACTTGATCATTGACACGGGTTTCTGGCATAGAGTTCCTAAAACCCTTGGCATTTCTGGAGTGATAGGAGTATCTTTTGTTACTCATAATAAGCCCTTTTCAACAATACTGAGTCTATGTTAAGGAGGTGACTCTTGCTGGGCCCCTAGATGGATTCAGGATAGGGGCTGGTTGCCAGAGGAACCAACCAAGCGGTTAGAAGGTTGGAACTTTCAGCTGGACTTCCCCCTACCTCTGAAAAGGGAAGAGGGGCTGGAGATTGAGTTTAATCACCAATGGTCAATAATTTGATCAATTATGCTATGTAATGAAACCTCCCTTAAAACCCATAAACAATGGGGTTTGGAGAAGCTCCAGGCTGAGGAGCCCATCAAGATGCTAGAAGGGCGGCACATCCAGGGAGCGTGTGGGAGCCCCATGCACACACATTCCCCTGATCCCTTACCCTGTGCATCTGTCGCATGTGGCTATTCCTGAGCTACATTTTTCATAGTAAACCAATCATAGTAAGTAATGCTTTCTCTGAGTTATGTGAGTCATTCTAGTGAGTTTTGAAACCTGCACAAGGAGATGTCAAGGGAACCTCCAGATTTAGGAGATGTCAAGGGAGCCTCCAGATTTAGGAGATGTCAAGGGAGCCTCCAGATTTGTAGTCAGCCAGGCAAAAATGTGGGTAGCCTGGGTGACCCATTTGTGGCTGGCATCTGAAATGGAGACAGTCTTGTGGAACCAAGTGTCAGAATGGAATCGAATCATTGAACACTCAGTTGATGTTGGAGAATTGGAGAATCCATGCTGAAAAAGATACCACATCTTTGGTGTCGGGGGGAATGAAAACCTCTCAGCCACATGAACTTCAACAATTTTCCTGCCATTCCAGAGTCAGTTCTGCTTTTAGATATGAGAAATACTAATAACACCTAAAGGCCTCATGCTGAACTGAGTAGCCATTCCTCCTCTGAGATTTAGCATGAACCACATTATATTGCAATTGTATTTATTGGTCCACCTCCCTCACAGGAACATGAATTCCCAGAAGGCAGGAATCACATGTTATTTGTATTTGTCATATGATAGGCAATCAATCAATATTGGTTTAATAAAAGGAAGAAAAAATTTCTAATAGAAGCTGTAATTAATTCCTTTGCTCTAAGCAGAAGCAAATAATGATTTCCGTAACACTAACCTGTCCTCCAAACTATAATGAAAATTGAGCTAGAGGATTTGGATTGGCCATAATAATAATTCTCTGCAGCTGGACAGAACCCACAAGGTTATATATAATATTTGAAACAATGCATAGAATACTAATTAAATTTATAATACGTGGAAAATACCAAATGCTGATGAGGATGAGGAGTAACTGGAATTCTCATAAATTGCTTGTAGGAATGCAAGATGGTATAACCACTTTGGAAACAGTTTGTCAGTTTCTTATACAGTTTAACGTATATTTCCCATAAGACTTAGCAATCACACTCCTGGATAGTTGCCCAAGAGAAATGAAAACATATGTACCCATAAATACTTGCATGCAAATATTACAGTGGGTTTATTCACAGTAGCCAAAAACTGGAGGAAAAGAAAAAAAATCAAAATTTCCATCAACTGGTGAATAAATTCTGGTACATTTATACACCTGAACTCTACGAAGCAATGAAAAGGAAACAACTACTAATACGATCAAGAACGAATGAATATCAAAAATATTAGTCTACATGAAAGAAACGAGGCACAGACTGTCTGTTTCCATTTAGATGCCATTCTAGAGAAGGCAACACTAGGAACAGAAAGCAGACAAGTGGCTGCAGGGCTGGGTCTCAGGAAAGACGACCGCCTGCCATGAGGCAGGGAGAATTGGGGGTGACGGACACATTCTGCATCATGACTGCGGCGATCGTGAAGTACGACAAGGATTTGTTTTCCTCTTTCATTGTTAGGTTCATAACTGAGAGTCGAAAACAAAAGATTAACAAGAGAAAGGCATACACATTTATTTAACACAAGTTATACATAACGTGAAGACTTCACAAGTGAAGGCCTAACAAAACAGAAAAACCTGTGTATTTTTATGCTAAATTTGGTGAAGAAGTGTATAGTAGAGAAATATGATTGGAGGCCAAAAGCCTTGATATAATAGTAATAAATTGGGGGAACTTGAGCAAGGCCTGTGTCTTCAGATTCTACTTGACAGCTCTGTGTCTTGAAGGATAGAGATGTTCCTTTCCTAGGACATAGGGAGGGCAGCCCTGAAGTGAAGGTTTTATTATCTACTTTAGAGGAAGGTCAGAGAGTTATTTTATGACCTGTTTCATGGGAGACGAGCAAGGGGAAGGTGAGAGTGACCTTTCTGCATCTGCCATTTCCCCAAGTGCCAAGGTAACGTATTTTGGGGTAGTATATCAAGAACCCCGTCACCATATGTAAATTATACCTTAATAAACCCTGACTTTAAAATGTTACAATTCATTGTTTAGTCCTGTTGTTGATATAGGAGTTAAAAAGAAATTACTTGAGCAGATAGTGAGGGTACAAAAGTGCTCGGTAAAGGTTTTCTTTTTTAGTGAAAAGGAGGCCCAAAGTCACTTTCTAAGAAAGAGCAGCCTGTAAGATGGAGCTGCAGACATAGACAAGCCAGCTGCAAGCTTGCACGGGTGAAGGTCAGCAGGAAAAACCTACCGGGACTAGGCATGTTCAAAATAGCGGCTCCATCTCCCTTTCCCTTTGCCAACCACGTGTACAGGAAGGAGCAGACAAGATGGCACCGGTCAAGTGGAAAGCCCAATTGCATAATAACGTTAGGGTGGGGCGGCCAGCCTTCTCCTCATGCTATGTAAACCTCACACCTGATATAACCAATCTGTGGGTCCTACATAAATCGGACACCACCTCCTCAAGCCTATCTATAAAACTTGGCGCACTCTGCCATTGGCCAGTCTTTCTCTTTCAGAAGCCCTTCTCTCTCTCACAGGAGAGAGAGCTATTCTCCTTTCTCTTTTTTCTGCCTATTAAACCTCTACTCCTAAACTCCTCCATGAGTGTCTGTGTCCTAAATTTTCTTGGCATGAGACAATGAACCCCAGGTATTTACACCAGACAATGTCACCGCTTCATTATTAAGTTGGAAAAATGTAAAACTTAAACATTGTCCCAAATATTCTTTTTTTGCCTTTGTTATGTTTCCAGGACATGGAAGTAGAAATTCTCTTCCCAATAGTAGGAATTTCCAATATTTTTTTGTTAACAAGAAATTTGAAATTAAAATATTGTTTACTTTTTTATGTTCTTGTCTTATTAACAAGTCTATGGTAGAGGGTGGAAGCAATTAAAGGGAGTCCCCTTCACACTTTTGTTGCTTATTTACTCTAGCAAATAAAACCAAAACATTCTATCTTCAGATATGACATAATAATCAACTATGAACCTTGGTGTGTGGGTTATTCAAGCCAGCTTCCTTTCTCCTGAAGCAGGAATAGCTGAAGGATCTCCCCAGCCCACCTTAGATGATAAGTGGTCTTGCCCTGAGGCTCTGGCATTTATATAGCACCTCCAAAAAGCACAGTAAACCTTTAGGAGTTACAATTCATTTGATACAAATTCTGTAGGGCGTCTCCTCCAAAATCATAAAGAGCTATTTCATTAGTTTAGACACTATGACAATTTCTCAACCAATATTGCCGATGGAGACAAGAGGGAAACCTGTGTTAGAAACTAAACCAGTCCCAACTGTTATTTTGACTAAATAAGGGTATCAACTTTTAAATACTATTAACTCTTAGGGCGTGTAAACCAGAGTTGAATGTATTCTAAAGAAGAAAGAGAAAAAAGAAGGAAGGGAGGAAGGAAGGAAGGAAGGAATCAAGGAAGAAGGAAGGAAAGAAGGGAAAGAGAAAGAAAGAGAAAAAAGACCAAAAGAAAAGAAAGGAGAAAGAGAAAGACGAAAAGAAAGAGAGAAAAAGAAAGGGAGAAAGGGAGTGAGGGAGGGAGGGGAAAATCCAGTAAAAAGGAAATGGTTTGCTCGAGTGGAAAAATATGGCCGCAGATTGTAAAGAATGACCTGAGAGAATTAGTGCTTCTTTGAAATCTGAACACGGCCTCGCCATATTTCAGAATTAATAGGGAAAAGAGAAACACAGATTCCTGAAACCCCATAATAATTATGTGTATTACCATCATTTATGTCCCTGTCCCTGGCAGATTTTATAAGAGTTGTTAACAAGTTAAAAGAAGGTGATAGCTTTTCACCTGATTCTCTGCTTTGCCTACACAAAATAGATCATGTATTTTCCTCAAAGCCAAAGTTCCTTCTTGACTGTGCTATTTCTGTCAACTACATGCTTATAAAACATGGAGTCAACTGACTCTTCCCATCTGAATCCCAGCATGCAGTCAGCTCCCAGCCCTCCTCTAGGGATGCCTCACACAGCCACCCCAACACCCTCCTTGCGGTTCACCCAGGATAATGCCACCCACTCTCATTTGGCTTCCCTGTCTCAAGTTTTTGTCTCAGTCCATCTAACTTCTATTTCTAATGTAATTCTTTATTACAAAAATAATTTGTGCAGATCAGTCTCCTCCAGAAAAACCTCCAATGGCTCTTTACTCCTGCCAAAGGTTAAAACCTATTTAACAGGTCAAAAATTACAACACTTCAAAACGCAACTCACTATCGCCACAATTTTGCTGCTGTTCACCTAAATTAACCCTCTAGTTCAAACTAGCTTATTCTCTCGAGAACGTGCTGTGTTCGTTACCTGACACGAACCTTTGGAAAGTGATTTTTGGTGGGAAAGATATGCTCAGAAAAAAGTTGGCTGAACTTATTAAGGATGTCCTCCCTGAAGATTTTCAGTATGTGGGGACTTCCCATTCCTCAGTGCAAGGCTGCAGGTGCTCGTGCCAGGCTAAGCCTGTCCAGCCCCACGCTCAAAGCACTCTCTCTCCTCAACCGCGGCATTCGTCTGCACCATTCTTTTAGAAATTAACATCTGTAATGGCCCACATTTGAGTGTGTGTGTGTGTGTGTGTGTGTGTGTGTGTGTGTGTGTACACATCAATATATGTAGAAATATGTAGGTTATTAAATATATATTTACATTATGTGTGAAGCAGCATCATTGTCAGTGGTAAGTACCAGGGGTTCATCCTCTTGTGCTGAGAAAATTAAGGACATGAACACATGTGGGTGGGTTAAGGAGTAGAAAGTTTAATAGGCAGAAGAAAGGAGAGAGGAGAGCAGCTCCTTGTGAGAGAGAGGTGTCAGAAAGGGGGACAGTGTCAGACCACAGCAGAGTTTATAGGCAGGCTTGAGGAGATGGTGTCTGCTTTCCCAAGGGCTCATGGATTGGCTTGACCAGGTGGGACGTTTACATAGCAGGCGGGAAAGGCTGGTAGTCCCACCCTAATCTTATTATGCAAATGGACTTTCCACTTGACCTTCACCATCTTGTCTGCTCCTTACAATACAGTGGCTGGCAAAAAGAGAAAATGGAGCCACCACTTTGAACATGCCTAGCCCAGGTAGTACATTACTATGGGCACAATTGCTGACATTCACCCATGCAAGCTTTCAGCTTGCTTGTTTATGTCTGTAGCTTGATTTTACAGGCTGCTCTTTGTTAGAAAAATAATGATTTGGGGGCCACTTTTGATTAAAAGGAAAACTTTACTGAGGACTTCTGTACCCTCACTAACTGACTAAGTAATTTCTTTTCAACTCCTATATCATATGCACTTGTGATGCTGTGAAATATATATTTGACCTTCCTTCTGCTTTCCCCCTGCCTGAGATACAACTCCTAATGTCCTTGGAATCTCTAAGTGCTGTCTTTTTGCATGCTAATGTTGACTAATAGCTTCAAGGTGGGGCTGGTCACCAAAAAGACCAAGGAAGGATTAGAGGGTTGGGACTTCCAGACCCACCCATCAACCTCCTGGGAGGGGAGAGGGGCTGAAGGTCAAGTTGAGCACCAATGGCCAATGGTTTAATCAGTCATGCCTATGTCATGAAGCCTCCATAAAACCCCGAAAGGACAAGGTTGGGGGCATTTCCACATACCTGGACACAGGGAGGTTCCTAGAGGGTGATGCCCAGAAAAAGCATGGAAGCTCCTTGCTTCTTCCCCCATACCTCAACTTACGCATCTCTTCATCTGTGTCCTTTGCAATATCCTTTATAATAATCTGATAAACGCAAGTAAGTGTTTCCCTGGTTCTGTGAGCCATTCCAGCAAATTAATTGAGCCCAAAGAGGGAGTCATGGGAACCCCAAATTGAAGCCCATTGATCAGAAGTTCCAGAAGCCCAGACTGGAGACTAGTGTCGGGGTGGAGGGCAGTCTTGGGGACTGAGCCCCCAACGTGTGGAATCTGATGCTGTCTCCAGGTAGATAATGTTGGAATAGAATTGAAGGACACTCACCTGGTGTCTGCTGCAGAATTGATTGTTTGCTTGCCATTGGGAAAAAATCCTCACACATTTGGGATCCCAGAATCTTCTGTGTTGATTGTTGATATGTGGTATCAGAGCAGAGGAAACACTGTTTGAGAGGTTTTCCCAAATAATACTGTATATTTATGTTTACACTTAGATATGTATGTATACATGATTATTGTTGTATATTAATGTTATTAAATTTATTCATATTTTTCTATTCTAGTGTATTAGTCCATTCTCTTGCTGCTTTGAAAACATACTCAAGACTGGGTAATTTATAAGGGAAAGTTTTTGTCTTAATTGACTCACATGGCTGGGAAGGCCTCAGGAAACTTACAATCATGGCTGAAGGGGAAGCAAGCACGTCCTTCTTCACAAAGGGGTAGGAGAGAGAAGTGCCTAGCAAAGCGGGGAAAGCCCCTTATACAACCATCAGGTTTCATGAGAATTTACTCACTATCTTGAGAACAGCAGCATAAGGGTAACTGCCCCATGATTCAATTACCTCCCACCAGGTCCCTCCCACCACATATGGGGATTATGGGAACTAAAATTCAAGATTAGATTTGGGTGGGGACAGAGCCAAACCATATCATCTAGATAATTTTATTAAATAGTAATCATTTATAATTAATATATCTAACTTATACAGTATATATTATGATATATAATTGATAATTTTAGATTAATATATTGATAGATTATAAAATATATGTTTGCATAAGATATATATTAATTTTTATTTTATATTTATTTGTATGTATATATACACAAAAGCATATACACACAGATATTTCCTTTATCAATATAAATACATATGTGTATACATATATGTATATATTCACATATATCCGATAGGTCATTGTTTCTCCCTACTGGGCAATAGACTTGGCATCCAAATACTTACTTACAGTATGAAGTACAAGTTTTTCAAAAATATAATAGCAGCATAAGGAACAAAAAGAAAGAGTGTGTAAACAAGTGGAACTACTGGAAGCTGTCCAAGATAATGTCCCACATTCTACATTCTTGGCCTGTCATTCCGATAATCCAAGATCCATGTGAGTCCACAAGTCCAAAGAGCAAGACATTAGGAAGGATAGCAGAGGTGCTGACATCACATACAAGTGACCTCTCTACCCCTAGTCAGGGAATGGGTGAATAGAAGAGTATTTGGAGAGAATGAAAATCATAGAATGTGACTGTCACAGAGTTAATATGTTAATACATAAGATTTATTTTTTAAAAACTTGAAAGAAAAGAAAAACGAATAAAGGTATTGAATTAAAAATTCTTGGAAAAACAAAAATTAATCTCACAACCGCTTAAACACAGATTACAGCAAATTTTGAAATGCCTCTCAAATTATTGAGTGCTTGTTCAGTTATTTTTAATAAATGTATTTAATATGGATTGTGTACAGTGAAATGCTCATTCTTGTGCTAGTAAAAGTGAATTTTAGTAAAATCATTCTTGATAAGACTCTGTATAACTTTGGACATAAATTACTATTCCTGCCTGGGCATGGTGGCTCGGGCATGGGGTGCATGCCTGTAATCCAGCTACTTGGGAGGCTGAGGTGGGAGAATCGTTTGAACCCAGGAGGCCGAGGTTGCAGTGAGCCGAGATCACACCACTGCCCTCCAGCCTGGCCAACAGAGTGAGGATTCATCTCAAAATATATATATAATTGTTATTATTATTCCTTTTAGAAATCTTATCTAAACAAATTTGGGCCAAGACTTGTTTAAAAGATGTCTGGACATTTTTCTCTAACAGCAAAATTGGAAAACAAACTAAACGTTGATAAATAAGAGAAAAGTAAGATCAATTATGGTCTGTCCCGTATGAAGCTATTTATTTAAATTTTGCTCTTTATGTATTTTCAATATTCAGTGCAATTGCTGCCACCAGCAGCTGTGTGGCCTTGGCAAGAGCCTTCCTTCCTCTGCGTCTTGATTTCCTCCAAGGTGGTGGAGACCTCAGTCCTCCAGAGGACACCTAGTTGCGCTTGCGTCTGCTGCTGCCACTGCTAGATCTTTGACCACGGAAGGTAAATGAACCCCTCGAGGCCTAGGTTTCTTACCTGTAAGGCAGGGATAATAATAATCATAACGACCTCGGCCGGGCGCGGTGGCTCACGCCTGTAATCCCAGCACTTTGGGAGGCCGAGGCGGGCGGATCATGAGGTCAGGAGATCGAGACCATCTTGGATAACACGGTGAAACCCTGTCTCTACTAAAAATACAAAAAATTAGCCGGGTGTGGTGGGGGGCGCCTGTAGTTCCAGCTACTCGGGGCTGAGGCAGGAGAATGGCGTGAACCCGGGAGGTGGAGCTTGCAGTGAGCCGAGATCGCACCACTGCACTCCAGCCTGGGCGACAGAGAGAGACTCCTTCTCAAATAAATAAATAAATAAATAAATAAATAAATAAATAAATAATCATAACGACCTCATCAGCTTGCAAGAATCAGTTCATACGCACACACACACACACACACACACACACACAACACACACACCCCACATTATACACATACAAAACACCGACAACAGAACCTTTAGAGCTGTACGTGATAACTGTATTGTTTTCACCTTTAAAATGAGAAGCTTAGACAGACAGAATCTGAGAGCTCCCTTTCAGTTTTAAATTGTTTATTTTTGTTTTAAATTTTGTTTCTCAGACCTCTCAGGGATGAATACAATTTTTAAACTGGGGGAATTTTAATTACTGATTGGGGTTATCATATTTAGATGGTTTGATAAAGAATTAAACTTGCAGTTCTAATTTAAAAATTGAGAAGGTATCCTGTTTCTACTGGTGAAGACATGAAACCTTAGACCTGAACAGAGGATGCCATCGTGTATACACCAAACAAGAACCAGAGCAGCACAGCTCACCTTGGGGCCACTGACCCAAACAAAGGAAAAGGGACCTGCCTGCAGTCATCGGCCTCAGCGACTGGCCCTACAAACCTCAAATTTTGAAAATGCTATCACTCGGAAAGTGGCCTATTGGGCAAAACAGAAGATTGGCCTCAGTCACATGGTAATATTCTCTTTATTGTGCCATCACACCTCAAAGAAATGAGTTTAGTTCCATAAAGCTATGTAACTAATGAAAGCCATTTTCTGGCTGGCCAGTAAGATAAATGGCTGATTGGCACATACAAGGTATCACCTGTACCTTTCGCCACCATCACTCTCGTGACAAAATATCTTCAAAGTGGTTAATTTGCCAGTCAGATATTTAGTTTGATTAACTGTTATAAATGAGTTAAAAGCACACTGCAGTTCACTTTTCTCATACATTATTTTTCCTCCAACCCTATTGCTGTACCTTCTGAGACATGCTGATTGGATTCATTCTCTTTTGCTAAACAGGACTGCCCAAAATTTACTAGATGCTGAAACAAGAAGAAAATAGACTATTTTAGAAGAATTGAAGCAATCAAATATTTGCTCTGGCAAAGGAAAAGCTTTTTACCCAAAATATTAGTTTTGCACTAACTTCAAAGCTTTGCTTTGCTTCCTTCTCCTTCCCTGCCCTCTCCCTCTTCCCACCTCCCCTCACCGTAGACAGACAGACAGACACGCACACACACACTTTCTGGGCAATAAAAGCACACAGAAAATAAAAATAAAGGTTCAAAATGTGTTATCTCAACACTAACAATATGTGTGATTCCCGAAAAAGGCAGGTGTTGGGACAGAAACAGTGCTGATGCTTTCAAACTTGAGTCTGTGTCACCATAGGTGAATCTGGGAAAAGATGCTTCCCACCACCAAAGAGAATGCCAGGAAACAGCCAGTGTCTCCGTGGGCACGGTGGGTTCTAGCTGTATTCTCAGAGCCTTTTTCCCTCCATGCACAGAAACATTTCATAAAGAATAAGCATGAATGGAAACAACAACAGTGGTTGATAGTTCCTTCTGTTATTTGCCTCTTCTTTTTGCTATCAGTTTAAGATGGGAAAGTCTACCTACATTTTTAACAAAATATCAGTAGAAAAAAAAAACAACAGAAAAAGAAACAGAGTTCTCTCCAGCCTCTCAGAAGGGCTGCAGTGACTGGCATAGTAAATTATGGGAAAGTTCCACATTGTGGCTCAGCATGCCCAAGAACAAAGCCATGGACAGTTTTTCACAAGAGAAATCTCAGGGAATAGGAGCAGATTATATAGCACAAAACATGCCACAGCCTCAACAATGTTTTGAGCCCTGAAACAAGTAACAGGACAATAGGGTTGTTGGAAAGTTTAGAGTCTAATCTTGATTCTAAAACATGTGATATGGTCACGTGCCCCATGACGTCTCAGTCGATGACAGACCACATGTACAACAGTGGTCTCGTAAGATTATAGTACTGTATTTTTATTGTACCTTTTCTATGTTTAGATACACAAATACTTACCATTGTGTTACAACTGCCTACAGTATTCAGTACAGTACCCTGCTGCTTGCAGCTTAGGAGCAATAGACTTTATCATACAGCTTAGGTGTGTGAGAGGCTCTACCATCCTGGTTTATGCAAAGACACTCTATGATATTTGCACAATGACGAAATCACCTAAGGACACATTTCTCAGAGCAAATCCTGGTCATTAAGCTACACATGACTGTATATAAGCTGCAGTGTGCGACTGACATGTCTCTACCAATGATTAACTATTCTTCAATGGAGAGCAACATTCCAAGAATTAAATTGTAAAAGCCCGTCTAATAACAAGTGTTCTGTATTTCTGAGACAATTCTGTCTTTGCCTCCGAGAAATGGCTACTTCACAAACTCCCGTAACGGAAATTTCACAGGTGAAAGGCGGAGCTAGCCATGAGCACAGCCAGGATCCATTTATGTCAATTAGGAAGTGGGTTAGCAGCCCAGGTGAAACTGGATACGAGTGAAAGGACTAGATGCAGTACACTAGAATTCTCCTCTCTGACCCGTGGACCAGGAAGAATCCCTCTGCACTGTGTAAATATGTGAAATAACGGGAAGACCAAAGAGGAGTCCCCTCGGAGTCCCGTGCTTGAAGCCAGCTGCTGGATAGCCAGACACCGTAGCTTACTGTGGACGAGCACTCCATCCCCAGATGAAGAAAGAGGGTGCACTGCATAAGGAGACGCTGCTGATTAGACTTCAGAGGAAATTCTTTATCAGAGGTGCGTATACATAAAGCGCAAAAATCACAGAGAATATATAGGCTCAAGAGAGAAGTCCTGAGGACCCATTTTAGGGAGAATTTTTCAAGTAGAGGAAGAGACAGAATAGGATCAAATGGGGGGACGAAATGTGTTTAAATGATTCGGAGAGAAGAAAAATCAGCCAAGGGAGACGTCAAGGAGAAAAATAAGGCAAGTAGCACAGCACTGTGATGATGACAATGCTGAAATGGGAGGAGGCTGAGGGCGGTCCAGACAAGCCACATGCTAACGAAGGCAGGAACGTGGCGGGGTGAACAGATGCTAAGGAAGGCGGGAGCGCGGCGGGGTGAACAGATACTGACGAAGGCGGGAACGTGGCGGGGTGAACAGATGCTGACGAAGGCGGGAGCGCGGCGGGGTGAACAGATGCTAAGGAAGGCGGGAGCGCGGCGGGGTGAACAAATGATAACGAAGGCGGGAGCGTGGCGGGGTGAACAGATGCTGACGAAGGCGGGAGCGCGGCGGGGTGAACAGATGCTGACGAAGGCGGGAGCGTGGCGGGGTGAACAGATGCTGACGAAGGCGGGAGCGCGGCGGGGTGAACAGATGCTGACGAAGGCGGGAGCGTGGCGGGGTGAACAGATGCTGACGAAGGCGGGAGCGCGGCGGAGTGAACAGATGCTAAGGAAGGCGGGAGCGCGGCGGGGTGAACAGATGCTGACGAAGGCGGGAGCGCGGCGGGGTGAACAGATGCTGACAATGGCGGGAGCGCGGCGGGGTGAACAGATGCTGATAATGGCGGGAGAGCGACGGGGTGAACAGATGCTGACGAAGGCGGGAGCGCGGCGGGGTGAACAGATGCTAAGGAAGGCGGGAGCGCGGCGGGGTGAACAGATGCTGACGAAGGCGGGAGCATGGCGGGGTGAACAGATGCTGACGAAGGCGGGAGCGCGGCGGGGTGAAGAGATGCTGACGAAGGCGGGAGCGTGGCGGGGTGAACAGATGCTGACGAAGGCGGGAGCGCGGCGGGGTGAACAGATGATAACGAAGGCGGGAGCGCGGCGGGGTGAACAGATGCTGACGAAGGCAGGAACGTGGCGGGGTGAACAGATGCTGAGGAAGGCGGGAGCGCAGCGGGGTGAACAGATGCTGACGAAGGCGGGAGCGTGGCGGGGTGAACAGATGCTAAGGAAGGCCGGAGCGCGGCGGGGTGAAGAGATGCTAAGGAAGGCGGGAGCGCGGCGGGGTGAACAGATGCTGACGAAGGCAGGAACGTGGCGGGGTGAACAGATGCTGAGGAAGGCGGGAGCGCAGCGGGGTGAACAGATGCTGACGAAGGCAGGAGCGCGGCGGGGTGAACAGATGCTAAGGAAGGCCGGAGCGCGGCGGGGTGAAGAGATGCTAAGGAAGGCGGGAGCGCGGCGGGGTGAAGCACAAGGATGTGACTGAGAAGACGACGTCGCTGTTGGAGAATATGGTGACTTTGACTGAGAAGGCGACGTCACTCTTGGAGATTATGGAGGCCGTGAGGGCCGTCCAAACACAACAGTTGCTAAAGAAGGCAGGAGTGTGGTGGGGTGAAGCACAAGGAGGTGACTGAAGGACGACGTCACTCTTGGAGAATATGGTGACTTTGACCGAGAAGACGACGTCGTTCTTGGAGAATATGGTGACTCTGACGGCTGAGATTCTGTGATGCCCGGGAAGCCGTGCAGCTGCTCATTCTCATTGTACATTTATGAGAAAAAAGCAAATGAAAAAAAATTAATCCAGAACTTACTTAAGGGAACACAATATGGTAGAATCAGCCAAAAACCTACATTTAAAGTATAGGAGAGTAAGTTGTAATGGTGGACTTGAAATAGTAAGGAAAGCCTGTATTATCATCTGTTTACTAAAGCAGAAAGGGAGTGTAACAATAATTTTTAAATATCAATGAAAAATCCTTGGAAAAACATATCAGTGCCAGTGTTGAGACACAGTCAGAAAAATAGGTCACCTCAGACGTGTGAATAGGTTCAGCAAAGCCTAACAGAAAATTCTGTCACCTCATAAAGTACTTTTCAATTGCAGAGGTCAAAGTGCTTCCTACATTTAGTACATGTGTGGGCATGTGTGTGAGCATAATTTTATATATATTACATATATATAACATCTTATGTTCTATTCCTATGAAATAGAAAAGAGATATAAAAACAAAGACATTAAAAGACTTAATTAACCAAGGATTCACAAATGACAATTCCTGGGGGGTTCTGGAGCATGGAGATTAGGAAGAGAAGTGACATGTAACATGACACAAGGGATTACGAAAGGCAGATAATATGAGGGAAAGTCGTGAGGGAGCTGGATTTATTATCCTGAATTAGAAAATAATGCAGAGTCTCAAAGTATCCATAAAGGAGAAGCTCCTCCCGTGGCAAGTGTGGTTTCCCATGCAGTGGGGGAGGCCCTGGCCCTGGCCCTTCATTCCTCCCATTCCCTACCTGGTGGGCTCTTGAAGACATTCATTCTCACTTCCCCATTCCCCTTCCCTTAAGGGGCCCTGAGGGGTGAGGGGAAGGCCAGACCTGTACTCTGTACATTACAAGTACCCACCTCTCTCTCTCTTTCTCTCTTTCCTTCCTTCTCTCTCTCCCCATTTTTAGCACACAGTTTGTTCAGACTCCTGACCCCCCACCACCAGTCACAGGCGTGGCATGGCATAGCCTCATAGATTAATTACATTCATCCCCACTAAATTCTGCATTGTGCTCTGTGTGACAATCAATATAATAATGTGCTTATATTCTTAGAAGTTTTATACTCATGACAAATAAGATATTAATAGGAGTGGCTTCTGAAATCTGTGGTTGCACATCACAAAATACATCTGCACTTCCCCCGTTGTTAGTTACGTCTAATGATCTTTCCATGGTTTAAGTGAGCATTTCTGTTGGTGTTGGCATTGGGGTTAGAACAGAATCAGCTACTCCCTTACAGTGACCAAAGTCAGACATGCCTGTATTTGAACCCATATCTGCTGCTTTTTAGCTCTATGGCCTTTAGCAAGTTATTTAATCTCTAAATTCTTAACCAGATTTCTCAACCAATTGCAGCTCACTAAGTTGTAGCAAGAATTAAATGAGCTAATCCGAGGGCACCGCTGTGTCTGCCACCGAGTATGTATGTGAGTTCTGTGCACGTCATGATGGTTAGCTGCTTACGTTCTTCTTCTTATTTTCCGTGACTGTCTCCTAAATCATACAGTGACAGTCGCTCTGGGATTCCTGGGGGTTTCCAGCAGTGTCTCCCTGGTGAATGATAAACTTCAGCAGTTAGGTGAAGTGCTTGGTAAGGTAAGATGGAAGCTTGACATGAAAAAAAGTTTTGCAAACATCCCCATAGTGGAAAAATAAGACCAGGGAAGAAGCTGCTAATTAGCCAGAGGTGCAATGATGTATCATGACTGTCAAAGCAAAGGAGCGAAGTCGGAACTATTTTTGCTGTAGAGATAGCCAGCCTTCAGGAAGGGCCATGTTTCCCAGTAATTTAATCTGAAAGACATAAATCATGACGAAAATCTCCCTGCATTAGTAATGGAGAGAAATACCTGCATTCTAGCAAGGTTTGCATGATAAAAGACAGGTTTTCATACATCTGAGATCAGGAAAAATAATTATCAATCAAAGATAACCCCCTGCATCCTCGTTTGAAGTGAAATTGGAGGTCAGCGGAGGCCAAGTAAAAGAGAGGACTGGATTGTCTCTGCAATTTTAAGGAGCTCATTACTAGAAATGCTGTTTTACAAAGTTTCAGCTGTATGTGATTTTGAAACATTAATGATTTAATGCCTGCCAGACAAAGAAAGGGAAGGGATGTCAAAAACCAAAAACAGGTATAACTGTATCATTGGCATGAAAATGGAGGCTGACATCATAATGATGAGAAATCACCCCAGGGCCAAAGTATGCCAACTGAAATCATGGCCAAACACAAATCTCCTGGTGCTTTGGAAGAATGCAACTGGAAATTGATAAGAGCAGAGGAATCTGTATTATCTGCTTCCCAGAGAATTGGGAGTTCACAGAGAACAAAGTCAGTGGCCCCAGCAGAACCCTTTGCTATGCAAATAAGCTGGAACACTTACCCGAACACACTCTCTAAATCAAGATTACCTGTAATTCCTCTGTGCTGCAGCCTATAGGGCTGTAGAGGCTTAATCATATTTATTACCTAACCAATGAACCATGGGCTGTTTGATCAGAAAGTAAATTTTGGCCCCACCTCACCATTCCTACAACATCATGCAAGACCAGTGAAGTCCTGAGAACCTGGAAAGCCCTAATCTGCATTCAGTGACTGGTCTCTGACCATTTCTTTTGCCCGCACAACTGAGTAATGGAGGGACAAACAGCTTAAATTGTTAGCAACTACTAGACTATAAAATTCTTACTAAACAGTCACTTTCTTGAAAGCTCAGACCATTTTTTATTCAATTTTTGCAATTAGTAGAATTTGTCTCCCTGGTGGTTTCTCAATTAAGATTAAATAGGGCCCTCAAAGATGCTGGGGAGAAAAAACGAGAAAACAAAAAAATTAAATGGGGAATGAAGAAAAGAAAGGAGAAAATGAGAAAAGAAATAGGGAAGGGAGAAAGGTAAAAAATAAATGGCATGCCAATCATTAACTCTAAAATCCAGGTGGAGAGATATATCAAACCAGGCAGGCAGGCCAAATTAGTCAGAGCAATGTTTGCTGGCCACTATAACAAGCAACCCAAAATCTCAGTGGCTTAAAATAAAACTTACGTCTTTCTCATTCGAAGTCATTGTCCCTTCAGTGGCCCTACTTGGTGGGTCTCCTCCGAGTGGTAACTCAGAGATAGGAGCTGCTTCCATACTATAACTCTGCCACCTGGAACATGTGGGTTCCTGGATTCCCACAGGAGGAAAGAAGAGAGTCGTGTCTTATGGTCAACTCTGGAAGTGGCCAGCGTTCCATCTACACAGCACTGGTCAGAACATGGTCATAGGCTCCCAACATCACCCATAAGGGAGTCTGGGAAATGTAGTCTTTTCAGGTTTCCAACAAGTGGGGGCCACGCGATGAGGAAAACAAGGAGTTCAATTCTGGACAAATCAATCGGAATCGACCACTCTTGTCACACAGGAGCACACAATCTGTGTGAGCCGACAGGAAAGGCTCCATGAAAATAAGGGACTCGAGCATGAAGAAGAAAGGCATCTACGCGGAGGGTACTGTATGAGCAGAAATTTGGAGGTGATTGGTGCAGGTGGAGCTGAAGGACAAAAATTAGTCTCATCTGCCTGGAGCAGAGTTTCTGAGGAGCTGAAAAGAGTGATAGAAGACCAGATAAGTCAATTAGACAGATTGGAGAGGCTATTTCATGCCAACCAAGGAGATTTTTGTGGCAGGCCAGGTGTCACTAACAGCTGAACAGGCAGGCCTCCGTAACAACTGTCTCAGCCCTGACTGAGTGTTGAGCTACATACTGAAAGCTGAGAGAGCCAGTGTCCTTATACAAAGGCTGGAATGCAACCAAAGCCCACCAGGAGGTTTGCCCAGGCCTCTCCCAGGTCTTGAAGCGTGACAAGATAATGAAGGAATTCTTAACAGGACCTGTTTAGGATTAAACAACTTGTTATTGGGGGGCTGAAGAAACTCCCCAGACTTCCACAAAAATGTTTTATTGGGGGTCTAAAGGAACTCCCCAAACCTCCATGATTTAGCAGGAGACAGGATAAATGTAATCACCCCCAGGACCTGGACCCGTCTAGATTAAGTCAATTTACTGAGGCTGCAGAGGAAGGGCTTCAAAACTCAGATCTTAGTTACAGATTAGAGTAAGTTAATCACTTATGTCTTTACACGAATGCACACGTACACACAGACATATAGCTTAAAAGGTATATAAGCTCTGTAAACCTTGTAATTTTTGGTTAGTCTGGCAATATTTTCCAGGCCTTCTCCCTGTACCCGGTTACAGAAATAAGCTCTCTTCTTTCCCAGTTTATCAGCATCTCATTATTGGGCCACGAGAATAAGCAGCCAGACTCTCAGTTTGGTCTGGGAACAAACGGACTTATCCCTGTAGGTAATAAAATGCCTTTGTCCATAGCTCCTGGCTATGAGCAGTGAACGAGGCCAAGGTTCTGCATGGCCCATTGAAGAGGAGACACTACTGGCAACAGCAAGCCAGGCAGGCTGCTCTCCAGGTGCTAGGTACCAGTCTTGGCCTCAATCCTTAACTATCTGTGTGAATTGGACAAGTCCATCAGTTCCTTGGTGTCTCAGTTGATTCATCTATAAAATGAGGAAAATAATGTGTAATGTGTAAGAAAGCTCTGTGGATCAATGTTTAAAATACGTGAGAGAAACACCAAAAGCAACACCAAAGCGTGCAGTCATGGAAGTCATGACTTCAGCGTGAAGTCATGATTACTGAATCAGTGAGGAATAAGGGTGGAGGGTGGGGTCACGGAGATGGAAACACCAGTGGAATAAGGGTGGAGGGTGGGGTCGTGGAGATGGAAACACCAGTGGAATAAGGGTGGAGGGTGGGGTCACGGAGATGGTAACACCAGTGGAATAAGGGTGGAGGGTGGGGTCATGGAGATGGAAACACCAGTGGAATAAGGGTGGAGGGTGGGGTCGTGGAGATGGAAACACCAGTGGAATAAGGGTGGAGGGTGGGGTCGTGGAGATGGAAACACCAGTGGAATAAGGGTGGAGGGTGGGGTCGTGGAGATGGAAACACCAGTGGAATAAGGGTGGAGGGTGGGGTCGTGGAGATGGAAACACCAGTGGAATAAGGGTGGAGGGTGGGGTCGTGGAGATGGAAACACCAGTGGAATAAGGGTGGAGGGTGGGGTCACGGAGATGGTAACACCAGTGGAATAAGGGTGGAGGGTGGGGTCATGGAGATGGAAACACCAGTGGAATAAGGGTGGAGGGTGGGGTCGTGGAGATGGAAACACCAGTGGAATAAGGGTGGAGGGTGGGGTCGTGGAGATGGAAACACCAGTGGAATAAGGGTGGAGGGTGGGGTCACGGAGATGGTAACACCAGTGGAATAAGGGTGGAGGGTGGGGTCGTGGAGATGGAAACACCAGTGGAATAAGGGTGGAGGGTGGGGTCATGGAGATGGAAACACCAGTGGAATAAGAGGTAGAAGGTGGGGTCGTGGAGATGGAAACACCAGTGGAATAAGGGTGGAGGGTGGGGTCATGGAGATGGAACACCAGGGGAATAAGGGTGGAGGGTGGAGTCATGGAGATGGAAACACCAGTGGAATAAGAGATAGAGGGTGGGGTCGTGGAGATGGAAACACCAGTGGAATAAGAGATAGAGGGTGGGGTCGTGGAGATGGAAACACCAGTGGAATAAGAGGTAGAGGGTGGGGTCGTGGAGATGGAAACACCAGTGGAATAAGGGTGGAGGGTGGGGCCATGGAGATGGAAACACCAGTGGAATAAGAGGTAGAGGGTGGGGTCGTGGAGATGGAAACACCAGGGGAATAAGGGTGGAGGGTGGGGTCATGGAGATGGAAACACCAGTGAGGCACTAGGGATACATTCACATGATTTGGAAATGCAAAGACATGGAAGACAGAGCACAGAAAGAAATGACAAGCAGCTCCAATTTCTGAGTGCAGGTAACTGAAAGAATGATGGTATCACCGAAAAAATAAAGTAGTTGTGTGGGGGCTCACTTGACGGGGAAGACAAGGAGTTCACTTGTGCACAAATCAATCTGAACTGAAAGCAAGGAACCAACCGTGCTCTAGGGAGTAAGAGATACCCAACCAAAACTCAGGAAGTGATTGCCATTTAAGCTCAGCTTCCGATCAATTCACATAGTTAAATCCACATGTGAAGTAAGCTTACAATCACTTTCCGAATTTTTATTACTCTAATATATATTTAAATTAACTGCAAATAATGTTTTTAGTATCGGAATGTATTTATACCCTTCCTTTTTAAATACACAGGAGTTAAACATCTCAACGAATATCAGCATTGGAAGAAAAAACTGTTTGCAATGGAAAGGAAGAGCAATGTTCCAAATCTACTTGAGTTACAGAAAATCAAACTTCTCCTCAGGCCTTTCCTCCAGCAAAACATTCCTGTCGACAAAACAAGCTGGAAAGTGTGGGGCTGGGTTCCTGCTCCAATCCTTCCAGCTTTTTAGAACCCAAGAGACTCAGCTCACTTCCCAGCGCCACCAGCCTTCCTTGGATGTTTTCCACTCTAGTTGGGTTCAGGCCGGCAGTTTCTCCACATTCTTTAGCTCTCTGTTTTATTTCCAACATACTCCAGGCTGGTTGAGAAAGGGGAGAGGGGAGCCTCATGCTGCCCACTGGGTCCCCTGGGCAGGGCACACACACCTCTATCAAAGGGTCACTGATTCCTGGGAATTCCAGCCAATGACAGAACTAGGTGGTCTTAATTGCATTTGAAAATAAGACTAGAGAGAACAGAAAGAACAAATAAGACAAGGTAAATGAAATGCAAAAAAAAAAAAAAAAAAAAGAAAAGAAAGAAATTTCACAGGATTTTGCAAACTTTTGTTAAGCATTCGAATTCCAAAACCCTCAACCAAACAAAGCTTTCACAGCTATTTGTGCCTCAGGCTTATTTCCTAATTCAAAGCTGTAATGGGATCAGGTTAGTAAGAGCCTGCAATGGAAAACTGAAGCACAGTGCAAACTGATCTCTCACACTGTCGCTAATTTATCTTCTAAGACATTTGCAAAAACTCTCTTCACTGACTCCAAATATTGTCTGTATGGGTGCTTGGTATCAAACTGTGAAATGGCTCTGTTATTAAGAAGTGCAACTGTTAATCTCAGAAGAGTGAAAGCAACCTGGCCCATCTGCATGGAGCGCTAACACAGTGCCCGGTACAATTCAGGCGGACCCCTTCTCTGTCTTACAAACAAGGTATGGAAAAGAACAGCTTGCCCTAGAAAAAGCAGACATTCAAATGGGAGGCTCACTCAGCCTTTCAGCTTCCTCTGCCTGCGGCATCTTGGAGAGGCACATGCCCAGAGGGAGCGTTGGGCTAGATCATGGTTTGCTGGGCTGAATGCTGGAGGATTTGAAGCAGGCCCAGCTGGGAGGGAGAATTAGGAGCAGTCGGACCCTTCATGCTGGTCTGAATCCAACCAGGCTTGACTGAATCACAGGCAAAGAAATGACTCAAAGACCAGCACCAACTCCAAAGACAGAGGTTCTGCTGCAAGGACAGGTGAGCCCGTGGCTGAACCCCAGGCAGAAGCCAGAACACAGCCGGGCGAGTCTGAGACAGAGTGGAGGCTGTCCCGAGCTGCAGGTTAAAGCATCACTGGGGTTTGCCTGGCTTGTCTTCATTGTTCAGAGGGCACAAAGGTGCAGGATCAGGGCAGACATGTAGGGAACCTTTGTCTGCAGCAGAAAGTCTTTCCCCACCCCCCATTGCTCTACTTCCCCAAATCGTTCAAAGCTCATTTCATCTAAGACACTGCTCTTCCAATAAAAGGTTTACCTCAGACTCACCAAACGGCTGATCCCCGTAGCGTGTTACATTCCACGAGAACCTAGGCACACAGAATGTCATGACTTGAAAACACGAGGCATTTGGACCAAGGGTTGGCAAACTTTTTCTATAAAGGATCAGATTGTAAATGTTTTAGGTTTCCTGAGCCAAGAGACAAAAATCAAAGATATTATGTTGATATTAATAAAAGAAGAGATAAAATAAATTTCCACAACATTTTTCTTGACAAAATTCAAACTATAACATAATCATTTAGTTTTTGTTTGTTTTGATAATACAGGCCCACAAAAGAGATAAATGGAATCCTTTGAGGAGGAGATAACATTTTGCTTATTGGAAGTTCAAAGTTAGTTCCCTAGAACCAAATTAATCCCAAATGTTCATCCATAAAAACCATTCTCAGCCTGTGTTGCCACACATAAGCAGGAGGGGCTGGATCTGGCCTGGGGGCTACAGTTTGCAATCTCTGGATTTAGACTAATCTGCCTGTTATATACACAAGGCATCTGAACCTCAGAGACTTAAGGATTGCTGAAAATCACAGGTCTTGTGGGAACATGGCAAGCCCCTCACCCCACCTGGATGAAGATGTGTCCTGGCCTCAGGACAAGCCTGTCGGTATTAAAGTTTCAGGTTGTCTATTCTGGCTCATTTTATGTGACCACTCGCCCAGGCCGTCGCACCCAGATAGGTGGTCAAACACTGTTCTAGTCACATATTGTTATTTATTCCATTTCTGTGAGGGTATGCTGGAATATGATTAATACTTCAGTCAGGGGACTTTGAGTAAAGCTGATTGCTTTCTGTAATGTGGGTGGGCCTCATCCAATCAGTTGAAGGCCTGAATAGAACAAAAACTGACCTCCCGCAGTCCTGAGGGAATGCTGCCAGCCGGCGGCCTTCAGAAGTGCAATGTGGGCCCTTTCCTGGGTCTGCAGCCTGCTGGTCTATCCTACAGATTCTGGTCTTGCAGTCTCCATAATCATGTGAACTAATTCCTTCAACGAAATCTCTGTCTGTCTCACCCTCCTACACAGACATGTACACACACGCGCACACACACGCACACACACACACACGTTTCTCTGGTGAACCCTAAGCAATGCATTGACTCAGATAATCATCTTATGGGAAATGCTATGAAAAAAAGAACCTAAACACACATACAAGCTTATGGTAATCGTGGGACACTTGTGTGAAGAAGCAAATGCAACTATTGTAATTCATAGCATTGAAGGTAATTTATTTACATTCATTAATTGCCTACAAGATAAGTATTGCAAATATAATAGCAAACAAGCCTGACCCAGCCCTGTCCTCTCGTTGCTTATATTCTAATGGAAAAGTAAAACAGGACAAACAGAAAAAAAAGTGCTGAATAGACAAATAATAAATAAAAACTGATGAACGCGCTATGTAAAAACAAAAATGGGACTGACGGAGAGGGGCAGGAAATGCCTCTCTGACGGTCAGGTCTAAACGGAGAAGACTTCCCTGAAACTTCAGGAAGGGGCAAAATTGAAGCTGAGGAAACAGCACAAACAGCCCTGAAATGGAAAAGGTTTTCGATGCTTCACAGACCTGGAAGATCAGTGTGTGGGGGACGTGCAATATGAGACGAAGCCTGAAGCAAATTGGGAATTTGGCTCCAGAGATGGTGGTGGGGTGCGTAATACAGTGCTGAGACTCCAACTCCTGCCCTTTGTCTCCACTCACCAACGGCAGATTCCCCCTGAAGATGGGCTGGGAGATAAATGTCCCATTCAAATGGACCCTAAGTGAAGAGGCTCATGGGGAAAACCTTCCTCCCATTGCACACCCACTGCAGGCAGAGCCTTCCCAAGCTCCGTCCAGGCCTCCTGCCTAGTTATCTACGGGGTGAATCAGTCCACAGAGAAACACTCACCAAAATGTCAGCTGGACTTCAACAGAAGGGTCAAGCTCACAGGAAATTATATGAGGTTTTTAGAAAATTACAACAAATTCAACTGTTTGTAGTCAGTAACTAACTCAGCGCCTAGCGTATAAGGCTCAACAAATCATATGGAAAGTTATCTGGAGTAAATACCCAGGGTTCCTGGTCTCGTGCCAGGAAGATTTAGAACACAGACACACAGGAAGAGTTTAGGAGCAGATGTTTAATAGGCAAAAGAAAGAGGAAGGAGAATAGTCTCTCTCTAGTGAGAGAGAGAGGGTTTCCCAAAGGAAGACCAGCCGGCAAGGAGTGTGCAGGATTTTTTAGGCAGGCTTGAGGGGGCGGTGTCTGATTTCCCTAGAGCTTACATAGGTTTACACGGCATGCGGAGAAGGCTGGCCACCCCACCCGAATCTTATTATGCAAATGGACTTTCCACTTGACCGGTGCCATCTTGTCTGCTCCTTCCTGTACACGTGGTTGGCAAAGGGAAGGGGAGATGGAGCCTCCGTTTTGAACATGCCTAGTCCCGGTAGCTTTTTCCTGCTGACCTTCACCCATGCAAGCTTGCCGCTGGCTTGTCTGTGTCTGCAGCTCCATCTTACAGGCTGATCTTTGTTAGACAATGATTTTGGGGCTGCTTTTCATTAAAAAGCAAAACCTACTGAGGATTCCCATACCCTCACTATCTGCCTAAGCAGTTTCTTCTTAACGCCTATATCGTTAAGAGAGATATTATGCAGCTTAGAGTTATTAGGGTTTGTGAAATAACAAATAAAGAGATAAAAGGTTTTTGTGTGTATTGGTGTGAAGATATGTATATATATATAGACATATATATTCTGTTGTGCCTCCTGGAGTTTAACCCCTAGTCACTTTAACTGGTTGGTCTAGGCTGTTCCAAAAATTATCTTAAACACACATTTGCAAGCCATATTGCAGATGATGTGATCTTACCTGAGAAATGTTTCACTGGCAGAAAGAAGCCCTCTTTTTGTCTTTAAAGGCTCCTTTCTTTTCTCCTTTCATCTGTTTATAAGTTTGAATAGTGCTTATTGGAATAACTAGAGCAAATCTGGAAAAGCCTGGGCACATTGTTGTCAGCTACAGGATTTGCTTTGTGCAGTTTGGCTTTTACTACTTCCTTGAAGAGCTACCTTCCATCGAGACCACACTAGTAACCCTGGCAGTCCATACACAAGTAACACATCACCAAATGGCCACAGACGGCCAAATGGCTGACTTTAAAAGCTGGACAATTCACATGCAGAAATCACTGGCTTCCGTTATTTGGGGAATTAGTGTATCTGATGGGGGGCAGTACTGAACCAGTTTTATAATTTCTTCTGTAGAGGCCAAACCAAAAAAGCCTAGAAGGAATGAATGTAACTGTGAATGAATAAACAAATGTGTTTCCAAAAATAAGTGATTCTTATATTAGATCATATTTTGAAAGATCTCAAAGTCCTTTTTATAAACTCCATTTGTCGAGAAAAATAACTCCTTTTATTAGGTTCCCTCTCAAGAATGTAGAACATACAGACTTGGGCATGAGGAAACATTTAAGAATCTCAGTATTGAACATTTACTAGGAGGACGTGCCTTTCTGAAGCGTACTCTCACATGTCTCCTTCAAATCTCCATGGATCCTTGCCTCAGGTGAGTGACATTTTAGGTGGAAATCAAGGAAGAGGTGGAATTTTATATCTGGGCAGATGTCATGTGGGCCAGGTTCAGCCTACATAAAAAAGTGATGCGGACCATAAACTCGGCACCTACGGCAAGTGGCCTGCTTGCTAGGCCTCTCTTATCTAGATCACAGGAGCAGGAAATGCCAGTTGATATCTGGATTACATATAGAGAATTCATTTGGCAATCACCCTCACAAATTCCGACCAGCAGCCAGACCAGGAAATATATTACCACATACTTCCTTCCTGGGGCAGGGATAAAACTGCCCTGGAGGAGATAAGCCTTGAGGCCCTGTGACTCCCGCTCCCACTTAGTGATCATGCTCAGAACCACTTCTGTTGACTGATATGAAATCTCTTCATTACAGTTTACTAGAAATAATCCCTCACACCAAAAAGGGGAGTCATTTCCCCAAAGCCAAATCGCTTGGCATTTTCCAACCCAAGAGTAGAAACCAGCTGTCCTGCCACCCAAACACCCAATGCACCCTCCACCATCCTTGCTGCTGGGCTTTAACAAAAGAATCTCAAAATCAGAGTGGGATTTGAAGACTAGAAGAAGAAAGCAAAACAAGACTATCTGGCAAGGCTGGATGAGGAGCTTTGCAGCCAACCAGGACTGAGGTCTTGACACAGAAGGCCTGGAGAGGCTGCCATTATTCCCCAGTGAATTAAGAAAGACTTGCAGCAGCTACCTCTTAAGATACAACAGAAGAGAAGCCACCCGAGGTAAGCGGGTCAGTGAGAAGGAAGCTTCAGACAAAGGAAGCTGTGAGTGAGGACAAAATGAAGAGGAACGAACCCAGCCACACAGTGACAAGGAAACCACAGGGTTTGGCAAGTGTCTGCTTGACCTTCTCTAAAGCAAATTAAAAATGTAGAGATGAATCTCTAAATTTAATATTTAGGAAGAAAGAATTGCGATTCACAATATAGAGGCAGACAGGGTGGTCCGAAGGTGGAAAAAGAGGACTGTTCCTCTGTGGTCCTGTGAGAAAGTTCTTTGATATTAGCAAAGTTTTGGGGGCTGGTAAGGTCTGATTGGTGGGTGACCGTGGTGGGCAAAACTAGTCCGTGATTTGCAGTTGTTATCTCACCTGCTACAGATGAAAGTGGTCTCTGGTTACAACACGCAGTTTCAGCCACGGGACTTGCAGACGACAGCATTTCTAGAGTGACGTCATGTACCCTGAGTGCCTTTTACTCAGACCCGTCTTCTCTGATTTAGTTGGGTATGACAAGAATGGCCCAATTTGGATAATCAACTTGCACAATGCTGACTCAAGAACTGTAGCACTGAGTGTAAGGGTGCATCATTTTCATAAACTCAGAGGAAAATGTGGCTGGTGGCTGATGGCAGAGCTGAGTCCCGAGAGCTCAGCCCTGAGCTGCCTTTCATCTGGTCACCGTGTTCAGGGGTTCTTCTCCGTGTAAATAAACATCTGCGATGAAAACCTCCACAGGTCTCATCAGCAAAGTGGGTCTTCAAGAAACCAATTTGCTTTCAAAACAGGAGATCGAGTGATAATCTATCTAATGTTCTAGAAATGTTTGAGGCACCCTAGACAAATGTCAATCTTAAAGTTTTCCTTTTGCCTTATTTCTCTAAGTAACACCTTCTCAAATCATGAAAGAAGAGTGATCTAAATTTTTTTTTTAAAAATCCATATTAGGAGGAAGATCTATTAAGGATCTAGTGAGTAAATGACACTTTTGGAATGTTTAGAACTTCGAGGGGGAAACCACATGTTTTCACATCCCACTATATCATTTCCATAAGGATGAGGCAAAGCACTACCCCTATTTGCAGAAGAGAGACTGCCGTGAAGTCAGTGGACACTATCTCCAGGTCAGAATCCAACCTAAAGGCCTTTAATCAATGGTAAGTGCTCTGAGGCACAAAATCCTATGCTCCTCATCAGTCATGCTATGTCCTCTGAATATTCTGAATTCACCAGAACCTAGTAGACCTATTTTAAGTTTCTCCAAAAATGTCAAAACTCTGTTTTATAGAAAACCAGAACTTTCATGTCAATTGTTCCTGAGAACATTAATAACAAAAGCCAAAACAAGTTTCTTAAACTCTGTCAGCCAGTTTTGTAAATATGACACAAGTAAATACTTCTGGACATCATTTAGGTATTAACGTAACATGCATAAGCTAGAAAAGGCAGCATTAAATTTGGATGTTTTTGACTTTTGTTTCTCAACTTTTTAAAGATTAAATCATAGGATCTTATTCTCTTCTATTCCCTCTAGGGAAAGCAATGTGCTGATATTTTTCTGAAAGATGCTAACAGTGGAAGGAACTATTGAAAACAATTAGAGGAAAATCGCACCTTGAACTTAGGAGAACGTGTACACCATGTTCTCACAGGAAATCTCAGACATGATATTAAAAATTCCAGCTGTTTCATTTTTTTGCAGAACAGCGTGTAGTTATGTACTGAGTGCACTGTGCAGGGGCACACAGGGCATACCAAAGGCTTCTTTTGTTTATGATACAGATTTGCACTGTATTCGAAAGGTTTTCTTTCAAATGCCTTATCACAGTGTGTCCAAACTTCTTGTAGGGAGCAACGGGGCCTCTATTTAAGCCTCTTGTGAGCCGATCCACCAGCCAAGGTCATGTTGCTTTCCCTTAAGAATCAGAGCCGCGGGGATCCTGTTCTATCTGTTCTTTCCACAGCCTCCTGTCTTTCAGCAGGGCAGATGCCTCCCAGAAGGAAACCAGATGCCAGGACTGTGGGGGACTCTTGAGCAGCATCAGCCAAACTGTAGGAGCTGAGAAGAGGAAGCTTTGCTCAGGGTAAGCGCCCTGGGATAATGTCTTTAATGTCAAGAGGATGCACGCTGTGAACGTGGAAAGCCCTCCAGGCTGAAAGAGGGAATAACACAGGCGGGGAGTGTTGCCAAGCATTTGCGAGCACTCTGTTCGGTGGACAGACAGCCGGCTTGCTCATGATTCCGCCTTCTCTGTTATTGGCAACAAGCCGTCACTGGAACTTTGTATCCTTAAGCTTTGAGGCCTTGACTCAGGTGGGGGTCCCGGAATAAGCTCATGAAGTTTTTGCCTCGTTACCCCCAGGCTCCAAATCACTGGTACAAATTTCTCAGTCTGATTTAATGCTTAGGGAAATGTCGTATTTTTGGATCCTTCATTTTAAAAAAACATATATATTTACCAGTGCTATCTCCGCCAATTCCGAATAAACCTTAGACTTCAGATCATGAGCCACTAGGAGTCTGAATATGTCCTTTATTTGGATTCAAATAAGATTTTAACTTCCTGGCACCATGGTTTTCTGAAGGTGCCAGTGTGAGACCTGGGTCATCAGAATGACTTGGCGCTGGGAAGCCACAGAATGGTGCAGTAAGATCTTGCTGTCTCGGTTTCCGCCTTAGAAACAATATCATACACCTTTTCTCTTTCACAGAATGCTAAAATTTAGCATATGTTATAGTGTTTATTGACAATAATAAGGCAGGATAGCAAAGTGGTTAAGGAATGACTGCACTCAACAACCATAACCTCCTATGGTGCCAGGGACGGCAGGCAAATGCCATGCATGGAGGTCAGTGTCAGCAGAGATCAGCTGGTGTGCTCAGAACACTGTGGGAACTAAGGGTCTGAGCCATCAGGACTGTCCACAGATATTCCACTCCTTCTGCTCATATAATATGCTTGCATTCCCCATGTTTTACAATTTGAGTTCAGGATTTGTTTAATTCAGGTATGGTAAAGTGATAGACACAGACAGGAACAACTGCCTTTGAAATAAGAGCTTGTTTCTTACAGTTCCTAAGAAAAAGGAGCATTGGCATGCCACACAGGGCTGCCCAGGCAGCGCCAGGATTGGGCAGGAGGCAGGAGTACAGGAAGCACGGATCGAAGCCTCCATGAACACAGAGGGGAGAAGTCACAAAGTAGGGACGGCCCTTATTCTGCAGGAAACAAGTCACAGATTTGTTTGTGGCTGGAGGGTTTGTGATATGACTTTTATGCTACCTCAAAAGTGGGACTGAAGGGTGATGTAGGCACCTTTGGCCATTAGTTTGGCCCTGTGATTAGTGGATGTCAAATCATCAATTACAAGATCTGTAGAAGTTGGTTGGAACACCCCACCTTGTGCAGACAGTCTGTTCATGCAAGTCGGGCAGGAATCATGAGTGGAAGCGGCACGTGTCACCTCCTGCAAAGGACCAGCACAGGGGACACCACACTCCCTTCGCCTGCCACAGTGGCCACGAAAGCACCTCCATCAGCGTGCATTCCCAAGTGACTACCTGGGTGGCCTGACGGGTCTAGAGTCTTTCAAGGGTCTGCTGGCATCTCATCTGCGAACATCCCACTGGCCACAGCAAATCTCATGGTGGGATGGTTAATTGTACGTGTCAACTTGACTGGGCCACAGGGTGCCCAGAAATTTGTTTCAACATTATTCTGGGTCTGTCTGGGAGGGTGACTGCAAATGAGATTAGCATTTACATTGGCAGACTGAGCACAGCAGGTTGTCCCCTCCCCCCCACCCGATGTGGCTGGGCCTCAGCCAGTCAGCTGGAGGCCTGAATGGAGCAAGTCAGAGGGAACTCTTTCTGCTTGGACTGCTGTGAACCTGGGCATTGGGTTTTGTGTTTTGTGTTTCTGCCTGTGGACCTGAACTGAAACATCAGATTTTCCCTTGGAAGCCCACCAGCATTTGGACTAGAATTAGCCCATCAGCTTTCCTAGGTCTGCAGTTTGCAAATGCATATCTATCTTGAGACTTCTGTTTTCATAATCACGTGAGCCAATTTCATATGGTATATATTTATAAAATAGTATTATAGGCCGGGTGCAGTGGCTCACACCTGTAATCCCAGCATTTTGGGAGACCAAGGCAGGCAGATTACAAGGTCAGGAGATTGAGACCATCCTGGCAAACATGGTGAAACCCCGTCTGTACTAAAAATACAAAAATTAACGGGGCATGGTGGCGGGCGCCTGTAGTCGCAGCTACTCGGGAGGCTGAGGCAGGAGAATCACTTGAACCCGGCAGGCGGAGGTTGCCGTGAACAGAGATCATGCCACTGCATGCCAGCCTGGCGACAGAGCAAGACTCTGTCTCAAAAAATAAACAAATAAATAAAAATAATATTATGAACAATATTATTTTATATATATACACACCTATCCTATTGTTTCTGTTTTTCTGGAGAACCTAGACTAATTCACAGGGCTAAGCCCAAAGTCAAACTTGGTGACCTCTATAAAATTACATGGCAAAGGCTGGAGAAAAAGGAAACAGTAAACATTTGGGGTCACATTTGCAATTTACCACAGATGGCAAGAAGATAGAACTGCTTTTCCCGATATCTGGATGTCTGTTTCCAGCCACCCAAATCTTCCTAAAGACGTGGAAATGCTGTGGCCGCTGCAGCAGTGGGCAGAGGAGTGGTCAGGCCGGGAAAAGGAGGTGCTCAGGTCACCTTTCCCATCCCCAGGATGGCTGGTGGCCCCCTGTGCTGTGTGCATTTGAAGGCCTCACCTGCCTCATGGGTCTGAATCTGAGGGAGGCAGCACATAATTAACCACTATTAGGAATTTTAGAATGTATTTTTAGTTCTCTGGAAATGTCTCCCTCATTATTCTTTGTTATTCAACTTTGAAACACATGTGTAGGAATCCACTGTGTGTAGAAGTAAGAAACTGCATATAACCAATGCTTTTCACACCAACAATCTCTCACTCAAACGAATACAAGCCAGGCTCTTAATGTTCTTGTTATAGAAGAATAACTAGGTAAGGTAAATAAAGCTGATATTAAAAATCCAATTTTACATATAAGAAGACATAGAGACGTTAAATGGTTTGCCCTGTGTCTGAAAGCTCATTAATTGCAGAAGTGTTGAAGGATTGCAGGGCTCCTGACTCTTTGGTCAGGATGCATTATGCAGCCACTCACAGAATCATTTTGAGATGGAGAGCCAGAATTCTGGAGAACAGCAGAGTGCTCCTGCAGCATGTCTGTGCAATGAGAGCACAGCAACCCTTCTAGAGAATTTGGTCAGGGATTGGGTCAGGAAATGTTCATGGAGCACCTTCTCCTTTCTCCGTGTCAGGCACTGTGCTATGTTATGGAGACGCAGGGGTGGGCAAAACCAGACCCCATACCTGCCCTTAGCAGTATATTCTGTAAGGGGGCTGGAGGATGTAGACCTGAATCAAATATTTGCATGCACAAATAGAAACATGCAACCCATGTGTACAGTGAGGGGGAGGCCCTTGGTGCTGCGAAGACCCATAATCACAGGCCCCGGGCTGGGCAGAGGGCAGGGAGAGCTTTCCTGGGGAGCAGTGCTTGAAATAGGGTATAAAGAAGGGGTTGGAGTTATTGAGATAAATAGAAGAAACAGTGTTCCAGGTTGAGCCCAGCTGGCTTCACCTAGTGGATCCCGCACCTGGCCGCAGGTGGAGCTGCCTGCCAGTCCTGCGCCATGCGCCTGCACTCCTCAGCCGTTGGATGGTTGATGGGACTGGGCGCTGTGGAGCAGGGTGCAGTGCTCCTCGGGGAGGCTCAGGCCTTGCAGGAGCCCATGGCAGGGGGGAAGCTCAGGCATGGCAGGCTGCAAGTGCCAAGCCCTGCCCCACAGGGAGGCAGCTGAGGCCTGGCGAGAATTGGAGTGCAGCGCCGGTGGGCCAGCACTGCTGGAGGACTCGGTGCACCCTCTGCAGCTGCTGGCCCAGGTGCCAAGCCCCTTACTCTCTGGGGCCAGCGGTGCTGGCCAGTCGCTCCGAGTGCGGGAGTGCGGGGGCCTGCCAAGCCCACGCCCACAGCAGACCCGGTTCCCGCCCGTGCGCAGCAGCCCCTGTTCCCGCTGACGCCTCTCCCTCCACACCTGTCCACAGCAGAGGGAGCTGGCTGTGGCCTCGGCCAGCCCAGAGAGGGGCCCCTACAGTGCAGTGGTGGGCTGAAGGGCTCCTCAAATGCAGCCCGAGTGGGCGCCGAGGCCGAGGAGGCACCAAGAGCCAGCGAGGGCCGCTAGGGCTCCAGCACATTGTCACCTCATGTTTAACACAAATTTTCCTATATGCTCTAAGGCTACAGTTTTGTCTGTTACTCTGGTAATAATACACTTTCAGGCAGTAACTTGAAATAAAATTCAATTTTCATAAAATCTCCGGAAAACTGGAGAAAGAGGGAATTTTATTTCAGTATTGTTGTCCTGTGGATTGGAATATGTTCTAACTCACATCATAATTCTTGAAACATTATAAAATATAAAAGCTTAAACTAATATGTTTAATTGACTCCAAGAGCATTAATGAAAAGTATATAAATAGGAATACAGATGTAGTAATAAAAGAGAATTATCAGTCACCCTTAATTTAATTGGTGTCACCTTAGCTTTTAGAAGGGTAATAGGTAAAGACTGTTGTGCTCAGAACACCAGAAATCTATTCGAACTAGGTGAAAATTTACTAGTGAAGGTATTTGTGAAAATAGAAATGCAGCTTATGTAAAAACTATTCACTTACATCTGCCCACAAATACAGAAACATCTGAATGCTCAGTTTTAACCTATTCCTCAGTAGGTTAAAGTGCTCTGGGCTTACTTGTCTCTTCCTCTTGACTTGGAGAGAAGAGAAGCCTTTGCTTTTACTCAGCATGAAGGAGCCTCAGGATAGTCACATCTCAACTCTTAGATGCCTGAGAGCTTTGTAATGCAAATCAGGCTGCTCCTTTTTTCTTACCAGCAACTTAATTTGGGACAGGATTGATTGACTAGAAAGTTTGCTAATCAGTTTGAAACAAAACTAGGCTGGGGGCCAATGGAAGTTTGCCAGAACCTCCCTTCTGAAGACAAGGTCGACAGCTGGTCTCACTTTGGAAATGCTTTTGCCCATTATCTTATCATTTGGTCCATTTTATGTGGTCCACATCTCAAATTACAATGTTTATTTTGAAGGCACTCCAGAGAAAAGAAAGAGAAAAAAAAGACACCACACATGACTTACAGAACAGATTTTATAATACTTTGAAAATGAGGTACCTCGTTGTAAATTTAAAATCCGCCTCCTGATTGTTTTAGAGTTGATAAGTATATTGACGGTTGTGAATGACTGCTGAGCTCTGGCTTTTGGGTGTAGCCGATGTGACAATGTTTGTTGGTGAAGCAAAGAAAACAAGTTTGATTTGACCATGAGAACATATGAATTCCTGAACTGTTAAAAATAATAACTCTTGTTTGTGTCATTCTCCAAAGTTTTAAAATAAAATTAGATCATTGTGCCCAAACCAAAAAGTTCTGAAGTCATTGAAGTGATGGAATCATAGGATGCACTGCAGGGGCTGAAATTCCAAACCTTGTAGGGACAGGAAGGTAACGTGAATGTATGAATCGGACTAAATGTGGATAGCGGGGAAGAGTGGGTTCTGTGGAAAACTAGAAAGAATATGCTTCTAAGGATGTTCAAATTTGGATTTAGAAAACAAATACCAAGCCTGCAAAACAGGAGACCTGGAATAAATTATCAGCTTTGAAAAAATCAGAGTTTGAAAAAATATATTAATTCTTATTTCAGAGACATCCATGTAATTCAGTGTCTTTCACAAGGCAGACAAAAAGATCTTAGGAGAGAGAGACAAAGGAAAATAGAAACAAAGAAAAGGTGTTAAGTTTCTAAAAAACAGACACTGTGTTGGGCTTTGAACATATAGAATAGCATGAATTCTCACCATGACTACCTGCAGTAGCCAGTATTATTCCCACTTCATGGATGAAAGATTCAATCTTAGAGAGTTTAGGTAACTTGTAACAGTAGAAAAGCAAGAATTTAATTACAAATCCTATGTTCTCTTCTCTATACTAAATGTATGAACTCAAGCAAGTTATTTATCCTCTTTATTCTTCATGTTTTAATGGGCATAATAATGGTTTATTCACTAGAATATTTTAAGAATTAAAGTTAATAATTGTAAAAATTCTCACAGAATTTTTTTTATGTTTGTTGAATATGAAAGTATGATAATTACTTTTGTTGAGCAACTATCAGCATAGCAGATGTTTGAACTGTTTCTGCAGAGGGATTTGGGCAAGACACCTTTTATTCTTATACCTGGGTTTTATTGTGAAGTTATATCCAGTTAAGCTTGTGAGAATTTGGAGTGCAGCCTGCAGTTGTATGATGGCTGAGGAATACAGGAACATTGTGGTTACTGTAAACATGAGAGTAATAACTGCAAACTAAGGAATAACAGTATATTAATCAGGATCCTCCAAAGAAACAGAAGTGTGTGTGTGTGTGTGTGTGTGTGTGTGTGTGTAGAGAGAGATTATTTGTAGGGAATTGGCTGCCACAGTTATAGAGGCTGAGAAGTCCTGTGATCTCTAGTTGGCAAGCTGAAGTCTGGAGACCTTGCAGAGCTGATGGTATAGTTCCAGCCTGTCTGAAGGCCTGAGAACCTGGAGGGCTGATGGTGTGATTTACAGTTCAAAAGCCAGTGCGCTCAAGACCCAGAAGATCTAATGTTTCCATTTGAGTCAGAAGCCAGGAAAAGACTGGTGATGTTCCAGCTCAAGCAGCCGGGCAGAAGGAGTTCCCTTGTTCCACAAGAGGGCCAGACTTTTTGTTTTATTCAGGCCTTCAGTTGGTTGGATAAGATTCACCTACATTAGGAGGACAACTGGCTTTACTCTATCAATTTAAATGTTAGTCTCCTCCTGAAACTCTCACAGCCCTCACAGACATACCAAGAATAATGTTTGGCTTAATATCTGGGCACCCTGTAGCCCAGTCAAGTTGACACATAAAAGTAATCATGACATATGGTAATGTGTAATAGGATAAGCTGTAATGAGTTAGGAAATGGTCTGATGTTAACAAAATAATAAAGAAAGCAAATGTGTTGAATGCCTGTGGGAACTTGTAACGAGATAGTCATGCACATGGTGAAGAAATTTGTTAGCTGAAGAAGTTCAATACACTGGCTCCTCCAAGATAACTTTCCCACAGGAAACTTTGGGAGCTACTCAGGTATTGCATCCTCTGGGAGTAATTAACTGTTCACTAACAGGAGGTTTGCGTGTAACCAGCAACAGCAGGTAAAATTTCAGGTGCTTCTATCAAAGAACTAGAGAGATAGCTCAGCCACTGCTGGATCCTGTGCGAGGATCCCTGGGGAATGCACCTTCCCTGAGGTATGATGTGACACTTACAATATACACTGATGTATAGTGTATACGTTTTATTGAGTTGGAGCCAGATGGGGTCTATTTACTCCCAGTTGATTTTCAGAATCATCATTTTTATATATTCTCAACAAACCTGTCCCTTTCTCTCCTCGTGGTAACCACCTGGCACAACTCTATCCCTTGTAAATCCAGCTCTCCACAGAGCTGAGTGTGGCTGGAGAAGCCCACAGTGACGCTGATTGCTCTTCCCTTACATTCGTGATCACTAACCGGGGCTGGCTGCCTGATTTGCAGGGCCCAGGGCAAAATGAAAGTGTGGGGCTGTTCGTTCAAAAGACATTTTTAAAAAGCCTCATTAAATGCACTAAAATCTAAGGTGTTTTCATTTTCAAAATAATTTGTGACTTATAAACCATAAAGCAGGCAACAGTGACACACGAGAAATAACATAAACTTACAAATTGCAAAAATTATGTGTGACTCCACAGTCACACACATTAAGCCACCAATGCAGCTGGCCCTGTCGCTAACCGCTAGTAGGCTCCTAGCACACCTGCCATTCTAATGCCTTCCCTCGCTCATTCATGTTTCTGGGAGGCTCCTTCAGATTCTCTCTCCTCTTAAGCCTCTAATGTTTTCTCTCCCATCCTCACTCTCAGTTAATGACTTTGGGGTATATGTCACTGAAAGAAAAACAAATTTAAGCCAAAACCAGAATAAGATGAGAGCTTCTGCAAACTGCTACTTCCTCATCACCCCCCACCTGGATCTATGTCCAAACACTGTCTTCCTTTTTGTTACCCATAAGTTAAACTGGAGCACTAAATCCCAATGTCTCTCTCGAATTCCAGCAATTCTCCTTCTACCTCCCACAATGTCGACTTTTCTGTCTCTACTGGAGTGTTCCTATCAACATGCACAGTTGAATTTTCCCATCTGGCACTACCTGTCCTGATCTTATGTTCCTTTCAAACTACTGCACTATTTCTGCTTTCTTCAGAGTGGAATTCTTTGGAAGGGTTTTCATATTTACCATCTCCAATTTCTGTCTTCATTTTTCCTCTCAGATCCACTAGGTCTGACAGTTTCCTCTGTCCTTTCACAGAAATTGCTCATTTCAAAATGTGAATATCTTCCATGTTGTTATAGCCCATGATCAATTCTTAACCCTCTTCTCACTTAGCCATGAATAGCATTTGCACAGCTGGTTGTTGCCTGACCCTCAAACACTTTCTCACTTGGCTCCATGACACCCCAGACTTCTTGGTTTCCTTCCTTCATCGTTGGCCTCATTTCTCCCTCTGCTTTGCGGTTCCTGCTGTTCACCCTGTGCTTTACACGCTGCAACAGCTTAGGGGCTAGTCCTCTGACATCTTCTCTACCCGCATGTACTCCCTTAGGGATTTCAAACAGTCTCATAGCTTTAAGCACCATCCATACACTGACGACTCCCAGATTCAAAGGTTTAGTCCAGACCTTACCCTTGAACTCCAAATGGGTATACCCACGTACCTAGGAGATAATCCTTACACTCCCTTCTTTCTCCACTATGCTTAATTTAATCTGTCAGAACGTCTGTGATTCTACCTTCCAAATAGATCCATAACCTGACCCCTCTTCACCACTCATCTTGCTACTCCTGGTCCAAGTCACCTCCACCTTGCACTTGGATTATGGCAATAGTCTCTTAACTGTTCTCCCTCTTCCACTGGTTCTTCTTAGTCTTCTATTCATTACGTAGGGATCCTGTTAAAAGACAGGTCTGGTAATATCAGTCCTTTGTAAACATGTCCAATGGCTTCTCACCACAATCAGTAAAAACCAAAAACCCTCCATCTGGTGGCCCCCAGCCCCTTCCTTCTCCACCTCACATGTGCTTCCTTTGCTCACCCTCTCTTGACTGCTTCCTGCTCTTCAAACGTGTTAGGTTATGCTCCTTCCTCTGGGCCTCTGTCTGCAACATCCTTTCTCCAACATCTTTGTGGGTGGCTCTCTCACTTCTACAGGTCTCGCTCATGGGCCTTCTGGCGAGCCCTTCCCTGATCACGGTGCTTGCATGGCAGGCTGGCACTCTGTCTGCCCTGTTTAGTTTTCTTCACGAGATCAGAAAGTCCTGTTTGTCTTGTTTACTGCTTTATGACCAGGGCCTAGAAGCACTTGGCACAACTAGGCATTCAGTACAGATTTATTAATTGAATGAGTAAATAGCAGTTGTGAATCAGAACACAATGGAATCTATGTCTCCAAAACTTTGTGATGAATAAAACTGGCTAAAATATGAGAATTTTATGTACCTTAGTCACATATCATAAGATTTTCTAAGTAGAATTCATACTTGGTTGCATGTCCTAAGATCTTTTTAGGGAGGTTTCCTCTTTCTAAGGGGATTCAAAGATATCAGTGAAACCTGAAAATTGTCTTGGGTTAAGTAGTGCATTGTGGAGTACCAAATGGCATGAAAGAACAAAACTGCTGTCACTGTGACTGCCATAGTCAATGTCAATGTTGGATATGACTGCATGAGCTGACAGCCCCTGGAGCATGTGAAATATATGAAATGCACACTGGACATAACAGAGCATTTTTGCAGGGAGCTGGACCAACTCTTTTATGTGACTAAGATGCTATTTGCAATTTATATAAAGGAAAAAAGCAAATATGCTCCATGCAGTGCCTAAAAGAGCCCTAGTGGCTTCAGGGTAGAAAGCCATCCCACTTCTCTTCAGCAGAGCATGAAATCAACCTACTACCTTTTATCAGGTTACTTACATAAAGGAATTGTGCCTATTAATAAAACATCATGCATCTTGTTTCTCCAAGAGCAATGATAACCAAACTCTCCTTTCCCGTTCCCTCTTCCTTCCTTCTCTGGGGTCAATTTTTGCTGCCCTGTGTTCTGTTCAGCATGCATTAGCCATGAGGATCAGATTGTTAGTCCAGATGACTTTGAAGTAGTTTTTCTTATGGTAAGGTTTTCTCCTAAGTCTGTAGCATAGAATCCTTGTTTTGGGGTTGATCCATGCCTAACCTGAAGATGATAGAATGCAAATTCTGCTTTACATTTGTGTATATAAATATTGCATCAGTCACATGTCCATTTTGGTGGCAACATCGTCTGTGGTTTTCTTAGCTGCCCTGGGATCAGATTTGCTTAATCATGTTCCCTTTTCTTTCAGGTTGTGCTTGGCTTCTTGCTGCCCACACCTACTCCATGATTTCGTGCTAATTTCTGCCCTTCTTCTCAGTTAGTGAAAGCTTCCCCGCACTCATTATCAGCACACTTGAATGTCCACTTAGTGTCAGACGTACAATTTTTAAAGTGAGAATTTCATCCAGGACTTTTACAAAGCCTCTCATGTGGCCACAGACTGCAGTTAAAAAACTAGCCTGTTAGAATGGTCACCTTGACATCATAGTCCAGAAGTGTCCCAATAATGGATGTGCAAAAAAGGAGTTAAAAAATGAGAACACCAGCCCACAAAGAATGGTACCACCCAAGCATTTGGACCAAGTCCACAGTTTTTATGTTTTTGTGCCACATAGCATAGACAGCCTAATATATTTAAAGTAACACTTAAAATGTACTTTAGGGATTCAAATTTTAGCTCCTTGTTTCTGTTTGCTAATACAGAACATAAATTTTGAAAAAATAAACTTTTAATTGAAAATTTTACAAAAAGTAAAATAAAAAACTGCTTATATTTCCATCCAAGGGAAAGAAGATACACATAGTAAATACTTTAAAAGTATGTATATTCTTTCACCCGCTTTTAGGATTTATCCTAAGTATAACTAGCTGTTTTATAAAGATGTTCATCATCATTATTTACAGTAAGAAAAAATGAACCTAAATGTTGACAGAATTCACGGAGTGAGCTATGGTGCCTGCACACAGTGGGGAATTACGCAGGACTGAACACTATGTTTAAAAGCACTTTTAATGGCATGTCAAACACTTACTCTAATATGGAAAATACAGTGATTTCGTGGATATACAAAAACATCCTCATTTTTGTGTAATCGTGTATCATATATGATCCTAAGTACGTAATACTAAACATGAGAAAAAATGCTTGCTAAAAACAGACCAAAATGTAGAGGGCTGCCACTGTGTGGTGTGATCGGGTGACTTTTTGCCTTTTAATTTATATTTTTGTTGGCACAGAACATTGTTCTCATGTGCCCGAAGAGATTTAAAGATGATCTTGAGACAATTAGCCTCCTCTCAGAGTCCTGCCGGGGTAGGTAACAGGGAAGATTGGGGCAGGTCAGAGGTGACTCCGGGACGTTTGTGCTTGGTGCCCTGCTGCGAGGGACAGCGGCTCCGCAGCTCCAGCCCACTGTTCGTCACAGGTCCTTGGTGACTGTCTTACCAGTTATTTTCAAATTCAAGATAAAACGGAAATACAGACTTTCACATAAAACTGTCTACATTTAACTACCAGCAATTACATTTTTTGTCGTAAAACAAAGGGTAAGTCAAACAAAACGTCTAAGAGTAAATCTGTCTACAGTGTGTTCAGGAAATGAACACAGGTCAGGTTTATGTGGAAGATATCCAGGGCGTAGCACATCTGCTGGAAGCATTTCAGTCATGAGCACAGCTGGGTATTGGCCGTGAACCTGGTGTGCACTGAATACACACCCCGTGGCCCCTACAGTGCATTCCCTGTGGATAGTTTATTAGGTTTCCTTTATTCCCTTCATCTATTCTTCCCTTTCCTTTCTTCCTTCCTCTTTTTTTGCCTCCCTCTCTCTCTTCCTGTCTTTATTAAATATATGGGATGCAGATTTGATGAATATGTCAATCAAAGATCACCAAGAAGTCTTAAACAGGTAAACCACAGAAAACAGTCAGGATCAGAATAAGAACACTGTTTAGTGGTTCTCAAGCTTTTTGTTCTCAGAACTTCTTTATAATCTAAAATGTGTTGCACCCCCTGAAAAGCTTTCACTTTTATGGGATAAAAATAAATATTTATAAAATATATAGTAAAAAATATAAATATATAAATAAATTTATGATTTGTTTATATAAATATGTATATAAAACCATATTTATCATACTAAGATTTGAAATGGACAAATATTTAAAATATTTATTAGTTAATTTTAAATAATTACCAACCTTTCAAATAAATAACATTTTAATGAAAATTAAAAAAAATTAAATTCCGCCTGGCGCAGTGGCTCATGCCTGTAATCCCAGCACTTTGAGAGGCCGAGGCGGGCGGATCATTTGAGTTCAGGAGTTCGAGACCAGCCCGACCAACCTTGTGATACCCCATCTCTGCTAAAAATCCAAAAAAATTAGCTGGGTGTGGTGGCGGACACCTGTAGTCCCAGCTACTCGGGAGGCTGAGGCAGGAGAATTGCTTGAACCTGGGAGGCAGAGGTTGCAGTGTGCCAAGATGGTGCCACTGCACTCCAGCCTGGGAGACAGAGCAAGACTCTGTCTCAAAAAAAAAAAAAATTAAATTCCAATTTAATTTTTATTTTAATTTATTTAGTTCTAAAATTATATTTAATTTTGTAATTTATTTTAATCGTATATTAATCACATTTATTTTAAAACCAAATAAATGTGTTGAGAAGAGAGAAATTGTTTTACATTTTTGCAAATCTCCTTAATGTGTAGCTTAATAAAAGATAACTCTACTATTCTGTTTCTGCATTTAATCTGTTATGAAGTCACCTATCATGAATCTTCTGGAAAATTTCATGTATATTTGTGAGAGAATGAGGGTAAAAATGGCGAATAACATCTTAGTATTATTATAAAAGTCATTTTGGCCTCCTGTTGCCACTGAAAAAGTCTCAGGATGTCCCAGGGGACTTTGGCCCACACTTTGAGAATCAATGTTCAGGCTCCTTTCTGAGCTGATTATGTAGCTGAGCACGCTGAACGTCATGTGATTGAGAACCTGCCCCTTCCAGCCTTCATCTCTTCCATTAGCTTCCCTAAACCATTCATTTTTTAGGGCATTATTTTCTATCAAATACAAACACCAGTGGAAGACAGAACACATGAAGCCATTAGTAGTTTAATGCCTTAATGTGAATAAATTTAATTCATTTCAATTTGAGAGTCCATGGGGTCACAAAGGAGATGAAAGAGAAAGTACAAGAGCCAGACATAAGGTTGGAAAGAACCCTGTCCCCAGTGAAAGGCCAATTTTTTCTTTCACAGCATCGTCTTGGAACAACCTGCTTTCTGGATTCTTAGCTCACAAGTTTGAAAAGGAGCCATTCCCTGATCTATTTTAATTGCTTATCTTCAAAAACTGTCTGAACTACGGTACCCTGTGGCTACTACCTTCCAATTTAGGACTCAGGTTTCCAGGAAAAGAAAAGAGTTACAACTACTAATAAAAGTCAGTCAAAGTAACTGCTCCTCTTTGAAAGTTTCAGCTCTTATTTTAGATATGGGGGTTCACATGCAGGTGTGTTACATGGGTGTATTACACCCAGCTAGTGAGTATCGTACCCCTGGCTAGTTTTTCAATGCATGCCCCTCCCTTCTTTGCCCCGCGCAGTCCACAGCGCCTGTTGTTCCCATGTGTACGTCCATGTGTGCTCAATGCATAGCTTGGAGCTCCCACCTATAACTGAGAACATGCAGTGTGTAAACCCCACTAATTTCTATGAAAAAGTATTTCTGTTGATAACCCTGCAGGAAGCTCTTTATTAATGTCTTCATCCTTTAAACCTACTTAGCCCTATGCTGCTTTAGTCACCTGTACTTTTTTTAAAAACTGTTTTTTTCTCTCATTCTGACTTACTTATCCTTACATACATTGCTATTTCTTCATTCCTAAGGAAGTACGCATTCGATTTAAGCATCTGTGCTGAGATAAAATTAAATTCTAGTCTTTTTTAATGGGGCAAAATGGAAATATAATCTCAGGTAATGCTTTCCAGTTCAGCTTACTGCTGGTTTTTGCAGATGGAATTATAAACATACTTAATCAGAGGGAAATTCCAATACACTTTAGCCACAGGATATTCGTGCCTTTGCATGGGAAGAATTGATCTCTCCTCAAGCTAGCTGCAACCTGCGTCTTCTGAGGGAAGAGCTGTCTTCACCTGCGTGGGATGAATTTGAGGGATCACTGGCCTTGCCGTCTGAGAGTGCGGTCCCTGAGCTGGGAGGATTCTGCTGAGATTAGGTCATGCGATCAGCCTGAGGTTGCGACCATGGGGGTGAGCTCAAATTATAGTTTTGGTACCATGCCTGAGTTTAGTCGGCAAAAGTAATTCACACCAGAGGGGGAATGTGCAAGAGGTCAATAACAGAATGAGAAATCAGGGGCAGGGAAAATGCAGGTTGTGAAAGACGATGAAGTGATGATTAGAGGCAGGCTAGGGTGGCCTACCAGTGGTGAAGTCCTGGGAGTGAAGAAGACGTTTGCTTCATAAATAAAGAAAGTCTTCTGTGCTGCAGGAGAATCAACTGTTGAGAGGGGTGAACGGATGCAGAGTAGTTTCCCTGTTACCACGTCCAAACAGACGTTTATTTGCTGGTAACTGCCATTTCAAAAATACCACCGGAATACTCACTATTTAAATGTTTTTATTACACCACAACTTTGGAAAACATCTCTAAGCCAGGCATATAAGCCAAGGTTACATAGTATGTCAGGAAAGGTATAACCATTAAATTATTTAACTGTGTTTTGTCTATGATTTTTAAGAAAAAAATCTATATTTTCTGCGAGTAGTGAGCAATACTTATCAATTGGTTAGTCACTTGTGTCTGCGAGTTTCATCACCAGCATGATCGGAAAGGTATCTCCCCTCAGCTTCATTTGCAGAGAGGCCTGAGTCGCTCTCAGCCTCCCCCATTTCTGCGCTGCAGCTTCTGGGGAGCCCCTGACACCACAGACCCCAGAGCAGCCCCTGCCGACAGCGTGCCTGCTCCGGACAATCCCGAGCTAAGGATCTGTTAGTATTAACCGGGATTTTCTGTCTCGTATAACGCATGGAGCAGTGTTTCTTAAAGAATGAATTTGTGAAGAAAATGCACAGCTGCCCCAAACACTGTAGGCACTGAACGAGCACTCATGGCTTCTCCCTTTGCAGAAATCTCTGTGGACTCTCCTGTTCGTGGGAGGAGTGCCTTTTTCTGGGGTGCAGTGGCTTCCTCTCCATGCTCACCTCGCACACTCCCGGCTCTGCCTCTGCCCTCGGGCCACCGGTCCCCCAGTCGTGCCACGTCCCTGCTGCCTGAGGGGATGCTTGCACGGCTCCCTCTGCCGGGACTTTCCACCTAGATGCTCGGCCTTGACCCCTCACTCACATACCCTTTTCTGCACAACTCTTTCCTGAGTCTCGACACCATCCTACACTCACAGAGTACTGCACGCCTTTCTGACATAGCCGTGTGTCGGTGTGCTGTGTGAAGTGTTTTTGTGTATATGACTACTTGCATGTTACAGCAGTGTGTCAGTGTGCTGTGTGAAGTGTTTTCGTGTATCTATCTACGTGTAATAGCGTGTCAGTGTGCTGTGTGAAGTGTTTTTGTGTATATATTTGTTATAGCAGCGTGTCAGTGTGCTGTGTGAAGTGTTTTCACGTGTATATGACTATTTGCGTGTTATAGCCATGTGTCGCTGTGCTGTGTGAAGTGTTTTCATGTGTATATGACTATTTGCATGTTATAGCAGGGTGTCAGGGTGCTGTGTGAAGTGTTTTCATGTGTATATGACTATTTGCATGTTATAGCAGGGTGTCAGGGTGCTGTGTGAAGTATTTTCATGTGTATATGACTATTTGCATGTTACAGCAGTGTGTCAGTGTGCTGTGTGAAGTGTTTTCGTGTATCTATCTACGTGTAATAGCGTGTCAGTGTGCTGTGTGAAGTGTTTTTGTGTATATGACTATTTGTTATAGCAGCGTGTCAGTGTGCTGTGTGTTTTCATGTGTATATGACTATTTGCGTGTTAAAGCCATGTGTCGCTGTGCTGTGTGAAGTGTTTTCATGTGTATATGACTATTTGCATGTTATAGCAGGGTGTCAGGGTGCTGTGTGAAGTGTTTTCATGTGTATATGACTATTTGCATGTTACAGCAGTGTGTCAGTCTGCTGTGTGAAGTGTTTTATGTGACTATTTGCATGTTACAGCAGTGTCTGTGTTGTGTGAAGTGTTTTGGTGTATATGACTATTTGCATGTTTTCTGCACACTAGATGGAGTGCAGAGTGTGTTGCCTGTTTTTCTCCACCGCTCCATCCTCAGTGCCTGCTACGGTGTTGGACACACAGTAGAGGTTCAGTAAATGCTAATGAACAGTCGATTAAATGAGCAAAAACCTTTATTGAATACCTACCATGTTCCAGACATGGCTAACTGATGAGAATTTACCAATTACATGCTTGCTGCCTTCAGGGAACTCGACCTCACAAGACAGACTGTCACGTAGAGACAACTGCTACACAACATGGGAAGAACTGCTATAGAGATGTAAAGATGTAAAGACCCAAAATGAAGAAGCCAGAACACATGAACACGAAACCAGCCAACCAACAAACACAAGCAGCATGGAGCATAGAGTCTGGGGACCAACTGCAGGGTGCTGAGGAATGCAGGTGGAGGCAGAGTGGAAATCACCTGAGTTTCCATCAGGCAGAGTTGCGCTTGAATTTGAGTTCTGGCATTTGCTGAGCCTCTCTGATTCTGTCTTCTGTAAAATAGGAGTAATAATATTTATTTATATCTACCGTACAGGCAATTGTGAGATTTACTTAAGACATACTTTGTCCATTTTTCTGTTGCTTATAACAGAATACCTGAAACTAGGTGACTTATTTTTAAAAAGCTAATTTCTTAGAGTTATGAAGGCTCAGAAATCCAAGGATGGGGGTCTGCAGCTGGTGAGGGCCTTCTCGCTGATGGGAAATCAGAAAAGCCCTAAGGTGGTTCAGAGAACCACATGGCAAGGGGGCCGAGAATGCTAGCGTGTTAGCTCAGATCTCTCTTCTTCTTATAAGGCCACCAGTTCCTCTCCCATGATAACCCATTTATCCATTAACCCATTAGTTCTTTAATCCATGAGTAGATTGATTCATAAGGGGATAACCCCTGTGATCCAATCACCACTTAAAGGATGCCCCTCTCAATACTCCCATATCGGGGACAGTTGCAACACAAACAAATTAAGATGGCCTATTAGACACCCTAAATCTTACATCTTAAGGTGTTCTGTGATGTTGCAGTTCAACCCCCTCTCATTCCTCTCTACTCTTTTAGCAGTTACAAACAAACAAACTCACTCACCAAAGAAAACACCAAACAAACATACATCCAATAGTATTGTGTCCGGAATTGGTGGGTTCTTGGTCTAACTGACTTCAAGAATGAAGCCACGGACCCTTGCGGTGAGTGTTACAGTTCCTAAAGATGGTGTGTCCAGAGTTTGTTCATTCAGATGTTCAGATGGGTCCAGAGTTTCTTCCTTCTGGTGGGTTTGTGGTCTAACTGGCTTCAGGAATGAAGGTGCAGACCTTCACGGTGTTACAGCTCATAAAGATAGCGCAGACCCAAAGAGTGAGCAGCAGCCGCCAAAGACGGTGCAGACCCAAAGAGTGAGCAGCAGCAGGATTTATTGCCAAAGGCAAAAGAACAAATCTTCCACAATCTGGAAGAGGACCCTAGCCGGTTGCCACTGCTAGCTCGGGCAGCCTGCTTTTATTCCCTTATCTGGCCCCACCCACATCCTACTCATTGGCTCATTTTAGAGAGAGCTGATTGGTCCATTTTACAGAAAGCTGATTGGGCCGTTTTACAGATAGCTGATTGGTCCATTTTGACAGAGCGCTGATTGGTGCATTTACAAACCTTTCGCTAGACACAGAGCGCTGATTGGTGCATTTACAATCCTTTAGCTAGACAGGAAAGTTCTCCAAGTCCCCACCAGATTAGCTAGACACGGAGCGCTGATTGATGCGGTTACAAACCTCTAGCTAAACAGAAAAGTTCTCCAAGTCCCCACCCGACACAGAAGCCCAGCTGGCTTCACCTCTCAATGACACTTGCCCTGAGGCTTTGCGGCACCTAGCCTGGGTACTCCAGCAGCCCAGAGGGGGCAGCCCAGTAGGCACCGGCCGGCCACACCGAGTGTGGGCTCCTGAGCCTGCACCCACCCGGAACCAGCACTGGCCCGCGAGCATGCACAGCCCCGCTCCCACCTGTGCCTCTCCCTCCACACCTGGTGGGGAGCAGAGGGAGCCGCCGGGCCTCCGCCAGCCCCAGAGAAGGGCCCCCACAGCACAGCGGTGGGCTGAAGGGCTCCTGGAGCACCGCCAGAGCAGTTGCTGAGAGCCAGTGAGGGCTGCTAGCACGTTGTCACCTCTCAGTATTAACAATACAAATACTTTTTTGTCTTATTTGTCCTTTGACTTATTTATAACCAACAGAATGTAGAGAAAGTGATGCTGATGTTGAATGACTCTGGAGGCTAGACCAGAAAATGTTGAAGAGTATCAGAATATACAACCCTAATATATGTTACTTTTGCATAAATTTTATTTTTTAAATTTTTAATTTTTATTTTAAGCTGAAGGCAATTGAGAAAAAGAAGATGCGAGAAGAGCTGTTTACCCTTCCTCTATCTGCTTAAAAGCAAGGAATAAATTTCCATTATAAAGGTGTCCCCTTGTTCTCATACCAAGAAGAGGAGACAGCATCAAGATTACTCTACATAAAGAAACCTAACTAAATAACCCTTTTCTATAATAGTTTCTCCCATGTATTTACCTTCCTACAATTTAATGCCCCTAGAAGCCCAAGCCCCTTTTCTTTGGTTGCTTCCCCACAATTTATCGTACTTTGTTAAAATGGTAGGTAAGCTCCTAAGTGTAACCACTTCTTTGGATTTTTTTAGTTCTTTCTCTGCAGTTCCCATGCATATAAAAATATTAACAACAAATAAAATTTGTATGCTCTTCATTCATTGGTCCTTCTTTTGTCAGTTTAATTCACAAATTAAGCTGCAGAACCTAAGAGGATGGAGGAAAAGTTTTCCTTTCTTACAAGATCATGTGGCATCTGCTTCACTTACTGAGGAGCCCCGAGCCACCATGTATAAAATCTGAATACCCGAAGACCCCCGTACTGTGAGGAAGCCCGACCACATGGAGAGGCCACATGAAGGTTCTCAAATCAGAACCCCACCTGAGGTCCCAGCCTACAACCAGTATCAACCACCAGACATGTGAGTAATGATGTTTCCAGTTGATTCCAACCAACAGCCTTTGGGTCACCTCCAGCCTTTGGATCTTTGCATCTGAAATGCCACACATGACAGAGCGGATACAAGCATTTCTGCTGTGTCCTGTCCAAGTCTCTGACTGATAGAATCTGGGCTTGTTCTAGGCACCTGAGTCTTGAGGTTGTTTGTTACACAGCCTCAGTAACTTGAACAACAGTTATGCAACACTTGAGCTAGACCTTGAAAGATGAATAGGGATTTTTGTCTAGCAAAACTGTTTGGAAAAGGCTTAATATTTTAGGAGAAAAGTTAAAAGGTAAGTGTGGTTAACACATGGGTTGTGGGAGAGAATCAGGAGATGAGATGAAAAAAGTTGATGTAAGAAAGTGTGCTGTATGGTTTAGTGAAAATTATATATTTGTTCATTAGCATAGGCAATTTTCTTCCAGACCGCTGGCTTTGAAATGATGTATTTTTAAAATTGCAAAGTTTATACCATAGAATTTCTGGAGGCTTCTGAAATTTCAATTGGAGATAAAACAGGACTTCAAAATGTAACTTCTCCTAAATTATGAGCTATGGTTTAACTGATGAGTAATTTTTAGTTTTATTGTTGGTTAAAAACACACTGTTATTCCCATGAGTGCTCACATCCAGTTTTAGCATGTGTGTGTGTGTTTCTTTTATTTTTTGTTTTGTTTTGTTTTGTTTTGTTTTGTTTTGTTTTGTTTGCGGTGGGCGGGTTGGTATCAGAGTTATGAATGAGAAGCATTCTTATCAGAATATACTGGATACTAATACATTTTGCGTGTAATTTTCTACAGAGGTATTGATTTTAATCAACTTTCAAGATGAAGCACCACATTTGTCAAGGCAGAAGACCCAAATGTGCAATTTTTTCTTAGGGGAAAACTGGCTATAATGAATGTGCTGAAATATATTAGTTATCTATTAACCTCAACACGCAAGAAAGCACTAGATCATTAGTTTGCCTGGTAAGGGAAAAAACAGGGGCTGCAGCCTGCCCAGCTACAGAAGAAAGTGGAATCAGCAGAACAAGTGGCCTGTGAAGATGCCAGCTTGTGAGAAATGCCTGGCTGACTGTGAACAGGGATATTATTAAATGGATGCATATGATGCATAGCGTAATTATACCACTTATGGCAGAAAAACATCACCATTTTATCAAATGCTCCACTGTGTACATCAAAGATCATGGTATCATCTATCTCTGGGATGCCATGTGAGCTTTGCAGTTCTGGAAGGGCTTCGAGTCAAGTTTTGATTAATTCTTGATGGTTTTATTTGATTATAGAAGTAGAGCTTGAACGTGTGTGTGCGTTTTCCCTTTTTCTTGTAAGAACTGACAATCTTGATTAAATTTCCCTTTTAGGAGTGGGAAGCAAGAAGCAAAGTAATTGTCACCACTTCTTGGAGAAGAATGGCTTATAGTGTTTTGAACATATCGTCTCAAAATAACCTCTTCGGAAGATTAGTGGAAAGAAGCAAAACTGTGAAGACCTTGGTTCACAGTAGCTGTTGATGTTTCTTTTTTTCATTTTGGTATTGATTATAATCGCTTCTTCATAAAGCTCAGATGCAGGGTTTATTTCCAGTTCTTTCACCGTGCTTCTTACCTCAGAGTCAAACCATTGCTATACTCTCCACATAGTTGGTTTCCAGTGTTTAAATTGCATGCGTGAGGTGCTCAGGTTTGTGACATTGCTTTACATATATTACTGTAAAAAAAAAACATAACCCCAAATCTAGAGTATATAAGGCTTTGTGCTAAGCAAGCATGGAAAAGAGTTACTTATGGCTTATATCCATGTGTGGACTATGATTGATAGAATTTCCCTTGCAATTGCCAAAGAGAAGTCTACATGGTCTTTGAAGAAACAAATTACCTATGACCCCATGTATTTGCATTTGTGCTCTTCCTAACTATATAGTAGTCTGAATTTAGTCCCCCAACGTAGGGGGATGTTTTAATGGACAAGCACTTAATTCATTTCAAGGTTTTGAGGATTTATCTTATAAGCACTTACTAAGCAGTGGTTATGTCCCAAGGCCAGGGCTGCACCCTGGAGACTCAGGGAGGCACAATACTTGATTTCATGGATCTCATAATCTAGTGCTATGGAAACATTAAAATATTAAAACCACAGTGGAGAAGAGCAGTGGATAGGTCTTAGGGAAGAAGACTTGTATGAAAGGTGATGCCTGAAATCATACTTAGTCATCTTTACATAGGACGATTTTTATGGAAGAATGAAATCTTCAGGATTGAATGATATTTTCATTTTAGCAAACTGGCCATCTCTTTTCTTTGAGCTTATAAACATGGTTGAATGTGTCAAGTAGCGAGACAAGAAAAAAATACCTTTGAGTGACCTTGCTTTATTATGTGAAAAATGACAAACTGGCAGGCAGGAAAGATACATGGCTTACCATGTATCTTTCAATTTTTGGGATGTACTAAAAAATTCAATGCAGTTACCACATAGAAGCAAGAGCTAGAGAAGTTCTGAGAGAATTTTTAATCTTTAGGTCAGACAGCAAGGATGTGAGGCGGTGAAGTTAAATTACACTGAGTCACATTGACGTTGACTAGTCTGATAGATACAGAAACACACAATTACCTTCACTCACAGAGTTTCCTAGGGCTGCAGGAACAAAGCGCCATAAGCTCGGTGGCTCAAAACATTTGGAAATGGTTCTCTCACAGAGTCACAGCCACGGAAGCTCCAAGTCTGAACTCAAGGTGTTGGCAGGGCTGTGTTCCCTCTGGAGGCCCTACGGAGGCCCCTTCCTCGTCTCCAGCTTCTGGTGGCTTCAAGTGTCCCGTAGTTTGTGACAGCAACACTCCAATCTCTGCCTCTGTCTTCACATGGCCTTCTCTGTGCATCTGTGTGTGTCAAATCTTTGTCTGTCTTTGTCTTATAAGGACACTTATTGGATTTAGGGACCACATGGATAATCCAAGATAACCTCATTTCAAAACCCTTAATTTTATAACATTGGCAAGACTTTGTTTGTTTGTTTGTTTGTTTTGCAAATAAGGCCATAGTCACAGGTTCCGGATGGATATATCATTTGAGGGGAGACAATTCAACTCACTATATACACAAACACATGTGTGTATCTATATAGCTGTATAATTGACACCATGAAATCATTAATAAAAACACTGCCCTTTTTTGAGACAGAGTCTCGCTCTGTCGCCCAGGCTGGAGTGCAGTGGCGCGATCTCGGCTCACTGCAACCTCCACCTCCCGGATTCAAGCAATTCTCCTGCCTCAGCCTCCCAAGTAGCTGGGATTACAAGCGCCCGCCACCACGCCTGGCTAATTTTTGTATTTTTAGTAGAGACGGGGTTTCACCATGTTGGCCAGGCTGGTCTCAATCTCTTGACCTGGTGATCCACCTGCCTTGGCCTCCCAAAGTGCTGGGATTACAGATGTAAGCTACCCCTCCCATATAAAACACTGCCCTTTCTATAGAAAAACTGGTCAAGTACTGGACAGTTTACTACAAAAGAAACAGTAAGTAGATAAAAAATGAAACCTAGGTTCAAAAGCATGAATAATGAATCTTGATTTTAATGATGGTTTCATCAGTGTATGCATATGTCCAAACTTATCAAATTGTACACTAAATATGTGTAGTTTTTTATATTGATTTTACCTCAACAAAGCTATTATAAATACAAATAATAAAAAGTGCAAATAAATTGACAAGATACAAATATATTTAAATATCAAAATGATAGAGATTAAAAAACTGTGCTGCTGGCCAGGTGCGGTGGCTCACACCTGTAATTCCAGCACTTTGGGAGGCCAAAGCGGGTGGATCACCTGAGGTCAGGAGTTTGAGACCAGCCTGGCCAACATGGTGAAACCACATCTCTACTAAAAATACAAAAATTAGCTGGGCATGATGGTGCACGCCTGTGATCCCAACTACCTGGGAGGCTGAGGCAGGAGAATCGCTTGAACCTGGGAGGCAGAAGTTGCAGTGAGCTGAGATCAGGCCGCTGTACTCCAGCCTGGGCAACAGAATGAGGCTCCATCTCAAAAAAACGACAGACAAACAAAAAACAGTGCTGTTGAGTGTGCATTGAGACAGGCATTTTCCAACACTGCCTTTCTGGAAGCAGGGAGGAGAGGCACAGAAATTTCAGCAAGGGTAAAGTCTTCATCCTGCAACCATATTTCTAGGAGTCTAGATAATTCGATATACAGGTAAAGTCACAGCATTTATTTAATCATGTTAATTAGTTATGTAACATATAATAAAATAATATTGTATGTTAATACATAATATAAATATATTATGCTAATACATTGATATATACACACTTAGTCCTTCTATCTGTTACTAAAGGGAGCTCACGTGGCACCAACAAGGAAACACACACTTAGTCCTTCTATCTGTTACTAAAGCGAGCTCACGTGACATCAACAAGGAAACACACTTAGTCCTTCTATCTGTTACTAAAGGGAGTTCACGTGACATCAGCAAGGAAACACAGTCTTATCTGTTACTAAAGCGAGCTCACGCGACATCAACAAGGAAACACAGTTAGTCCTTCTATCTGTTACTAAAGGGAGCTCACGAGACATCAACAAGGAAACACAGTTAGTCCTTCTATCTGTTACTAAAGGGAGCTCACGTGACATCAACAAGGAAACACACTTAGTCCTTCCATCTGTTACTACAGGGAGCTCACGTGACATCAGCAAGGAAACACAGTACTATCTGTTACTAAAGGGAGCTCACGTGACATCAAAAACGAAACACACTTAGTCCTTCTATCTGTTACTAAAGGGAGCTCACGCGACATCAACAAGGAAACACAGTCCTTCTATCTGTTACTAAAGGGAGCTCACGTGACATCAACAAGGAAACAAACTTAGTCCTTCTATCCGTTACTAAAGTGAGCTCATGTGACATCAACAAGGAAACACAGTTAGTCCTTCTATCTGTTACTAAAGCAAGCTCACCTGACAACAACAAGAAAATACACACTTAGTCCTTTGTATCTGTTACTCAAGCGAGCTCATGACATCAACAAGGAAACACACACTTACTCCTTCTGTTACTAAAGGGAGCTCATGTGACATCAACAAGGAAACACACAGTTAGTCCTTCTATCTGTTGCTAAAGGGAGCTCATGTGACATCAACAAGGAAACACAGTTTGTCCTTCTATCTGTTATTAAAGGGAGCCCACGCGACATCAACAAGGAAACACAATCAGTCCTTCTATCTGTTACTAAAGGGAGCTCACGTGACATCAGCCAGGAAACACACTTAGTCCTTCTATCTGTTACTAAAGGGAGTTCACATGACATCAGCAAGGAAACACAGCCCTTCTATCTGTTACTAAAGGGAGCTCACGCGACATCAACAAGGAAACACAGTCCTTCTATCTGTTACTAAAGCGAGCTCACATGACATCAACAAGGAAACACAGTTAGTCCCTCTCTCTGTTACTAAAGCGAGCTCACGTGACATCAACAAGGAAACACACTTAGTCCTTCTATCTGTTACTAAAGGGAGTTCACGTGACATCAGCAAGGAAACACAGTTAGTCCTTCTATCTGTTACTAAAGGGAGCTCACGAGACATCAACAAGGAAACACAGTTAGTCCTTCTATCTGTTACTAAAGCGAGCTCACGCGACATCAACAGGGAAACACAGTTAGTCCTTGTATCTGTTACTAAAGCGAGCTCATGCGACATCGACAAGGAAACACAGTCTTATCTGTTACTAAAGGGAGCTCACGTGGCATCAACAAGGAAACACAGTTAGTCCTTCTATCTTTTACTAAAGCGAGCTCACGTGACATCAACAAGGAAACACACTTAGACCTTCTATCTGTTACTAAAGCGAGCTCACGTGACATCAACAAGGAAACACACTTAGTCCTTCTATCTGTTACTAAATCGAGCTCACGCAACATCAACAAGGAAACACAGTCCTTCTTCCTGTTACTAAAGGGGGCTCACGTGACATCAACAAGGAAACACACTTAGACCTTCTATCTGTTACTAAAGCGAGCTCATGTGACATCAACAAGGAAACACACTTAGTCCTTCTATCTGTTACTAAAGTGAGCTCACGCGACATCAACAAGGAAACACAGTCCTTCTATCTGTTACTAAAGGGGGCTCACGTGACATCAACAAGGATACACACTTAGTCCTTCTATCTGTTACTAAAGCGAGCTCATGCGACATCAACAAGGAAACACAGTCCTTCTATCTGTTACTAACGCGAACTCACGTGATATCAACAAGGAAACACACTTAGTCCTTCTATCTGTTACTAAAGCGAGCTCACGCGACATCAGCAAGGAAACACAGTCCTTCTATCTGTTACTAAAGGGGGCTCATGTGACATCAACAAGGAAACACACTTAGTTCTTCTATCTGTTACTAAAGCGAGCTCATGTGACATCAACAAGGAAACACACTTAGTCCTTCTATCTGTTACTAATGCGAGCTCACGCGACATCAACAAGGAAACACAGTCCTTCTATCTGTTACTAAAGGGGGCTCACGTGACATGAACAAGGAAACACACTTAGTCCTGCTATCTGTTACTAAAGCGAGCTCATGCGACATCAACAAGGAAACACAGTCCTTCTATCTGTTACTAAAGCGAGCTCACGTGACATCAACAAGGAAACACACTTAGTCCTTCTATCTGTTACTAAAGTGAGCTCATGTGACATCAACAAGGAAACACAGTCCTTCTATCTGTTACTAAAGGGGGCTCATGTGACATCAACAAGGAAACACACTTAGTCCTATCTGTTACTAAAGCGAGCTCATGTGACATCAACAAGGAAACACACTTAGTCCTTCTATCTGTTACTAAAGGGAGTTCACGTGACCTCAGCAAGGAAACACAGTCTTATCTGTTACTAAAGTGAGCTCACGTGACATCAACAAGGAAATAGACTTAGTCCTTCTATCTGTTACTAAAGGGGGCTCACGTGACTTCAACAAGGAAACACAGTTAGTCCTTCTATCTGTTACTAAAGCAAGCTCACATGACATCAACAAGGAAACAGAGTCCTTCTATCTGTTACTAAAGGGGGCTCACGTGGCATCAACAAGGAAACACACTTAGTCCTTCTATCTGTTACTAAAGGGAGCTCACGTGGCATCAACAAGGAAACACAGTTAGTCCTTCTATCTGTTACTAAAGCGAGCTCACGCGACATCAACAAGGAAACACACTTAGTCCTTCTATCTGTTACTAAAGCGAGCTCACGCGACATCAACAGGGAAACACAGTTAGTCCTTGTATCTGTTACTAAAGCGAGCTCATGCGACATCGACAAGGAAACACAGTCTTATCTGTTACTAAAGGGAGCTCACGTGGCATAAACAAGGAAACACAGTTAGTCCTTCTATCTTTTACTAAAGCGAGCTCACGTGACATCAACAAGGAATCACACTTAGTCCTTCTATCTGTTACTAAAGCGAGCTCACATGACATCAACAAGGAAACACACTTAGACCTTCTATCTGTTACTAAAGCGAGCTCGCGTGACATCAACAAGGAAACACACTTAGTCCTTCTATCTGTTACTAAATCGAGCTCACGCGACATCAACAAGGAAACACAGTCCTTCTTTCTGTTACTAAAGGGGGCTCACGTGACATCAACAAGGAAACACACTTAGTCCTTCTATCTGTTACTAAAGCGAGCTCATGTGACATCAACAAGGAAACACACTTAGTCCTTCTATCTGTTACTAAAGTGAGCTCACGCGACATCAACAAGGAAACACAGTCCTTCTATCTGTTACTAAAGGGGGCTCACGTGACATCAACAAGGATACACACTTAGTCCTTCTGTTACTAAAGCGAGCTCATGCGACATCAACAAGGAAACACAGTCCTTCTATCTGTTACTAACGCGAACTCACGTGATATCAACAAGGAAACACACTTAGTCCTTCTATCTGTTACTAAAGCGAGCTCACGTGACATCAGCAAGGAAACACAGTCCTTCTATCTGTTACTAAAGGGGGCTCATGTGACATCAACAAGGAAACACACTTAGTCCTATCTGTTACTAAAGCGAGCTCATGTGACATCAACAAGGAAACACACTTAGTCCTTCTATCTGTTACTAAAGCGAGCTCACGCGATATCAACAAGGAAACACAGTCCTTCTATCTGTTACTAAAGGGGGCTCACGTGACATCAACAAGGAAACACACTTAGTCCTTCTATCTGTTACTAAAGGGAGCTCACGTGACATCAGCAAGAAAACACAGTCCTTCTATCTGTTACTAAAGGTAGCTCACGTGACATCAGCAAGGAAACACAGTCCTTCTATCTGTTACTAAAGGGAGCTCACGTGACATCAGCAAGGAAACACAGTCCTTCTGTCTGTTACTAAAGGGAGCTCACGCGACATCAACAAGGAAACACAGACCTTCTATCTGTTACTAAAGCGAGGTCACGTGACATCAACAAGGAAACATACAGTTAGTCCTTTGTATCTGTGATTTGTGCATGTGCTGATTCAAGCAGCCACGAGTCAAAAATATTTGCAAAAAAAGCCCTTTAAACTGTATTGAACATATACAAAGTTTTTCTTTTTATTATTCTCTAAATGACACAGTGTAACAACGATTTGCATAGCATTTACATTGTAGTAGGTGTTACCAGTAATCTAGAGATGATTTAAAGTATAGGGAGAATGTGCATAGTCTACGCTGAATACTACACAACTGCATATCAGGGACTTGAGCGTCTAGGGATTCTGGTATCTGGGGGAGGTCCTGGATCCAATTTCTCATGAATATCGACAGATGACTGTATGTTGTATCTTGATGCAATGAATAAACAAAGCAGATAACAGTAACTGACATGGGGTAGAAGGTGAGGGGAAATGAAGGGGTTGCTATTTATATGTTTACATGGGATGAACAGGGCAGACCCCACAGAGGGGATATTTAACAGAAGCTAAACGTACGAGAAGCAGTCCTGAGAACTGTAGACCAAGAGAGCTCGTGGTGGCCCTGGGAAGGGGCTTGTCAAATCTCGTGGCCCCTAGGGGCTGGTGACTGTTAGCGGCTGGCCAACAGCCAGCTGCCGCCCTGAAATCTACCACTGTCAGCCGGTAACCCACCATGGTGGAGTATAAAGGCAGGCCTGCTGCGAGGAGATGAAAGACTCCTCTGCTGGGCAGCCTGGGCTGGAGGGTTCTACTACCAGCCTTGCCAAAAGTTTCTCAGAATTGCACTGCATTTTAAGACTTTGCCTGCCCAGCCCCCTGCAGCCCCTTCTCATTTTCCTCCACATGCACTTCTCCCAAATAATCTCTTGAGTGGCAAATACCATTCCGGTGTTTGCTGCTCCAAGAGCCCAGATGTACACAGTGTTCCAAGAGAGGCTGCACAAATACAGTGGCCCCGAGGAGCTTGGCATTTTCGAGGAGCATCAAGGAGGCCAGCGTGGCGTTCATGGAAAGGACAGAGGGAGAGTGGGAGATGAGGTCAGAAATGTACTTGAAGTCCTTGCCGAAGAAAAATCGTTGACTTGCTTATTATAAAACCCTTTTTGTTAAGGAAGAAATAAAAACTGTTAACCAATGGCATCTGTATCCATTACAGAATTTAAAGGCAGGGTATCATACAGCCAGTACCTTACAGTCTTCCCATTAGCAGCATTCAACACATCTGTCCAGGTAGTAAACCTAAGTGGCCCAGCTCTGGGCCATTAAATTTTGATGTAACCCATTAAGGAAACTTACGGCCTTAGTTCAAAGGGCTGTTGCCATTGTGTCTGTGAGAGCGGTGCTGCAGAGTGCATTTTATGCAAATCTCATAGATTTTAATGAGTGATCCTGCTTAATAAGCTAGTTAGACCATTTGGGCATTTACTTGAGAGTGACCACAAATGCCTTTTTCTGAAACCATTTTACAGTGCTAACATTTCACTGAAATAGCACTTAACACGGAGCCAGGCACACAGTGAGCACTAAGAGTGTTACATGACTGATGACAGGGATGAAGAACAGGAGTCTTACCAGGTGTGTCAGTCTCGATGCTCCTGAATGACCCAGACAAAAAGGGACTAGAAACTTTCTTTTCAGGAGTTTGTGGCTTAGATCCCTGTTTCACCACAAAGCATGAGCTTGACACAGCCTGGACTTGACAGCACTTTCCACAGGGCACTTAAAAATACTTGTACCTCCTCTCTTTTACCTCCATAAACCATGACAGGTCTTTGCTCAGCCTCTGATAAGCAAAAGATTAGAAAATCCCTTTAAACTTCAGAAACAGAGCAATGCTCAGTCAGGCGATAAAAGCTGCAGAAATTGGTCTTGAATATTATCACTGTGTATCAACTGAAGTCAGATGAAGAGCTCCACATTCATCCAAAGTTCTTTTCATACTAATTAGATGCTCTTCAAAGGTGTAATTACCATTTAAAAATGACTTTGGAGTGCAGGATACACAATAGATTTTTAATGTCTTTTAATTTATTTCGATGTTTCTCATATTTCATTAGTACGTTCTTATTTTACCAATGAGTCACAGGACTTTCAAGGACTTTTCCCTCTCCCACAGTTAAAATGCTAAGCAGAAGCTAAGCTCACGTGAAAAACTTGTCTCAATAACCAGAGAAAGACTATACTAATTACAATTTGGATTGTGTGGATTATCAATTTGTCCGATACTCCGTTTGCCTCCACCTTGAGGAGAGAACTATTTCCAGCCCCAGAGTCAAGCTGCCTCATTGCACGGAAGAGGGAGTAAAATAAGAAGCCTGGTGATGTGCTTATTGTCACAATTTGTGGTACAGCTGACACTTAGACTACATCTGCCCTTGAAGCTCAACTTCTTTGCCCTACTCCTGTGGTGTTTCTTGGCATCTGGTATCATTTCAAAAGGATAAGAATGGCATAGAGAAGGTTTCTCATTGCTAAGCATGGAGTAGGAATATTTTAGTGAAATGTGTAAGTTTTGGGGCGGAAGTAAAAACACCCCATCTGCTCTTCCACACTTGGAGAGAGCTGCACACAAAGCAGCAACTTGGCTCTGGGCGGCAGCTGGCTGAGGTCTCATGGTCTGGAGGACAGCCCCTGGCTTTCACATCGTCCGTGTCTTGCCATTTCTCTTTGGATAAGGCACAAATGTCTGAAGATATCCTCCAGGCCCGAGGACCTGCTCCTATTCTATCCAGTCTCGTCTTTCATGAGCCACTGTGCTTCAGCCACTGCTTTTCCTTCCACCCCTTTGTCTTTCCTTTTTCCCAGGTATAAGGCCTTTGCACTTTCTAAACCCTCTCCTGCGTCTAGTGGGGACTTGGAGAATCTTTGTGTCTCCCTAAGGGATTGTGGATGTACCAATCAGCAACCTGTGTCTAGCTCAAGGTTTGTAAATGCACCAATCAGTGCTTTGTGTCTAGCTAACCTAGTGGGGACTTGGAGAACTTTTGTGTCTAGCTCAGGGATTGCAAATGCACCAATCAGCACCCTGTCAAAATGGACCAATCAGCTCTCTGTAAAATAGACAAATCAGCTCTCTGTAAAATGGACCAATCAGCAAGGTGTAGGTGGGGCCAGATAAGGGAATAAAAGTAGGCTGCCTGAGCCAGCAGTGGTAACCTGCTAGGGTCCCCTTCTGCACTGTGGAAGCTTTGTTGTTTTGCTCTTTGCAATAAATCTTGTTTCTGCTCACTCTTTGGGTCCACATTGCCTTTATGAGCTCTAACACTCATCGCGAAGGTCTACAGCTTCATTCCTGAGCCAGCCAGACCACGAACCCACCAGGAGGAATGAGCAACTCCAGACAAGAGGAAGGAGCAAACTCCGGACACACCGCCTTTAAGAACTGTAACGCTCACTGCGAGGGTCCGTGGCTTCATTCTTGGAGTCAGTGAGACCAAGAACTCACCAATTCCTGACACAAAGAGAGGCCTAAGAAACCATCTAGGCCAATGCTATGGTTTTGGAGTTCAGGACATTGTGGCTTAGAGACAATAATGGATCTGCCTAAAATCACAACACAAACTAGTACCAGTTCTTGAATGAAAATGTAGGTCTTCTGATTCCTAGCCAAATGCTTTTTATAAGAATGAAAATTTTGTGTCCTTGGAAGGCCTAAGGCATTTTCCCAGAGTAACTTAGAAGAGTCGGGCTCCATGAATAATTTAGTAATATAGAAATAAGATTTTTTAAAATGTCTAAAATTGACTGCATGACCCTGGATATAAAGTATAAAAGCAGAAGACAGATGTGATGTGAGGCTGGCAACAAGTCGTGCCATGCTCTATGTACCCACACTAAAAGACAATATCCTTTCCACCTTACATACTTTATGGCAGTATAAGCATGTTAAGTATGCAAATCCTACAATGCTGGCAACATTTCAAGACTAGTTGTGTCACGGTGTTCATAAGCCTGGGAGCTCACTAAGCTACAGAGCTCTTAAAACGTAGAAGTAGAAGAGGTAGAAAAAAAAAAGGAATCACACTCCTTATTACTGTAAACCAAAGAAAAAATATTTACATTTTCAGCATTCTGTTGGGTAGGAAAAAAGCTTTTCCTATCCCATCTTACATGTTGTGCTGGAGCCTGTGAATTAAATTGAAAAAACAACAGCAACAAAAATTAACAAGAGGCAAAAGCACACACATGTAATTGATGTTTTCATGTTACATGCGTGCTGGCTACACATAAGATAAGTGAAAAACTCAAAACACTGGTTAGACTCAGGGGCTTATAAACGATGTGTGTAATTCTGGAATAATCCTACTGACCTTGAAGCAGGCCCAATACTCCCACAGCGTGTTCTTTTGTATAAACATAGACATTGACTCTTCCGCTCTTAAAGCTTGAAACTTGTATTTGTTTCATCTGAGTTCTTTCCTCAGGAAAGGACCTTCAGGCCTCTCCAAAAAAAAAAAAAAAAGCATTAAAGAACTGAAACTCACCAGATGAGACCTCCTTGTTCCTCCCTAGTTCGTGTTTCCTACACATTGTTACATTTCTTGCCTGTTGTATAAAACCCCATTTTTAGTCAGTCAGGGCGATGGATTTGAGGCTGAGCTCCCATCTCCTCAGCTGCAGCACCAGATGAAAGCTTCTTCCCTGGAAACACTCACCATCTCAGTGATTGGCTTTCTGTGCAGTGAGCAGCAGGACTTAGACCAAACCCATGGTGTTTTGGTAACAACCTCACCAAAATAGATGGGCACACACACAAGCCTTTAAAGATACAAAGTTAAACGGATAGTATGGATCATTCAGTATAGAGGAAACAGCATAGCAAATGTATAGAGACGGAAAATTACTAGATATGTTCCAGGAGCAACATGCAAATTCCACTGCCAGTTTTGGCTGTGAGGTCAAACAGATCTGATCTGAATGTTTGCATTCCTCCAAAATTCATACATTGAAACCTAATTCCCAATGCAATAACATTAAGAGGTGGGGTCTCTAGGAGGTGACCAGGTCATAAGGGTGGACCCTTCATGAATGGGTTTAGTACCCTTATAAAAATGTCTGAGAGAGCTTGCTTGTTTCTTCTGCCATATGAGGACATAGAGAAAACTCCATCTATGATGAATGGGCCCTCAGCAGGCACCGAGTCCACTGCTGCCATATGAGGACATACAGAAGACTCCATCCATGATGCATGGGCCCTCAGCAGGCACCAATTCTACTGCCGCCATATGAGGACATACAGAAGACTCCATCCATGAATTGGCTCTCAGCAGGCACCGAGTCTACTGCTGCCATATGAGGACATACAGAAGAATCCATCCATGATGCATGGGCCCTCAGCAGGCACCGATTCTACTGCTGCCTTGAGCTTGGACCTCTGGCCTCCAGAACTACTAGCAATACATTTCTGTTGTTTTATAAATTACCTAGTCTAAGGTACATTGCAGCAGAAATGGACTGAGAGAGACATCTTTCAGAGAATTACCTCTGTTTGTTTGTCTGTTTCTGTTTTGTAAAACTGGAAGAAGAATAGAACTTACAGTTCTGTGGTATAAGATTGTGTCCAGAATTGGTGGGTTCTTGGTCTCACTGACTTCAAGAATGAAGCTACAGACCCTCAAGGTGAGTGTTACAGTTCTTAAAGGCGGCGTGTCTGGAGTCTGTTCCTTCTGATGTTCAGATGTGTTGGGAGTTTCTTCCTTCTGGTGGGTTTGTGGTCTTGCTGGCTCAGGAGTGAAGCTGCAGACCTTCGCGGTGAGTGTTACAGCTCTTGGGGCAGTGTGTCTAGAGTTGTTCGTTCCTCCTGGTGGGCTCCTGGTATCGCTGGCTTCAGGAGTGAAGCTGCAGACCTTCACGGTGAGTGTTACAGCTCATAAAGGTAGTGTGGACCCAAAGAGTGAGCAGTAGCAAGCTTTATTGCAAAGAGCAAAAGAACAAAGCTTCCACAGTGTGGAAGGGGACCCCAGCAGATTGAAGCTTCTGGCTCGGGTAGCCTGCTTTTATTCTCTTATCTGGCCCCACCCACATCCTGCTGATTGGTCCATTTTACAGAGAGCCGATTGGTCTGTTTCACAAAGAGCTGATTGGTCAGTTTTGACAGGGTGCTGATTGGTTCGTTTACAATCCCTGAGCTAGACACAAAAGTTCTCCACATCCCCACTAGATTAGCTAGATAGAGTGTCGATTGGTGTATTTACAAACCCTGAGCTAGACAGAGTGCTGATTGGTGCATTTACAAACCTTGAGCTAGATACAGCGTGTCAATTGTTGCATTCACAATCCCTTAGCTAGACATAAAGGTTCTCCAAGTCCTCACCAGATTAACTAGATACAGAGTGCTGATTGGTGCATTCACAAACCCTGAGCTAGACGCAGGGTGCTGATTGGTGTGTTTACAAACCTTGAGCTAGATACAGAGTGCTGATTGGTGTATTTACAATCACTTAGCTAGACATAAAGATTCTCCAAGTCCCCACCAGACTCAGGAGCACAGCTGGCTTCACCCAGTGGATCCTGCACCAGGGCCGCAGGTGGAGCTGCCCGCCACTTCCGCACTATGAGCCCGCACTCCTCAGCCCTTGGGCGGTCGATGGGACTAGGCACAGCCCTGGAGCAGGGAGCGCCCCTTGTCGGGGAGGCTCGGGCTGCACAGGAGCCCATGTGGGGGTGCGGCGGGGGAGGCAGGCTCAGGCATGGTGGGCTGCAGGTCCCAAGCCCTGCCCTGCCGGAGGCAGCTAAGGCCCAGCAAGAAGTCGAGCACAGCAGCTGGTGGCCCAGGTGCTAAGCCCACTGCCCGGGGCTTGTGGGCAGGCTGGTGGCTCTGAGTGCGGGGCTCGCCGAGCCCACGCCCACCGGGAACTCGTGCTGGCCCTCAAGCACCGTGAACAGCCCCGGTTCCCGCCTGTGTCTGTCCCTCCACACCTCCCTGCAAGCTGAGGGAGCCGGCTCCAGCCTTGGCCAGCCCAGAAAGAAGCTCCCACAGTGCAGTGGCGGGCTGAAGGGCTCCTCAAGCATGGCCAGAGTGGGCGCCAAGGCTGAGGAGGCACAGAGAGCGAGCCAGGGCTGCGAGGGCTGCCAGCACGCTGTCACCTCTCAAGATAAAATGAAATAAATGGATATGAAGTTCTCAGCACAGTGCCTAGAAAACAATAAGATCAGCAAATGTTAGCAACCATAATAATAATTATCATTAGTTGCTGCAGTAGAGAGTTTATGTAGAAAACTAGAAGGATGTAGGCTAGTAAATGGTCAGGTCCTATCAGAAAACCATCCATTATAATGTGTGATATCAAATCTACTGTATCTCAAGTATAAGTTCAAAAAATGTTCAGAAGTCAAGCTCTTTCAAGAAAGGTCAATAACACCTATCATTGGCTCATCATCATGGTCCTTCAATCAGCTCTCTCCTCATTAGGAAATTTGCTATCTGTGAGAAAAGGAGTCTCCTTAATGGGAAAACGTGCTTTGGATTTCCGCTTGATGGGAGGCACTGAATACTAGTGAATTTTGCTTTGTGGCAATTAAATTGAAAGGTCAAAATATGCTAGTTTGGATTCATTTCTAACGTGGCAGATAACTACCAAAATTGCAACTATCACTAAAGCACTTTGATGTACATATGCAACAAAGGCAGAAAACTGCTCTGAATGTCTCCTAAATCAAATATGTCTCTTGTGTATCTTACAAGTAAAAATATCGTTTTAAGCGTTTCTTTAATGTGGAAAATTTTGCTAAGAAACAAGAGATGCCCACTAGTTTGATTTGCAGTTACATCCACTTTCATCAGCTGTTATGGTTACTGATAATTCTTGGCAAGAGTGTTTAACTCATATGATGTAATATTCAGCTTTTTAGTAAAGTTATTCTTTATATGCCTTATCCCAAATCCCAGCATACACTCTCTTCAGAGGCCATGTTTTGTGTTTGTCTCCATGCCAAAAGTAGTCATAATGGAATTCAATGCACATAGACGAAAGCTGGTTGAATAAATTGCACCTATAACCAAGAAGATCAAACATGCTTCCTAGTCTACAGGGTATTTTGCACGTAATATTGGAAGAGAGACTGTGGAGTATCTGACACATTGATATAACCTCCAGTTGCTAGATGCCTAGTAACTCCGTGCACGAAAAGAGTGTTTCAAGAGATTCTTTCATAAACAGAAGTTGCACAAAATGACCACAGGTCGCTCGAAACCCTAAATATCTATGATATTCTACCAATGCTATATTCACAAACGTGTCTTAACGGTTCTCACCGGATTCTATTTTACTCACTTTTGAAAGGTCACCTAATTTTTTAAAGTGAGCTAATTACTGTAGTGAGTAAAATAGTCTTGAATGATTGCAGGTGGCAATACTATCCTATTACCCTTCTAAAGGCTAAGGTGACACCAATTAAATTAAGGGTGACTGATAATTCTTTTTTATTACTACACCTGTATTCATATTTATATACTTTTCATTAATGCTCCTGGAGTCAGTTAAAAGATAAAGGGGAACTAAACTCAGCTCATTAATAAAATTTAAAAGTTGGTTTCCAGACTCTATATGCTGATTACTCTCTGCCACCACGAAGGCATTTTAAAGCAGCACAGATGAGCACATAAGCAACGAAAACAGACTTTCCACAAATAAACCTTGAAAAAGAAAAAAAAAGGCAAGATAAACAAGATCAGCAGGCCAGCAGTCTTGTCAATTCTTCACTGTCCCAGTGGTACTTTCAACTCATTAATGTTGGCTGCTGTGTTCTCAGGTGACTTGCTGGTATAAATGCCTCATTGTCTGGTAACCAAAGGGAACAGCATTTTATTGCCAGTAACCTGATAAAGAATTTTGAAAACAAGAGACACAGCAGATAATGAGCGTTTTGCATGGGCCCTCTACACTCTATAACCATTCAAGCTTTCCGAGCAGAAAGACATGACCTTTTCAGTCCTTGTGCCTTCTACGCTGTGCAGTGCTAGTCGGTGCCGGGATGAAGCTGACAGAATCCTCCCAAGTGGCTCCAAGCACAAATGAGGTCATCACAATGGAAAGCACTAATCCGACTCATTGTACTTACTCTAAACACATGAGCACTAACAAGTTTCCTCTACTTAAATGTTGCTTTTGTGTGTATGTGTCTGTGTTTGTCTGTCATTTAAAGGTATGACCAGATGCTACCTTGCAGCCTTTTCCTGGTAAACTCTTGGTCATTTTCAACATTTTCCTGACATTCCAGCTGAATAGTTATCATCACTTCAATTTTTAATACAATAATTTAAAGCATTCTATGATTCCAGTTTTCAAAAGGTACAACACACATAAGTACTTCCCTTAAGATGCTGATAACTAGTGAAAACACTATAGTGATAATTCTCTACTAAACAGCAAAATAAAGGCTAAAATGTTATTGATGCTTTCGCATTCTGTAGAGAAAGTGATTTTTCATAGCGTTATTGACTGCATTTCATCTGTTTTGCATATTGTTAATGAACCTTGTTCTCTTTAAAACAAAACAAAACAAAACAAAACATCTTTCTTTAAAAAAAAGAACTCACTTATTTCCTTGACACCAACATACACTATGACTTCCAAATTATGCCACCTCTGGGGAACAGTTTTTCATATCCTCTCAAGTACTTTTTTTTTTTTTTTTTTTTTGAGATGGAGTCTCTCTCTGTTGCCCAGGCTGGAGTACAGTGGTGCAATGTCGGCTCACTGCAACCTCTGCCTCCCAGGTTCAAGTGATTCTCCTGCCTCAGCCTCCTGAGTAGCTGGGATTATAGGCGCCCGCCACCATGCTCGGCTAATTTTTTTGTATTTTTAGTAGAGACAGGGTTTCACCATGTTGGTCAGACTGGTCTCGAACTCCTGACCTGCTGATCCACCTGCCTCGGCCTCCCAAAGGGCTGCGATTACAGGCATGAGCCACTGTGCCCGGCCAGTAATTTTACTCTGTGTGTTACTTGGCATTTTCCACTTTTCTGTTCTCTTTTGTGCATTTGTATTCTATTTTATATTAGTCCATGGTTGTGGCACATATTAAAGATGTTTGTAAATTCTTGTCAAGTAAAATGAATAAACGATCTGATGCCAGTTGTTCTTAAAATTATGTTCCCTCTCAATCTCAGAGGGACTTAATACTCTTCACACTTTTTACCGACTGAATGCAGGAAAATCCCAGGTCATCCATGAAGCCTGTGATTCTGTTGGTTCCATCGTCCAACGTGTCCCAGCTATCATTCAAGAGTGGACATAATGCTCTGCTCCCAGACCACGTCAAAGTGTCCACTCTGGGTGCCCCACGACAACCTACTGGCCAGCACTGACTACCAGACCCTGTTGAAGTGTCCACTCTGGGTGCTCCACGACAACTTACTAGCCAACACTGACTACAGGGCTCTAAACTAAAGGAGAGAACTGTTGGGTGGTTATGCTTGCAATTAGACCCTCCAGGGTGTCTACTACCACTGATGGAAGCAGGGGAAAATAAATATTATACATTCAGAGTTTGGCTACTCCAAAAGAGTAGGAGTCCCCCAAACACTGGGGACTCCTACTGAAGCATCATATATGAGACATATGAAGAGTAGAAAATGTAGGAAACATTGACAAACATGTATTAAGTCACTTCAATATAAGCCTTGGAAAAGTCTAGGAGCTCTATTAGAGATGCATGAATAGAATACAATCAGGGGACATGGTATGACCAGAGTTGAATAAACAGCATTGCTCACTACTCTTCCTGAAAATAATACTAAAAACAGCAAGAATATATTTTAAAATACAATTTCATTTTAAGTTGAACTAGGAGTAAATAGAAATGGACCATAGACTCAAAAGTACATATAGAGACTCTAAACAGCTGAAATCAAGCAAGCCATGGAAGACCAAAGGAAGAAAAGCACAGTGATGGCTTAAAGGCACAGTGGTGGCTGATTTCAGAAAGGGCTGAAGGCCAGGGACTCTGAAATATAAAAGTTGTATTCTTTGTTTGTAATAATGGATTCAGAACCTCTATGGACCGAGGTCATCGAAGACTTTCTGGACCCAGTTTCACTCAGAGAAGGTGATGCTCTACAAAGAGCCGATGACTTAGGTGTATCTGCAGAAGCCACTGAATTCTATGGCAGTGAAGGAGAAGACTGTTGGGTTGTTAAGCTCTTAGCCGTATCTGCAGAAGCCACCAAATCCTATGATGGTGAAGGAGAAGACTTAGCCATATCTGCAGAAGCCACCTAATTCTATGGTGGTGAAGGAGAAGATTTAGCCGTATCTGCAGAAGCCTCCAAATTCTACGGTGGTGAAGGAGAAGATTTAGCCATATCTGCAGAAGCCTCCTAATTCTATGGTGGTGAAGGAGAAGACTTAGCCATATCTGCAGAAGCCACCTAATTCTATGGTGGTGAAGGAGAAGACTTAGCCATATCTGCAGAAGCCACCTAATTCTATGGTGGTGAAAGAGACTTAGCTGTATCTGCAGAAGCCATCTAATTCTACGGTAGTGAAGGAGAAGATTTAGCCGTATCTGCAGAAGCCATCTAATTCTATGGTGGTGAAGGAGAAGATTTAGCCATATCTGCAGAAGCCTCCAAATTCTACGGTGGTGAAGGAGAAGATTTAGCCATATCTGCAGAAGCCTCCTAATTCTATGGTGGTGAAGGAGAAGACTTAGCCATATCTGCAGAAGCCACCTAATTCTATGGTGGTGAAGGAGAAGACTTAGCCATATCTGCAGAAGCCACCTAATTCTATGGTGGTGAAAGAGACTTAGCTGTATCTGCAGAAGCCATCTAATTCTACGGTGGTGAAGGAGAAGATTTAGCCGTATCTGCAGAAGCCATCTAATTCTATGGTGGTGAAGGAGAAGATTTAGCCGTATCTGCAGAAGCCTCCTAATTCTACGGTGGTGAAGGAGAAGACTTAGCTGTATCTGCAGAAGCCATCTAATTCTATGGTGGTGAAGGAGAAGATTTAGCCATATCTGCAGAAGCCATCTAACTCTATGGTGGTGAAGGAGAAGATTGTTGGGTTGCTAAGTTTGCAAGACAACTTTGCCTCCTCCTTTCTTCTTCATAGAAACTTTTCACAAATTATTGGTTCAAAACATTTCAATTAATTCAGTAATTAATAATTATTGATTTATGTAAAGACACTATAAGAAAAAACTATGGGGAAAAATGCAAACTTATCAATGGAGAAAGATCACACAACAAAAATCAATGCCAAAAGCAAGATGAAAATGTTACCCAAATATTTTGCCATGAAATGAAAACTTAATGGAGCTGTCAGATCAAAAATGGAAGACCATGAAGCAGAAATATAAGAACTCAGAGAAAGAAGCGGTGAAACGTTAGAATAAAAAAAATGTGCTGACAAAAACCAGCAAACATGAAGAAAAACCAAGATCTTCATAGAAACGAAGGTGAACCTAGAAGAAGTAGAGAAATTAAAACAGACTTTAGAAAACTCAGTAAGGAACATAGAAAATATAAATAAAAAAGTAAAAGTAAATACAGTAAAATTAAAGGGAAAATCTAAAAATTATTAGAGGGAAAACAGTGGCTATAGAAGATAAGCAGAGACAATCTAAAATATATCAAAAAAGGAAGGTATGGAAAGAAAAAAAAAAAGACAGCATTGAAAGAGCATGAATCCCTTTAAGAACTGATTCAACAAAACTTTTCCAGAATAAAATTAGGTTCCACAGAAAAGGAAACACTAAGAACACCCTACAAAGTTTTAAAGAAACATTAAGGAAAAGATCCTTTAATCAAGCCGCTCTTAAAAAAGAGAATGTAACAGGCTAGTCTCATATTTTTTCCTAGCAAAATTTAATGCCAAGATACAGTGGCCCATTACTTACAAGATATTCAAAAAGTGGAATGAAAACCAAAGGTTTTATACCTAGTCAGGCTACATTTCAAAGTATACTTCAGGCAGTTTTAAATACACACAAACTCAGGGAATATTTTCCTACTTGGGAAAAGTCCCAGAGAACAAACTTTAGCCAACAAAGAGATAACTAAGGAAAAACTATGGTGAAATATTATAATTGTGAATTGTGTTGACTAAAACTAAAATAAACATGAGAACCAGGGTAATAAAATGCATATAAATGCCATATGCCCTGGAAATAAACCAATATCGAAACTAACAAAAAGTGGAAGAAGAAGGAGGAAAGAATGGAAGACATAGGGTAGATCAAGGCTGCTGCATACGATGTTTGTACAGTTTTCAACTTTGAGGGGTCTTGTTTGCTGAGACCCTGACATCATCTGCAGCTCCAGAGCTGAGAGACACGATGTGCACACACACAGGTGGGGGTCTGAGGAGGAGGACTTGGTCAACTCAGCTGTAACAGCCAGGACTCAAAGTGGATCATTCAAAGCAGTAAATCAAATGTTAGAAATAGAAGCGTATGTAATAGCAAAATAACAAATACTAAATAACATGCCACGGATACTCTCATTGACCGAATTCTAGTAGTGAGAGGCCTGGAAGGGAGTAGAAAGAGAAAACACCTAGTTTTAACACAGCGGAAAATAGAGAAGTAATCACTCCTGGGTAAATGAAGAGATCATAAAAATACTGCATAAAGCTGTCATTTAAAAAATTACCACTGAGCAAGTTCCCAGACGAAGCTACCAGAAAAAAGTTTTTCTCAAGCAAATAAATCAGATCACATAGAAAACAACTTTTAAAATTTATGAACACATAAGATGCTATCATATACGCATGAAACACCAAGCATAACTGTTATATCAATAAATATAAATGTAAATATGATATACACATATATAATTAACCATTACTGAAGGACTTGAAAAAGAATTTGATCAGATTTCCAGAGGAGAGGAGCTTGGGATACTCTTTTCCCCGCAGTGAAACAACCGTTTAACTGGTAAAAATTATAAAACACACTTAAAGTCTCTGGAAATTGACCTAAGGGCAGATGCAAATTAATAAGCATTTATTCAAGAAAATCTCCTAAATGTTGATAAAACAGTGGAAGTCTGTGCCCTCTGAGCCAGAGCTAGTTCCTATTCCCTCCTCCAGCTCCATGTCACAGGAGATCTCCACATCACATGATCACACGTCACATGACCAGGAACATGGGAACTCCTTTTCAGCCCCACTCCCAGTCAAAGACGTATGATTACACCCCAGGTGATCTCATCCCCAGACACCACCCCTCTAAGTAAAGGAAATTAGGATGCCATCTCACATCAAGGGGACAGATGAGATGTTTCAACAATGTTGATGTTTGGACAACTAGGAAGATATATGAAAAAATAAAGTTAGATTCATTTCCCACATCACATACCAAAATAAATTCCAAATAAGACAAAAACTTTAATGTGAATAAAAATAAAACTAGGCCGGGCGCGGTGGCTCACGCCTGTAATCCCAGCACTTTGGGAGGCCGAGGCGGGTGGATCATGAGGTCAGGAGATCGAGACCATCCTGGCTAACAAGGTGAAACCCCGTCTCTACTAAAAATACAAAAAAAATTAGCCGGGCGCAGTGGCGGGCGCCTGTAGTCCCAGCTACTCGGGAGGCTGAGGCAGGAGAATGGCGTGAACCCGGGAGGCGGAGCTTGCAGTGAGCCGAGATTGCGCCACTGCAGTCCGCAGTCCGGCCTGGGCGACAGAGCGAGACTCCGTCTCAAAAAAATAAATAAATAAATAAAATAAAATAAAATAAAATAAAATAAAATAAAACCATACAAAAACATAAAATAACATTAAAGAATTTCTTTAAAACCTGGAAGTGAGGATGACCTTTTTATTTCTGAAAATCCAGAATCCATAAAGTATTAACATTTTATCACATACAAATTAAAAATTTCTACATGGCAAAAAATAAGGTATTTGGATCTAAAGACATATAACAAATTGGAGGGCAGACATTTGTAATCATATCACAGATAACGGGTGAATCTCTCTGTATAGGAACTTTTAGAAATGAAGAAGGAAAAGATAAACAACAGAAAAGGATTCAAAGATTAATAGTTCTCAGAAAAATTCAAATAATTTTTTGATAGATGTCAACCTCAGTTATAAAACGAGAAAAGCATTTAAATTACCATGAAATACCATTTTTCACGTTTAGATTGGCAAGAACTAAAAGTTTTATAATATATATCATCAGTAAGGCTGTGGAGTGTAAGCTTTTACTACCTCTATCGAGGGCAATTAGTATCTATCAAAGTTGCAAATACCTGTAATATTTGACAGAGCATTCCCACTTTGGGGTTTATACAACATACTTGAACATGTGTAAAATAATGTATGCATAAGTGTACTCATCAAAGCTATTAACTATTAACAAAAGATTCAAAATAATTTTATTCTTCAATCTTGGACTAGTTAAGTAAATTATTGTCTAAGTTCAGTGGAACGCTATGTCTTCATTTTAAAAATACATAAAGTCTACATACTGACTTATATGAAATATTATTTAGAGAAAAAATAAGGTTTAAAACAGTGTGTTTAATAAACTGTCCTTGCTGTAAAAAGAGAAAACATAAAGGTATACATTTATTGTTGCTTGCATATGCCAACAGAAACCCTAGAAGAACGCAAAAGAAACTAATGACATCAGTAGCCTCATGATGTGGCCATGGGGACTGAAACGAAGACAATCACGAGATTAGGAGGAAGACTTTTCAATGTATACTTTTACACTTTTTAGATATTCAGCCATGTGCATTGATTTCCTACTTCAAAAAACACCCAAATTTTAAAATAAAAGATATAAAATTCAAGATAATATAGATCAAATAATCCATTCACCCTGGCCCAGTCACCACTCCTTCCTCTACAGAAATACGCACCTACAGAGAATTTTTGAAATCCTCTAGAGAAATACACACCTACAGAGAAGTTTTGCAAAAATAAAAATAAAAAAGCAAGAGGCGAAGCAGTGTTTATTACTAGCTGAGATGCTTTTGCCCCGTTAACCCCCACAGGCTGAACCACTTGGAGAAATTGTCCAGCCTTGCATAGACACAGAAATGGGCTCCTCTCTTGAAAGCAATTCTGAACCTCAGTGTTACACCGGGCCCAGAACACAAACACGGGGAAGCAGGGAGAGAAGAGGAATAACAATGCCTCCAAAGACTGGGGTTAACCTAGGCCTTCCCAAGCTGGAGAAGTAGATGAGCACCAGGCTGCCACAGCTAGTAGGGTGCAGGCACTGGCCCCTGAAATTCTCATTCTGTTCCTCCCAAGAAATGTCTGAAGGGAGGTCAATGTCTGCTCAATGATCTTGCCCTTGCGCTCAGAATAAGAAGCTTCTGATTTTTACCCCTTCGAGGCCCCACCTGTAAACAATGTAAACCAATCAGGTATCACAAAACCTGAATGCTACGCCTTATTTTGGGGAAATGAACTTTATTGCTCTTGGTCTACACTCAGCTCTTGTAGACAAGTGGGAGCGTGGGAGACACAAAAGGGTAGAGAAAGAGCCCTGTGCTTACCAGGGAGGCTACTGTGGTGTTTTGGAGGCTAAGTTCAGGAGTTTATCCAGCATAGAAGGCAGGGGTTTAATGCCTCTTATCAATAAATATTTACACATATAACCTACATGCATTGAATCTATAATGTGCATACATTTCTTGTACCTGAAAATATCTAATATTAAACCAAGGAGAAATATAATTATAGATAATATAATACACATAGTTATAGCATACATTTTAGATGAAGCATTTTTGCATGCTAGGGTAGACAATACACACAGTTACAGCATACATCGTAGATGAAGCATTTTTGTATGCTAGGGTAAACACAAAACCTGTTTGCTATGAAGGCCCTGGCAGTCTGTACATCTAGCCAATCATTTGCATACTATTAAATAACACGTTTGCAGTAAAACTAGAAGGCAATAAAGCTGTATCCATGTGTTCTCTAACCTATTTGATCAATGCTGCCATAAGAGCTTCAGAGATTGAATATTTGTGTGGCTCTCAATTTTGCTCACAATTTACGTAAATTAGAAGCTTAAATGTAGGATATTGGTAATAATTTATGTGATCTAACAAACAACTCTCTAAAGTCTTTGGAATATAAGGTCTCTGGATAGCCAAAACTTCTAATTAATTGAGGATTACAACTTTAATCAACAATAATTTTTTTTAATAATTTAAATATTTTGGGTGAAAATCTTTTCAAACAATTTTCAAAGCCTAAAAGCTTTGAATTTGGTTGATAATTTCTAAGTCAACACTATGAACACTGGATTACATATAATAGATATAATCTATGTCATACAAACATGTACACAATAGATATGATGAGGTCTGTTAAACTATGTGGGGTTATTTGCATTGGTCTATTTTTCCACTTACTTTGTGAGTTTTTCTCTCCCTTTCCTTGCTGTCAGTGTCCTCATGTAGCAGCTTTTCTCCTTATTTCTAATTTTCTCATTTTACATCTACTACAGGCTTTGAAATTGCATACTGAAGCTTCTTTAAGTACTATGTAACCTAAGATTAGGCCTTGAAATAAGGGCAAAAGAGATCACTTTCAAGCCACATGTGTGAGATTTGAATGCAGGCCCTTGAGATGATACTTTGGCTGTATACAGGTTTGTTGCTTCCTGCTTTAGGCTACATCTAAAGCAGAGTTTTCTCTGATAAGAGTTTGGGTTAGATTCAACATAACCTTAGAAGAAATGGCTACCCTATTTTATTTATGCTTTGCTTTTTTTACAAAAAAGAAATTTTATTAAAATGTATAGAAAATCATGTGATAAAATATTTTTTAAAAAAAGAAAAGAAAAAAGTGAGGTCTTTGAAATGTAAGGCAAAAGGCAAGAGCAGACAGAGCCAGGTATAAGACTCATCACACAACACAAGCCAACAACCCTCCATCTTTGCCAGAGATGAGGAACAAAGTTGGTTTTATGCTTTGTAGTCCATCCAAAAAGCTAACAAAACTCATATTGTTACTTAGTGTAAACAAAACAATCGCTTCAGTAAAGTGCAAGTTTTTCAGACAGTGAGTCCAGAAAACAATTACTTCTTACTTCCTCCTCAAGAAATCACTGTGAAATGCAAAAATAACGTTCTCGGCAATGACGTTACAAGAAACCCAAAGATGAGTTTTAATAGCATAATTCAATGAAAAATAATTCTATGGGAAAAGAAAAGATTACAGCTCACCAGAAACACAAAATTGCGTATTCCAAAGCACAACCACTGATGGTCTGTGGCTGCTCCTGGTGGCTCAATGGCACTATCTGTGACTGTGTTGGATGCACACAGGTGGTCATCTCCCAGTACAGTGTGAGTCATTCAGCACCTCAAGTCACTGAAGAGTGCCTGACAGACCCTAGGCCCTCCTAGCCCCACATCTCAGTCTTGGTTCCTCAATACAGCAGCTAAGTCTTGATTTAAGCAAATGAAAACACAGCAGGGAGCTCTGCTATTACTCCAAATATGATTACTCACTATAGGCTTTAGAACAAAGGAAATAGAGACAAATTAATCAAAAGAAGCAAAATATCTAGTAAAGACATTACTGTCAGTGGTTGGCGGTTAATGAGTGAGTGACCTGGATAAGGACTACTTATTGCTAAAGGCATCCTCCAATACACAGAGTGGGGAAAGTGAAAGAAAATTAAACACACAAAAACAGCACTATTCTTTTTTGCCTGTGACAGCAAGCCAAAATGTCAACACCAACTCCTTAACTTTACTTTCCATGTAAGCAAGCAGCATTAGCATTTCTCTAGAGGAAAGGACAAAAAAATAGTTCATAACAAGGTAAGATTTGGAATTAAAAACATAAACTGGTGTGGTTCAACAAAGCCAGATTTTTCAGTGCAAACAATGTATCAACTGTCAGTTGAGTGAAAAGATAACCCAGTCTCCAGTGCCTAGGGGCCTGGAATTATACACTGCAAGGTATTGTGCATCAATTTCCCATGTGTCAGAGAAAGGAACAGTTTAGCCTTGACACCAAGAGGTCTGCACACACAAATACCTAAAAGTAACCTAAAAGTCTATTCATGTCCTTAGCCCACTTTTTGATGGGATTATTTGTTTCTTGCTAATTTGTTTGAGTCCATTGTAGATTCTGGATATCAGTCCTTTGTCAGATGTATAGATTGTGAAGATTTTCTCCCACTCTGTGTGTTGTCTGTTTACTCTGCTGACTGTTCCTTTTGCTGTGCAAAAGCTCTTTAGTTTGATTAGGTCCCAGCTATTTATTTTTGTTCTTATTGCGTTTGCTTATGGGTTCTTGTTCGTGAAATCCTTGCCTAAGCCAATGTCTAGAAGAGTTTTTCCAATGTTGTCTTTTAGAATTTTTATAGTTTCTTGTCTTGGATTTAAGTCCTTCATCCATCTTGAGTACCACTTGTTCCCCAATAACCTATGGAAATACAAATATTAAAAAATACAAAATAAAAGTTACTTAGCACTCAATTGCAGTATGTCTGAACCTCTTGGAAAGATGGATGCCTTTCAACTATTAAAATTATTTTTTAACTATATATCTGAAAAGCATTATTAATAAAGATTCGTGAACTTAGCAGTTATAGTTCCAGAGAAAGAGTGCCAGGTGTACAGCTCTTAGAATGTAAGCTATTAAGATGCAGAGATTGTATCTGTGCAAATCACTTTGTTCAACACCAGCGAGAAGTGAAATATTTACAAATATTTTTTTGATGACAATGACAAGGAATCAGGACCCTTGATTAGAAGAGATGGATATCCAAGTCAAACCAGCTATCTTAGAAAAGAAATTGGGAGCTCCCCTTACCAAATGTTGAGAAGAGCAGAAGTAGAGCTGGGCCTCAAGCTAGTGCCAACATCTGAAAAGGGGCTGTTGGGAAGAGCAGAAGCAGGACTGGGCCTCAAGCTAGTGCCAGCATCTGAGCATCTGAAAAGGGGCCAGGACTCCCTGTCTCTAAGTCTTTCATTCCCACTTTCTTGGTATCTTGGCTTTATCTCCAAACCAAAATCCTTTTCTTCCCTAGAGGAGGAAATAGAACTCCAGTAGCTCTCTGCTAGCATCAAGCTAAGCTGAGGTGTAAAAACTCTCTTCTACTTAGTTCTGTGCATGGACAGAATCATCTGCCTACTCACAAACCAATCCTGTATTGGGGGTGTGGCATTCTGATCTCCCAGGTTGGGTCATGTGCCTACCCTTAGGGTGGGAGGCAGAGATTTATGAGTTGGGTGAGGAAAGAGAAGTAGTTCCTGCAGAGGAAAGGAACATGCACTGAACTACAGAAATGGGGAGAAGCAATGAATATTAAAAGAAGTAGACTGATGTTAGGAGAAAATGGCAAAACTAGGGTAAGATTCCCATATATCTCAGCTGGAGTACTACAGAGCCCCATGTGTTAATACACAAGAATACATTTTATAGAAGATGTTATTATTATTTGTATGAAACTGGATACTCAGTTGAATTCGTACATGAATGCATAATGCCATCGCTCACTACCAAAAATTTTGCAGTAGAGCTTCCCACATTTGGGGCAATTCCAGGGATCAGCATGCCCCTATAATGGATCCAGAGTGGAATGGATAAGCCTTGCCCTGGGAAAACTGCCTTTAAGATCATGGTATCTGCCCTGCCAGGTAAGTATGAAACTGGATCTTTCTAAGGCACATTGGAACAAACCTCATTTTTAGCCACAAGTTATGGGTATTTTGAAAAGCCCTTATTGCAAAACACATAGAAACAGCAGGTAAAATACAGTCAACATGGACTTAATGCATGGTTGTTCTTCCAAGAGGGTAAGGAAACCCCCGGGGAAATGGCAAAGCAGAAAACCTGAATGGGGGGGAAACGGCAAAGCAGAAAACCTGAATGGCCAATGAATGCAAAACCATGGCTGCTCCGGAAACATTTCCCAACCTCAAGAATCTAGAGACTTGAATCTGAAGGCTGAGCAGGGTGGCAGAAGACAAGGCTTTTAGGTCACTGCCAGGTAGAGACCTCTGCATACATTCAGAACTCATTAATCAGGAATTAAAAGCTTCTAACAAAAGTAAAGAGATAAAAAAGGAGCTTGTTCATCTCATGTTCATTGCAGCATTATTCATAATAGCCAAGAGGTAAAAGCAACCTAAATATCTGTCAAGAGATGAATGGATTTTAAAAAGTGGTATATACACAATAAATTATTATTCAGCCTTAAAAAAGAAAGAAATCGTGTCATATGTCATAACATAGATAAACCTTGGGGATACTATACTAAGTGAAATAAACCAGTCACAAAAATACAAACACAGTGCTGCATGATCCTTCTTATATGAGGTTTTTAAAGTAGTCAAACTCTTAGAAACAGAGACGTAAAATGACAGGTGCCAGGGACTAGCGGAGGGGGAAAAGAGGACTTGTTCAGTGGGTATAGAGTTTTATAGTGAATCCCACACTTAATCCTACTCAAGCTGGTATAGAGGATAGAAACAAAGATAAGACTATAGATTTATGAACAATAAAAAGTGTAAACCAAGCATTCTATACCTAGCCAAACTGTCATTCACATATGGAGATGAAAAGAGAAAAAGAGTTTCAAACATGCAGGAATGTAGGACAATCATTTGTACAACCTTACTGAAAAATTGTTCTCTGAATTAACATAAATGTGGCCGGGCATAGTGGCTCACGCCTGTAATCCCAGCACTTTCGGAGGCCAAGGTGGATGGATCGCTTGAGGCCAAGAGTTCAAGGCCATCCTGGGTAACATGGTGAAATCCCATCTCTAGTAAAAACTCAAAAATTAGTTGGGCCATGGTGGCGGGCTCCTGCAATCCCAGCTGAGGCAGGAGAATCACTTGAACCTGGGAGGCAGAGGTTGCAGTGAGCACAGCACTGCACTCCAGCCTGAGTGACAGAGGGAAACTATGCCTCCGAGAAAAACCAAGCAGACAGACAAATACATTTTACACTGGCAAAGATCAAATTATTTGTGATTATAGTGCTCATCATTTACTGAGCATATAATCCCTAGCAGTAGTTTCACTAGATACTTTATAAATGCCATTTCTGTCTGTCCTTCAACAAGCCTCTAAATTAGATGTTCTATCCACTTTATGGATATGAGAAATCTAAGAGAACTTACTAACCCACTCTTAGATTTCTCATCTATGAAGTTGACAAAATAGCTCATTTACAGGCTTTGTAATTTCTAAAATATCATATAGCTAGGATTGTAAATTGATCCTGGTACTTTTTGATTTTTTGAGTTAAAGTTCATGCTGAAGCGTGTTGGGTTGACAGGCATTCTGAGATTCAGCACAGGGCATAAGCAAAATGGCAGCTTTTCCTACTGGGGTAAAGGAGTCAGACCACCAAAATAATCGGTTCTTTAAACCTCCTTTCTGATGACTCACATCCTCAAAACTTTATGAACTCTTAACATGATATCGTGTACACTGGAAAAATGCAATGTATATTTTTAATAAAAATGGAGTGGGTTTTAGGAGATCTAGAGCAGTCACAGCTGACATCCAAACTGTTCTATTTCACTCGCAGAGGTTTCCATCTTCCACCACCACGACCTCCACCTTCCTGCTCTTCACTCCTCCTTACTTTACTAATCTAGTTACTGTTTTTCTCTCTTCCAATTCAGACTCAAAGTGACAGGACGGGACAGAATGAGGCAGAAATCACAGGGTTTGTAAGGCCTGGAGAATGGGGTTCACACAAACCTTTGGACCACTTTTTCTCAGGGGTAGACTTCATGCTCAGATGCTGATGTTCTGTGCTGGACCTGTTTGGGTTCCTCCTCCTCATTCACTCTTGCTCCTGAGCATCACCTGCTCTGACTTGTAAACGTTCTTCTAACATCCCCTAACACAAAGGAGTTAACTGAAGCTCTGAGAGGCCTGGAGGTCAGTCATGGACCTTCACATTATTTGACTTTAAACAAATCTTGAAAGATTCATCCCCCTCAACATGGCACTTGTGTGCATGTAGAGGCATTCATCTCACACCACTACAAAAGAAGCAGCAGTGTTTGCCAGAAATCATGGGATTCCTCTTTTTTCTCCGGGCTCCGGGTCTGAATTGCCAGGCCGGCTTTGTCAGGAGTGATAAATGTAAGAGTCATGGCTGGGTGGGGCTGGATTGTGCTATGTGTGGCACATAAGGGATGAAAGTGAGAGATATTTCCTAATTACAAATGTATGTTCTTTATTCTTCAAAGTTTGGATTCACACCTCTCTATTCCATTTTTCTGCACAAAATCTCACTGTATCATTAATGGATTTGTCCAGTGCATTGATAATATCATAATCTATCCACTCTAACCTGATTAAGCATGCACTTGTCATTTTAAAAAATGAGGAAACTGGCATACATGTTTCAGCAAAGAATTTGCCACACCTGCATTGTGTATGCAGCTGGTTTAATTACAGACATAATGTATTTAGCATAGTATGTACGAAGCTGCATCACACCTGAACATCCCATTTGATGTATTTCCTGAGACCTATTTGCCACTGTTCTTTCCTTTGTGACTGTCCTTACAGAATTAATATTTTGATAACTATTATATAATTAATTATCCTTCAGGACCTCATTGAAACTGCGATCTTATTCCATCACATTTGGAAATGAGTGTACGCTTATAGCTCCTTTTGAAGATAATGAGGCATCACAGAAGGAGCCATGATCTACATTTCCTTGAACATCCAGAAAGCAGAAATTACGATACTGTGACTGGCCCTGGCTGTGTTTTGATGAGATTGTCTTGGTCATCACTTTCTCAGTTTCTTAGCACCAAGTTCTTGGGTGACCAGTTGCACAGAACACCACTTGCATTACTGAATACAAACTGACTTGGGGTCTATAGGGTGACGGTGGTTGAGGGTTGACAGCAGTGCTGTAGGAACAAGACTTGAATCACAGAGGGAGTCTACATGGAGCAATGTGGTGATATATTTCCAAGCACACAATTTCTACAACAGGTCAACTGCAATTCCCACACAGCTGACCCAGCCCTAAAGTGAACATTGAGTAAAAGCAATCATATCTTTATTCCAAACCATCTGAATTTGCTGATTTTTATAAATATGTTATTTTATTCTATCAAATAAATTCTACTCCTGGATTCCTTAAAACAACTCCTGCATTACTTTGTAGGTAAAACTATCAAAAAATTTGCATAATTACTTCATTTGAAGTTATTAAACTGCTAAGGCAGCAAAATTCATTAAGCTACATTTTACTAAACTCTAATCATTAAGTGAAACAATATTTTTCCCTCAAAAAAGGTAATAGTTTCCTGGAAATATTCTTCATGGCTTTATTTCCTCTGCTAATTGATCCGGGTCATTTAATTCAATAATTTTTATAAAGGTAAAATTATAGGAATTTAATTGACTTTTGCTTAGCTTCCAATTATGTCTAATTTGTTTCTATTCAGTCTCATTAGATCCAGTTATGGTTGGACTAATAGTAATTACTCCCAATAGTTAATGTACTTTAAAATAAGGACTCTGTCTTCTGTTATTTTCAAGTAATTTTTCATCAGGGTTAGGCAGGGCTTCTTAATCATATTAATACAAATGGTTTCCTATGTACATGAGTAAGTTTGCATTTAGTACGCAGGCAATCCCATGTAACTTAGCAAAGCTAGCAAGTCCCTAGACACGGCGCAGCCACTGTAGAGGTGGCCTCTCACTAGCATCGTTAATATCAATTGTAATTGGTAGGCAATCACTTAGTTTCACATTTCATTACCCGAGTTATACAAATGTGTAAAAAAAATACAGTTTTAATAAAAGGGAGTAAAGGATAATATGAGTAATATTCACAATCTCTAGTTGGAAGAGGTAGTGTTTTCTCAGAAATGATGCATTCCTGGAGCAAGGTCATTTTGTGTTTGGTTTGTTAAATATCTATTTCCATTTTGACAAACCATTGGAAAAGCCCAGCTTCACAAGGACTCTCCATGAAAGCGATCACAAAAAAGAACACCCATAACACAAAATCAAAACAAGGGTGGTCTGGGCTTCAATTAAAGACTCATTACCAAGTTTTCTTAGAAGAGATAAGGAACACAAAGTTACTTTTATGTGATGGAAAACAGAGAGAAAGAGTAAATGGAACAATAACCGTTAGGAAACAGCAGTGAGAAACAAGCTGTGGAAAAAAATGAATGGAATTATGTTTTGTTTGCTATTGATTTCCTATCCTGATATCAGAAAATATGGGAAAGAACAAAGCACATTTTTTGAGACAAATAGAACATAGAATAAATTAGCATTAAAGATTATTTTGCAGTGCTAACAAAAATATCTGTGACTTGTTTCTTCCCTTCAAAAATACGATTTTGTACAATTACATTTATATGAATTATAGAAATAAAATTGTAAAGATGGAGAACAGACTATGGGGTTGCCAAGGGGAAGGGATGGAGGAAAATGTGTCAGAGTGTCCACAAAGATTGCAAGTTGGAGCCTGGCGGTGAGGCTACAGTTCTGTATCTTGACTGTCGAGGTTGTAGTTACAGAGATCTACACGAGATAAAAATGCACAGAACACATGCACACAAATACACACACACATACATACAAAAACAAATGTGTACAAAATGGTTGTGATCTGAGCAAGCTTTCTGAATTGTACCTATGTCAGTTTCCAGGTTTTGATATGCTCTATGGCTATGCGAGATGTCACCGTTGGGAGAATTAGTGAAGAGTACCTAAGACATCCCTGTACCTTTTGCAACTTCCTGTGAATCTATAATTATTTCAAAAGAAACTTGAAAGTCGAGTATAGCAAGGACTAAATCCATCACTTCAAAGAGGAAAAAACTGAAGATGAATGAAATTGTTGAAGAACATCAAATACTCAACAGTCCGTATGAGAGCTGTATTCTGTCCACTCGAAGCTCAGCTGTCGTTTAGCCTTTTCCTGACGTGCCCTGGAGGACTTGAGCTCCCCTTGGATTGCCAAGGCCTATAATGTTTATTTGTTACTAACTTTGTGCTGGACCCAAAAAAAAATGAAAAGTGATCGAATAATCATTTATAATAACAACTAGTACTTTTACTTATAAAGAGACAATAGTGGTAATGAATTTAAATATTTGGGGTAAAGAATAGGATCTTGGTAAGACAATATTGGCAAAATATAAAACAGAAAAAATAAGGAATCAGAAACATAAGTAGTTCAGTACTGTGAAAAAATTCTGGATCTGAGAAGCAAAAGAACAGAGATTGTATTGCATTTCTGCTCCAAACCTGCTGAATCACCTTAGGCAATGCATGCCCTTTCCCTGAATCTGTTTTCTTTTCTACAAAATAAAGTGAGCTAGATCATCTCCAAATATTCACATTTTTCGACTCTACATGGACTTCAGTTGAATTGCTAATTTCAGTTTGGATAATACATGTGTGCTGCACCACAAGTGGTGTGTCTAAACCCTCATGTTGGTCCTAAAAAATAATTAAATCTAGCATTTGGCAGCTGGAAGCCATTGCAATCTTTTAAGTATTCCTGAAGCTTATTTTATCAGTGTATCAAGATAAAATGCTAATAACGTGGTAGATATAAAGTCTGTTAGCAACTATCAGTGCTGTGTTATCTCAGAAGACTTTGTTAGGATAATGATAAGAAGTGGATCAAGTAAAACAGCCTGAATTGACCCCCAAGATCCACTAAAATGATTAACTATTCCATTCATGAAAATTCACTACAGTCAAACTATCTAAACTTGCTGTTCCTGAGCTGACGTTATTCCAGTTCTACATGGCAGTATTAATTGCACCTCCATTTGGCTAAGCATCATGAATAACAGCAGTCTTAACAATGTATCGCCACTTCCTTATATACCTGTTTACACTTGTGATCATAATAATGTCAACTTTAATACTCTCACCAAAAAAATGTTGAAAAAAATACCCCTTTTACAACGTAAAGCTAAAGATCTAGGCTTGCATAAATGATCAAAAGCTAAAAGGTAGCACCAGTAATCTCTGTTAGTACTGCAAAAAGACATCAAGTTCAGTATCAACTTAATAAAAAAGACAGTTATTAACCAGCAACTGAACTTTAAGGTTATCATGTTGCTTGCAACTGAAATACGAGCCTATTCACGAACACAGACGATATTCACATGAACATCCCTGCTAAACTCTACCTGAGCTCACCATGAGAGTAAACCGGGAGGAGGGGTAGAGATGATAGCTCTCCATATATAATGCTTGAATCTCCAGGAGGCAACAGAACAGGATCATTGCCCCACCATGGCTCCTTCCCATCTGTTTTGATCATCCAGGCAGACCTATAGTGAAACAAAATGAAAGCACTAACAGTTTCCTGGGCTGTATTTTTCTTAGTATCCTACAGAGAAACACCTAGTCACACTGCCACTGACTGCACTCCTAACCCTGGATTTTGCATTCTCACACTGTGGGTTACAAGAGGCAAACAGCAATGCAGATCCATCACTATCATCGGATATAATGCAAATAAGACACTTGCTGTGGATGGCTGATCATAACAATAACATGATCTGGGGGCATCAGAAGTCCTGCTTGACTCTTATTTTCTAACATTTTTGCAGGCTGCTGGCTGACCTCCACCCCACTTCAGGAACAACAGGATAGACTACAGCTGGGCCGATCCATAAACTCACCAGTAGCCCAGGAGATGGCCTGACATGAAAAGTTCTGCACAAGCAGGAGCAAAATGAGCCAATAGCTCCACTTGCATTCTGTTGGTATCCTGCATGTTATTTTCACAGAGCAATACAAGTTTCTGCTGTACTGCACACACATATTACTCACTTTCTTTGCCGCCATGATGCTTAAGTATTTCAACTGCATTTTTAAGTAATATATCTTTCAAAACTTCGCTTAAAAATTGCATGATCTCCAGTTGTAGCTTCAGTAGTCTGTTGAAAAGTTTGTCTAAGACAGTAGGCTTTAAACATTGAAATAACTCCTTGGTCCACTAGCTGGACGATTAAAGTTGTATTTGTTAGTAAAAAGCGGCTTTTTAACATCTTCATGGAGGTATCCAAATGAATAAAGGTGACCTGGACACTTATCCAACAGTGATGGTGCTTTAAAAGTTAAATTATGTGAGTTTATGACTGGAGGACAAGTAGTTTACACAACTACACACCTTGATATCTGTCTAAACTAAATTCATACAGACGCACAGGTACACAGCGACAAATAACCAGCACACTTTCACAGAGACAGCATGATTGCTCACTGATCATCATGCTTGTCCATTAAATACTTACTAATTTTTGTACTAAAAACCAGCATCAAAATTTGTACTGAATGAAATTACACATAGTTAATACACTGTGGAAAGTGAAATTTGCACTGTGTCCATGAAGGAATTATATATGTTATCTAACCAAAGCACAGTAACAAAAATTCCTGCATATAAGAACCACGAAAAGCCAGGACTGCTGTAAGATTTTTATATTACTTGGGAGATGATATAATAGTACTTAAGAATAAACTGTGATAAGTTAACAATATACACGGTAAACGCTTGAGCAATAACTTTGAACAAAAATACATAGTGCACCTATTGAGCCAATAGTTGCAATAAAATATAATACTGATATGGTTTGGCTGTGTCCCTAATCAAATCTCATCTTGAATTGTAGTTCCCATAATCCCCATGTGTCCTGGGAGGGACCTGGCAGAAGGTAATGATACTTATTGAGCATCTACTATATCAGGTGCAGCCAGTGTAGCTCTTGAACAAGACAGACAAAATTCTCATACCTCTACCAGGGTCATATTTGATCTTCATTTATCTACCATTTATAACATTTTATTTGTCTTTTATTGGAAACCCTTCAAATCCTTTCTGAAGTAGATATAGTTGAAATAAAGATATAAGTTGAGACTGAGATCATATACTGCATTATTTCCCTTGCAAATTCATATTAATTACAGTGAATATCTCATTTTGTTTTTCTTTTTGTTTGGAGGGAAGGAGTAGTTCCTGTCTTGCTACTTTTCTTTCTAACCGTGCCATGATTTAAGTTCCTTCATTCATCGTGTTGGCTCTCTTGAAGAAAAATCCAGACACCTGCCTTACACTGGAAGCAGCAAGGGCTTTTCCTCGCCGGCTCCCGTGCAGCTCTCAGGCAGGCGTGTGACCAGACCATGGCTGTCAGTCGCTCTCCCTCCAGGCTTGGACTCTTGATCCGTGATGAGAGAACAGCAGAGGCACATGATATTTATCGCAGCACCAGTGCGCTGAGCGAACCCTTCCTGCCCAGAGACGAATGCAGGGTCCTTGCTTCCCCAGTCCCTTTGATTTCTATTTTCAAGCCTAGTTTCTCAGCTTCCAGTTTATTCTTTGAGCCTTGCTCTCATTGCTACCACCAACATTTTTCAGGAAATTCCCCTTTCTTTTCATGTTATTTTCAGATGGTTGCAACTAAAGAGCACTAAGCAACACTCTCCAAACTCAACTGGGCCCTGCTATTCCCAGTGTTGCCAATGAGAAAGAATACATGGAGCCCCACAGAAGGAGGAGTCAGAGTCCTTAGCTAAGGGAGGAGACCACTACTCATATCGTCTTATGCGCAATTTCTGCCTCCAAAGAAATAAGAAGTAAAAACTAAAAGGCAGAAATGAAATCCACAGGCAGACAGCCCAGTGCCACACCCTGGGCCTGGTAGTTAAAGATCGACCCCTGACCTAATCGGTCAGGTTAACTATAGATTACAGATATTGTATGGAAAAGCACTGTGAAAATCCCTGTCCTGTTCTTCTCCGTTCTAACTACCAGTGCATGCAGCCCCCAGTCATGAACCCTCAGCTTGCTCAGTCGATCACGATCCTCTCACGCGGACCCCCTTAGAGTTGTGAGCCCTTAAAAGGGACAGGAATTGCTCATTTGGGGAGGTCGGTTGTTGGAGACGTGAGTCTTGCTGAAGCTCCCAGCCGAATAAAGCCCTTTCTTCTACAACTCGGTGTCTGAGGGGTTTTGTCTGCAGCTTGTCCTGCCACAAGCCAGCACTGGACACTCAAAGTCTCTTGTGCAATAAGCACTCAATAAATAGTGGTGAAAGGAAAAGGGTGGAAAGGAGGAGGGAAGAGAAGAAAGGACAAAGAAAGAGAGGAAAAGAAGGAAAGGAGGGTGGGAGGGAGGAAGAAAGAGAGGGAGGGAGCAAGAAGGGAGGGAGGGAAAAATGTAGGGTGGGTGGGCAGGAGGAAGGGAGAGAGAAAAAGATAAAGGGAGGGAAGGGAGGGAAAGGGGAGGGGGAGGGAAAAACACAAGGGCGTGGGAATAAATCCCAAATGACCATTTCTGGCAAAAAATGCTGAGTTAAAAAAATCACGGGAGAACACCCCTTTGTTTAGGTACTTGCTATCTCTTAAAAGAACACAGAAATTATAGTTTATATATTTTACATGAATATTGAGGAAAATAAGGATCTGAAGGATATGCAGAGAAATACATGAAAATACAAAATTAGGTGTCTAAATTCAGAAAAGCTGGTAAATATTAATGAAGTAAAATAGCAGGCAAAGACATGTGGGAGGGGAGTGTGACTTAGAATGTAGACCTGAATAAGAAAATTAAAAGTTATTTTAAAGTTAGTTGAAGGACTAAGGGTGGAAATCCATAGGATTCCTGCTTTTTTTCTGTCTATGCTACTTTGGCAAGTATAGTGCATAAAAGACATAAGGAAGATTGAGAAAATCATGGATGATCTTTCTACTTAAATGAAATTGTATCCAAAACCAAAAAACAAAAACAAGAGTGAGAGACAGAACTTTTTCTATGGGTTTCCCACTGTGGAAATCTCCCTACAGACACCTCATGTGTTCTTTGATTATTTGGCTGGTTGGATTATTTTCTCTCTCTTCTGGCTGTTTGCTAACTGAGGTTTTCATTACAGAGGCCGTCTATCACCCGGGTACCAATTCCTGATTAATGGAAAGATACCATCTCTCGACATGGTACCCTCCAGGTTTGATTGACGCTGCTTCGAGCTTTGAGCACGCATCGGTTATGTGACCCCGGGCCTCTTGTTTGCTCATCTGTTTTCATTTTGTGGTATAGAAACTTTACATGTCCAGCCACTACTAAGCAGAAACACAAAGAAGCAATTATCTATTCAATTGATGTTTCCCAGATGCAAGTTATTTAATGCTTTTATTAACCCTTAGAGTGGCATGTTATTCAGTCTCCACACCAGGTGAATATTCGGTAGGAAACGCAGCTCCTATACACACACTATTGTCATTTAAAATTAAAGGGAAAAATTAAAATGTCTCTCCAGCCAAACTAGCCCTTTTTCAGCATTTTTACATATTATGAAATAAATCTAAGGCAACTTTTAGGTTGTTTACAGAGAATAAAAAGTTATCTTTAAATCTAGGGCTTAAAATGAATAATTAGAGGTAAATCTAGTTGGCTTAATCAAAATAACTGCTATAGGAATTACATACAATTAGCGTCCAAATAAAATCCTTAGCCTACTCTATACAGGAAAGTAATATAAATATTAGATAGGAAAATATCAATTCTCTCTCTCATGTCTTCTCAAGATCACATTTAAACCCTTGATCCTTCTTGTCATTTCAAGCACAAGCCAAAATACAAGCCAAAACACAAGCAAATCATGAGGATAAGGCTGAATTTTAAATCTTGATTCCAAAAGCCACTCTCCTATTCTGGTTAGAAAAATAACAAAGCTATGTTCTGTCTTTTATCACTGCACATTTAGGCCACAATCATTCAAGTGTTTTGCCAACAATGAGCACAGCACAAGGTACCAGGGGGCAATGGGTAGACAACCTTTCGACAGCTTATTCCAGCACAGACTGATGCAAAACAAAATGCTGCCAGAGCCAAGTCCCCTTTCGGCTTCTTCCTGGCTTTCTACAATCTTATTCCTCACTTAATTTCTCCATCCTGTTCCCTTCTCTCTGCCCCTAGTAGCCCGTGACTCACATAAGCCTTTCTCAGGCCAGCAGGCACATGGGAGCCTCACCCGGCCTGGGGCCAGCAGATGAACCAGGAGTGTGACCCAGGTCCCAGCAATAACCAGAGGTGACAGGGCAAGGGCTACAGCTTAAGCACTTTGAAGATGAGACTTCTGACCACATGGAGAGAAAATAAGCACCAACCTATACCCGTTGCACAGGGTACAGTAGAGCCACCAAATTGCAGTCAGGAGCCAGGACCTCTTCGCTGGATGCTGTCCTCGCCCATATCACCCCACACCGGGTCATCGCGGTCTGTGTTCATCACTTTCCACCTCTTTCCTTTATCTTTGTCCTATTCCACCATTGCTTCTGCTTCCTTCCCCAAGACTGATCATGTATGTCCCAACTGAAAAACAAAAATCTCTTTTCTGAACCCTGCAACAGTCTCTACCAGCGGTCCTCACACAGGGCAATGCCCTTCCCACCCCCACCAGAGGACATTTAGCAACATCTAGAGACCTTTATGTTTGTCACCGCTAGGGGAGGGGTTGCCACTGTCATGGGGTGTCCAGGCCAGGGATGCTGCCAAACCTCCTACAAGGCACAGGACAGCCTTCTCTCCCCAACAACAAAGAATTGTGTGGCCCAAACTGCCCATAGTGCTGAGGGAGCAACTCTGCTTTGGACACCACTCGCTAAACTTCCCAAATGAACTCCCTGCGTGTTGTCTACACTTAGTGGTTTGCGCTTTCTCCCTCCCAACTCACACTGAACCGCAAGGATTGGTTGGCTGCCTGCTCTGCTGCACACACACAGCTCTTGCAAATGGCACACCCAATTCTACAGAAAAACGCAGCGGATAGTGCAGAGGAGAAACGCAGGTTCTTTCCTCTCTTCTTTGCTTTTACACAAAGATAATCTTCTCACCAAAACTGTGCTCTCAGTGTGACATCAGAGAGAAACCAGAATGGGACTTCACTGACATCACTCACCACCACAGAAATTCAACTAGCAGCTCTCCACAGGCAAGAATACCATCGTGCATGTCCCAGAATTCAGGACTAAGGCTGAGACACACTCCTGGACCCCAGAGCTAAGAAAAGCTGTTGCAATGGTAAAAAGTGGAGAGAGATGTTGAGCGCACACTCCTCCCCAACCTGGCAGAGCCTCACATGCAGAGATTCCTCTGGATCCGCAGTTGCACGGTGAGAAAGTGAGTTGGAGGCAGAAGTTCTGCTTCCCCACCATTCTGGGCCCCTTTGCAGGAGCTCACGCCTGTCTTGTCCCACAGGAAACGCTTCCCCACGATTCTGGGCCCCTTTGCAGGAGCTCACGCCTGTCTTGTCCCACGGGAAACGCTCCCCCGCCATTCTGGGCCCCATTGCAGGAGCTCACGCCTGTCTTGTCCCACGGGAAACGCTTCCCCGCCATTCTGGGCCCCTTTGCAGGAGCTCACGCCTGTCTTGTCCCACAGGAAACGCTTCCCCGCCATTCTGGGCCCCTTTGCAGGAGCTCACGCCTGTCTTGTCCCATGGGAAACACATCCCCACCATTCTGGGCCACTTTGCAGGAGCTCACACCTGTCTTGTCCCACGGGAAACATTGGGAGTGCCCACAGGGCCAGTTAGAAACAAAAACAGGTGGGGCTCACAGCAAACAGGGCACAGATCGGGCCTGGCCCATGGAGGTGCCACATCAGAGAAACTAGCCAGAGGCACCACGCCACAGGAAGCACCCCCACAGGTGCTCCAGGCTCAGCCCCCAGCGTGCTTCAACGCCCTTCGTAATAGCAAACCCTCGCAAATCCAGCATAGAGGGAGCTGCCTCAGCACAGGAGAGACGCCCATGCCACACCCATAGCTAACGTCATTCTCAATGGTGGAAAGTCGAAAGCGTTTCTCCTAGGATCAGGGAGAAGGATGCCCACTCTCACCACTCCTACTCAACATAGCACTAGAAGTCTTAGCAAGAGAAAGAAACAAAAGGCATTCTAATTGAGGGAAGAAGTGAAATGTCTCTATTTGCGGACAAATTGATCTTTTATATAGAACACCCTAATGGCTCCACAAAAAAACTGTTAGGACATATAAACAAATTAAGGTTTCAGGATATAAAATCAACGTACAAAAATCAATAGCGTTCTATATACTAATAACAAATATTTAAAAAGTAAATTTCAAAAAAAAATCCCATTTACAATAGCAACAAAATAAATAAATACTTAGGTATTAATTTAACCCAGGACGTAAAAGACCTGCATACTGAAAACTATAAAATGCTGATGAAAGAAAATGATGAAAACACAAATAAATAGAAATATTTTCCATGTTTATGGGTAGAAGAAATAATGTTGTGAAAATGTACAAACTACCCAATGTTCTATAGATTCAGTCCAGCCCTTATCAAATATTCAATGTCATTTTTTACAGAAATAGAAAACACAATCCTTAAATTCACATGGAACTACAAAAGACCTTAAATAGCCAAAACAATCATGAAGGAAAAGAACACAGCTGGAGGCATCACACTCCCTCATTTTAAACTCTTTTAGCAGTTGCAATTAGTACACCCTAGAACTGGCATAAAAAACAGACAAATCAATCAATGGAACAGAATGGAACACACAGAAATAATCCCCCACATTTATGGTCAACTGATTTTTGATGAGGGTGCCAAGAACACACAATGGGGAAAGGAGAGTCTCTCCAACAAATGATGTTGGAAAAACTGCATATCCACATGTGAAATAATGAAATTAGACCCTTATCTTATGACATACACAAAAATCCACTTAAAATGGATAAAAGATTTGGCCTGGCATGGTGGCTCATGCCTGTAATCCCAGCACTTTGGAAGGCTGAGACAGGTACATCACCTGAGGTCAGGAGTTTGAGACCAGCCTGGGCAACATGGTGAAACCCCATCTCTACTAAAAATACAAAACTTAGCCAGGCTGGTGGCAGGTGCTTATAATCCGAGCTACTCAGGAGGCTGAGCCACGAGAATCACTTGAACCCAGGAGGCGGAGGTTGCAGTGAGCCAAGATCACACCACTGCACTCCAGCCTGGGTGGCAGAGTGAGACCCTGTCTCTAAATAAATAAATAAAATTTAAAAAATGGATAAAAGACTTAAATATAAAAACTGAAATTCTAAAATGACTAGAAGAAAACATAAGGGAAAGTTCTATAACGTTGGTGTGGACAATAATTTTTTTTGGATAAGACCCTGAAAGCACAGGCAATAAAAGCAAAAACACACAAATAAAATGGCATCAAACTCAAAAGCTTCTGCACAGCAATGGAAACAATCAGCAGAGAGAAGAGACAGCCCACAAAATGGAGTAAAATATTTGCAAATCATACATCAAGTAAGCAGCTAATGTCCAAAATATAAAAGAAACTCAACCCAATAGCAAGAAAACAAATAATTAGATGATGTTAAAATGGGCAAAGGACCCAAAGTCCTCAAAAGAAGATTTACAAGTAGCTAGTTGGTACATGAAAAAATGCTCAGCATCTCTAATTATTAGAGAAATGCAAATAAAAACCACAATGAGTTATCACCTCACCCCTGTTGGAATGGCTATCATCGAAAAGATGAAAAATAAATGTTGGAGAGGATGCAGAGGAAAGGGAACTCTTATGCGTAATGGAAATGTAAATTACTACAGCCATTGTGGAAAATGACATGGAGGTTCCTCAAAAAACTGAATATAGAACCAGTAAATGATGCAGTAATCTCACTTCTGGGTGTGTATCCAAAGGAACTGAAGGTAGGTCCAAGAGACGTCTGCACATCCATAGTTATTGCAGCCCTATTCATAACAGCCAAGATGTGGAATCAACCTAAGTGTCCATCCGTGGATGAATGGATAAATGTGGTATATATACAATGGCATACTATTCAGCCTTTCAAAAGAAGGAAATCCTGTCATTTGTGACAACATGGATGAATCTGGAGGACTTTATGCTGAGAGAAATAAGGTAGGCGCAGAAAGACAAATACCCCATGATCTCACTGGCATGTGAAATCTAATAAGGTTGAACTCATAGAAACAGGAAGTAGAATGATGGTTACCAGAGGCTGACAGGTGCGGGGTGTGGGAAGACAGGGAGTGAGGAGTTGATGATCAAAGAGAACAAAGTTTCAGATAGACAGAGGGTTGGTGATCCATTGCATAGCAAGGTACTGTAGTCAGTAATGATGTGTCATATATTTCAGAATAACTGAGAGCATAAATTTCAATTGTCTCACCATGAAAGAGAACAGGTAAGCAAGGCGATGAATATGTTAGCTTGATCTAATTATTTCATCTTGTATACAATTATCAAAATATCACATTGTACCCCACAAATGTATACAGTTATGATTTGTCAATCAAAACAAATGTTAATAATATTTTTTGTTCTGAGACAGTCTCACTCTGTTGCCCAGGCAGGGATGGGGTGGTGCAATCATGGCTCACTGCAGTCTCAATCTCTCAGGCTCAAGCGATCCTCTTGCCTCAGCCTCCTGAGCAGCTGGAACTACAGCCACATGCAACCACACTGGACTAATTTTTTAAATTTTGTGTAGAGATGGGATTTTGCTATGTTGCTCAGGCTGGTCTTGAACTCCTGGACTCAAGCTATCCTCCATCCTTGGCCTCCCAAATTGCTAAGCTTACAGGCAGGAGCCGCTATATTCAGGCAACTTTTTTAAAAAAACTATGTTCTCTGCTGGTTTCTGTGACCTCGTCACATCATTGTCGTGGTCATTGATTCCTGAAGTGTGAACTCTAAATGCCTTTGTCTGGCTCCTAGGACCCTTGTCTACATGCCCCACCATTGAATCTCATAGGTCCTCCCCTCACACCTTGCTTTTCGGTTGTGCAAACCACTTATCAATTCCCAAAGAGGCTGAGCACACTCTAATCTTTCCTTTTCTGCCCAGATTCCTCCCCGCTAATGCTGATTAACCCTTTTCCACCTTTCGAAATTCAAGACAAATGTCTCCTCCTCTGTGACAGAATTCTGGGCCACCGTCAGTGCCTTCCTCTTGCCTGACAAATATCTTGTCACACTTCAGTTTCTACACTTGCTATACCTGTGTGTTCATATGTCTATTACAACCTCCTCTCCATGCAAATGGAAGGCCCTGGATCTGGGTTCTCTGTACTTTTGTACACCGAGAGCCCAGTACAGTGTCTGGCAATTAGTTGGTACTAAATAACAAAATATGGCAAAACAAATAAATAAAATACATGATTTAAAAGCAGACAATGTAATTGTCATTTGAACAAGTTCTCCAACTTTATTCTATTACCTTTAAATTCTCTCTTTTTCCTTTCTTCCCCATCCTTGCAAATGAAAAGATCCATGTACTATCAACCTTCCTCTCAAGGCTTGGGGTTTTAATGAGTCAATGTAATAAATTTACGTGTTTTGGAGACGAAAGAGCTGAGACAGAGAGGCTAAGTAACTTACCCGAGTAGGAGCTGCGACCTAAAGTCTGTATTTCTGACACTGCACTGATCCTAACCCAGGCAGTGAAGGTCCAGGGAAGTGAAATAAGACACACTGGACCATGACGATACATGGGAGGGAAATCTGTGAAAGACAGAGAAACAGAGCTTAGTGCCCAGGGTGGGATCTTAGGCTATTCTGGGTGATGGTGAGTGGGCAGGCCAGCAGCATTAAAGCAGCAGTAGGAGGCAGGGATGGGACCCTCGTCATAACCCGCCTCTAAGGGAACTCACTGCAGGGTGAGCATGGCCCATCAGTGACCCGTCAGGCAGGTGTAGCAGATATTTTGCATGACTCTGATGCACTGCTTCCATTTTTTAAGGGAGTGGTTGACTCACAGTCGGTATACCGGGGGTGACCCAGGCTCTGGTCTGCCGCAGTAACACTGGTCACATGCTCCCCGGAGCGCAATGGTAGCTGGTTGAGCATCCTCACCAAGTATGGTTACCTGCTTCTCATTCTCACGGACACAGGCTTCTAACAACTTTTCCGATTGCACAAGATCATTTTTGAGGCTTCATTCCCTCCCCCACAGTAAAGAACAGACCCCAAATCCTCAGCTTGGTCTAAAAAAAGTATTCTAAAATATGTACATTGATTTTTTCAACTGAATGTTTTCAACTAAATCATCTCAATGGAAAGTGAAAAGGGAATTTTTGTTTGTTCAATAGTTTGCCCAAAGGATTGTATCATTTCTTTAAAGTAAATTTTAGTCAAAAAGTAGATTTATATAAAATTCTAACAAAATTGCTTTCTTCTGGAATAAACAAGTCCTGTAAAATACTGTGTATTTATATATAAAATAACAGATAATATACACTATATATATATCACACCCTATAATATGTACTATATGTATATAAATATTTTATAAGGAGAATTTTATTCCTATGACGTAATGGTGTTATAATTTTGAAAACCAGAAGTAGGGCCTAACAATGTGTTAAAAATATTTGCACTAACTGTTAATTGATGCGTTAATGTCATTTTCATCTTCCCCCAACAAATATTTAACATTCAATACTTATACATATCCCCTGGTAAATGAACTTTCTTATTTGCCAGCAAAGGTTCTTAGAAAAATAGACTGAAAAGAAATAACTTCTATCTAAAGATGTTTCAAAAGCTTCACACAACTTACAGAATGGATAAAAATGTCGCATAACTTACAAGGGTAAATTAGCATGTGAAGGGTAAATATCATTTTACTTTAATGTCTCTCAAAAATCAAAATCTTACCTTACCATAATTCTTAACCTAAAAAGCAATTAATAAGCAGTGTTTTATAATGTTGCTGTATCTTGGGTGTGCCTGGGGAACTATTTGTGTTCTTCTTAACTGAGCTGTATAAGCAAGTAACAAGCTGCTCTGAGAAATCATTCGGCTTTTGAAACCAAAATGATTATTAGATTAGGTCAGAGAGATCCACAGCCAAATTTATCATGCTCATATGTCTCTTTTTATCTGCCAAATATAATTGCTTGTTATTTGTCTTTTTAAAATATAAAATAAAGTTCAGTGCGCAAATAAAAATTCAATGCAGCTCAATACATGAAAGTTGTTTTTACAGAGATTCAAATCAAAGCCATCCTGTCCAATCCCGCTCTCATTTAGAAAGGTTTCCATTGGAGCAGAAAGGTGGTAATGGCTGACAGCCAATCTGCAGTGGAAAAAATGCAAGCCTGTGACCTAGAAGGCACTGGTGTTCAAAGCCCTAATTACTCAGATGTCAGAAGTACAAGATTACAGGCTTTTATAATGTCAAGATAATTAAGATAGTTTGCAAAATTGCACCTGGTAAATTCTAAATTCAAGTGACCCCAGTGGTCTGCAAAAGAATATAAAGATGTCCTTGGTAGCCTTCTGCCTGTATCTCAGTGGTACTCTCTTCCTGCCTTTATCTCAGTGGCACTCTCTTTCTGTCCCTAATAATGCACACTGTGATCCCAAACCTGTACCTGTGAGTCGAGACGAACAAGATGGTGCACCAGCTCTTGGGCTTCTGAGAAGAAAAGGAAAACAGGAGCCTGTCCCCATCCCACACTGTGCTGGAGACTTTCTTAGACACTGAACCACACTTCCACCCATTGTGTTGAAGACAAGAATACGGGGAGCCAGAGACGCTGAGGAAACGTGCCCAAGCCGGCGGCAAAGCTGAGATTTGCAGCAGCCCCATTAGTCTAGTAGACTCTGACTGACATCAGCTGAGGCCAGATTTAAAGAGATGAGCATTCATGGGAGCATCTGTTATTTTGTCACACCCTCCCTAACTCGGTTTTAAATAAACAACGCAAGTGAAAAGGGGCAATATTATGTGAATAACTATCATATTACATTATTTGTATTGGAAGACGCTTTTCTTTTCCTCATATATTCTTGATGTCACAAGACTTCAGGCCTTTATGCAAAATGTACAACTGCCACTGTTAAAGTACGTGCTGAAATTATAACGACAACCCTCTCACATCGACCCCCACCCATATGGGCTGGCCCACCCTATAAGATGCATTGTCATTAGTTATAAATTGAACACTCATTAGAGCTGACAAAATGTTGAACAGCAAAGTATCAAGCATTCCCTGTCATGATTTGAGGTTAAATTGTCCAAAGTGACTCAGCACAAGGGAGAATAGGTGTATTTCTGGGACACTTTTTGTATTTCAGACTCAAAATTCTCTTGAAAGAAATACAACTCGAACTTAGCTCATCATATCAAAAGCCAGATCACATAATCCTTCTCACTGAATAAAATCAGATGGGTCTGACAATGAGGTTGGAAGCTTTGCCAAGAGCTTTTGCTGTATGTTTCTCGAGGAGTGAGAGAGAGAGAGAAAGAGGATGCAACCTGAAGTTCAGCAGCAGCTATCACCACACAGTCAGCTACTCCTGAATCCCAGCACCTCAAGGATTAGAGGGTCCTGTTCAACACAGTAGCCACTAGGCACCTGTGGGTATTGGCCACGTGAAATGGGCTGGTTCCAACTGAGGTCAGCTGCAAGTGCAAACTATGTCCTGGATTTCACAGATTTAGAGTGGAAAAGAATGCAAACTCTCTTATTACGTGTTTAATTGATGATTTGTTGACGTGAGATTTGGATATATCGAAGTAAGTAAAACGTATTATTAAAATTAATTCCACCTGTTTGCTTTTTACTTTTTTAATGAGGCCACTAAAGACAACTTACCCATATGTTCCAAATAATTGAAAGTAGGATCTTGAAGAGGCATTTTCATGTCCATGTTCACAGCAGCATTGTTCACAAAAGCCAGATTTTCAATAGCTAAATGGATAAGCAAAATAAGGTCTATCTGCATAATGAAACCTCATTCAGCCATAAAAGATAATGAAGTACTAATACATCCTACAACATGCTTGAACCTTAATAACATCGTGGTAGGTGAAAGACGTCAGTCACAAAAGACCACATACTCTATGATTCCGTTCATATGAAAATCCAGAATGGAGGGGTCCACACAGACAGAAAGGAGGTAAATGGTTTCTTAGCCATGGGGGTGAGAAGATGGGGCCATTTGGAAAGAGTTCTAGGTTTCTTTTTGAGGTGATAAAAATGTTCTAAAATTGACTGTGGTGATGTTTGTACCTACTTGTGAATATATTGAAAACCATTGAGTCATACAGTTGAAGTGGGTGAGTTGTATGGAATGTGAATTATATCTCAACAAAGTTGTTTTTTTTTAAAAAAAAAAAAAAGAAAACTCTCAAGAAACTGATGGAAAGTTGGGAGAGGAGAATTTCAGGCAGAGAGAGTGGCACTTGCAAATAGGATCTGCTGTGAAGGAACAGATTTGTTCTCTCCCCTTGGATGGTGCTCCGTGTCTCTGTCCTTAATTAATACCCAGGCCAGGCTTTCACTGGGCCCCATGGCACTGGCATGGGACAAAGCTCTCCAGGCCTGTCTTGCCCAAAACACTGCTCGTACAACCCTTTATTGTGCATGCATGCAGCCTCACTGAAGCTTCTACTGGAAGAAACAGAAAAACTACCACATAACAGGAAGACAGGGTAAAAAAAAAAGTGCTCCTGGTGGAATACATTAAGTTGCTAGTGATAATTAACCTTGTTATTAAAAGCCACAGTAATTATTACACAAAAATAATGTAACCATGCAAAGTAACAAATCAAATGGACATGTTTGTAAAAATGAGGATTGAGGAAGATTTTTTCTTACTGAACTGCATAAAAGATGTTGCATTTGAAGCATCAGAAAGTGTTTCTCCACCAACAGCATCTCCAAAAAGTCAGAAATCTGACGAATACCATTCCCTTAAAGAACGAGACACTTTGCATGATTGCCTTTTACAGCCCTCACTGAGGCTGGAGACTTCCACAACTGAATCAAAAGAGATGGCTCAACTGTGCCAGGGAAAGGGAACTTTTGCCCTCTGATTCACTTAAAAGGCAGAATGACGGACAAGCCGACCTGCTCAGCCTGCAGGTGAGGGAGGGAATCCGAGCCGCTGGCACAGAGAGGAAAACCACACTGTTAGGTGTCCCGTTTACTTCATGTGCTCGCACCAGGGTGAGGACAGCAGGCCTCACCCCAAAACGCAGAAATGCTGGCATACTGTTCCCCTAAAAAGGAGCTGAAGAGGACATGATACAAACAGCACCTGCCACGTAACCCTCAAAAACATGAGGAAAATTACATGACACTTGTCAGTCCTTTTTGTTGATTCAAATATCTGTGGATTGATTACTAAATTTGTTGACTAATCCCTCAGGTAGTAAACAAGTCATGAAAACCTGAAGGCTATTATACAGCCTTTCCCACATTTTCAAATGTGTCCTGACCTCGACCAGGAATATTCTAGGGTCCGAAAGGGTGATTTATGTGATTCTATAAAGTGACATAATGAGACTGGCTATTAGCATATGTTCAAATACGTTCAAAGCCAGAACCTGGACATGCGATGTAGTGTTTAGGGCCTAACGAAGTAGACCCGATTGATCTTTCACACTTTCGAGAAGCAGGCAGGCGGCTCAGGGCAGGTAAGCAGCTCCGCTGCATGAAGTCATCTGGGGCTCTGATACCCTTGACATTGCACTGGCTTTCCTCGGGATGTTCTAATCATCCATGCCGTCGATACTGACTCCCCACCACACCCATGCTTAATCCTATGAGAAGAGAAACCGAGCCCCAAATCCCTCCTTTTAAGGGCCTTTCACTGCTGGGGGACTTAGATACATGGTCCAGCTTTTTCACTGGGGAAGCTGGGATATGCAGTCTCCAGCAGGCAGCCATATGCCCAACCAAAGCTCAGGAGAATGGGGCTTCTGAGTTTAAGACAGACAGAGGGAAGGGGCAGCAGAGGACAGTTAATGTTGCCATGCCTGCCTTAGCAAAGCAGTTGTGTGTTTCTCCTTAGCACAGAAGGCTATGTGCTTTGAAATGATTGGATTTTCAAAGTCATTTGACCATTTACTAACTCCTCTCCATCACTTCCTGTGCATTCTATAATTTCTCACCCTATCCCATTTTCCCAAACTCTTCCTCTGCATCCTGCTCGTATATATCAGCTCCCTAAATCCTCTCTTGCATACTGTAGTTCCTCTTTAAAAATTCTCTTCACCCCTAGCTATCAGCGAGCATGACTTTCCCAGCCTCCTTCTCCACGGGAATGTTTTTCCTCCCATATTGCACATAAGCCATGGCCTGCAGGTGGGGCAAGCACGCCCTTACTCCCACTGCTGTATTCACACGGTATCTCCTCCTTTCTCCTCCAAAAGCCTCCAGCTCCTTTGGAGCACACGCCATCTGACTAGACCACCTGCGTTTCCCTGCCATCTTCAGACCCCCCACGTTCTTTCCTTCATCCACCACGGACTTCAGCGGCTGGCTCCATCTTCATCTCTACCTACCCTTGTTACCATTTTCAGTGACTTCAGCTTGCGCGTAGATAATCCACTGAGCAGTGAGCTCTCAGATCCTTAGCTTTCTCTCCCACGACACTCTTTCCTCCACCATCCCATGAGACCCAGCCCCACGACCACACCTTAGCCCTTGCCATATAACAATAAATGCCCCACCCCATAAGACTGATACTGGCTGGGTGCAGTGGCTCACACTGTAATCCAAGCCCCTAGGGTGGGTGGATTGTCTGAGCTCAGGAGTCAGAGACCAGCCTGGGCAACATGGCAAAACCCCATCTGTACCCGAAATACAAAAAATTACCCAGGCGTGGTGGCAGGTGCCTGTGGTCCCAGCTACTCGGGAGGCTGAGGTAGGAGAATTGCTTGAGCCTGGGAAGCAGAGGTTGCAGTGAGCTGAGATTGTGTCCCTGCACTCCAGCCTGGATGACAGAGTGAGACTCTGTCTCAAAATAATAATAATAATATTAAAAAGACTGATGTTAACATCTCATTCTCCTACTAAGCCTTATCTTTCCAGCTCACTTACTCTGTGCTGCCTACTCCAACCATTTTCAACATTGTAAACCACAAATCCATTGACCTTAAAATGTTTTTATTATCTATCATCCCCTCCTGGTCTTACTTTGAACTTTCCCACTTTGGGGTCCAGGGCCCATCATTATAATCACGTTATTCAATTTGATAAACTATAACCACAAACTTTGTTTCCATTGAATTCACACAGCAAAGCAATAACCTATTCAGACCAACTATTCACCTACTCAGCGCTGTTAATAAAAGATCATGAAATCTGCAGAGGAAAAAGGAAGAGCTTTGTTGTCTATAAAACAGTTAAAAAAAAAAAAAAAAAAAAAAAACAACTCCCGCAGACATTTCTTCAGAAGCACAAATGAAAGTGTGTGCACCGAAGAACAAAGGAAGGGTTTATGGCTCAAATAGGAAAAGTTTTCTCCCAGGTTCTCTGTCACGTCTGTTTATGCAAATGTAGGATTCACGTGTGTTCAGTTCTTATTGGTTGAGATAGCCAAGCCTTGACTGGGTGGCTTCCCATCCCAACATTAAAAGTGTCTTTGTCAGGTGTTTTCTTTTAAAATGGCCAATGGGGTGGAGATGAGGAGTCTAGCCACTGTTTTTCTTGGCTCTGGTCACAGAAAGCACATGAAGTACGATGTTTGTGAAGAGATGGTTCTCCTCTCACTGCCCCTTATGGCCACTTGAATCTGTTATCTAAATTTGGGTGTCTCCATTAGTCACCGAGAGCCGATTTCCTCCGGAGAGCTTGAGGTCCCATTTACAATTCTATTTCACTGCACCATCAGCCAGCAGCTGAAGAAAATCACAAAGCCATAGTGACTGTCCACACTCTAAACTCAAGGTCACAAATCTGAAACACATACTTATCACCGTCCAGAGGTTGTGCTACACTTCCCTTGTAAACAAAACTCCAGTATTCAAGACATCCAAGTATTTCACACTTTCTTTATGCTCCTGAAGCCTCCAATATTTCTTCTTCTTCCTTCTCTATCGAGAAGAGATAGAGGAACTCCATCTCCCCTCCACCAACTCCAACCTTCCAGGAGGATGGAAGCAACGTCAAGGTGTTCCCATTCCTGTCTCAAGGCAACACCTCCCCCAGCACTCGGGACCTCACCAGCTCTCAAGGTGCACAGGCTTTGCTTCAGCTGTTTTCCGCTCTCTCCTCTGCACCATCATAATGTCATCCACACAAGAGAATTCTCACCAACACACTAACCAACTCCAAGATATCCTTCCCTCTGAAACCCTGCCCTGAGCCAGTGTCTTTCTAGCTCTTTTCCTCATTTCCACTCCCTTGAATTTCATTCTCTTCCTTCCATTCTTGTCAGTGTCCTTCCCCACCACTCCCATAAAGCTCCTTTTATCATCGCCACCAGTGGCCTTCATGTTTCCGAATATGGTGATTCATTTTCTTTCTTTCTGCCAAATATGGTGATTCGTTTTCTTTCAGCAGCATCCGGCAGACCTGAGAATGCTTGTTGAGGCATTTCCTTCTATCAGCTTCCCTGCCACCTTCTCCAGTCAATCCCCTTGCTTCTCTGGCTACTCCTCGGTCTTCTCTGAGGGCTTTGGCTTCTCTGCCAGACTTCTAAACCCTGATGTTTGTCCTGGGCCTTCTCCCTTCTCTATCTATCCTCCCTATCTCCACTTAAGCTAAGTTGGGTCACGCTTTCAAATACTATCATCCCTAAGTGTATGACTTCCAAATTTATATTTTCTAGTCCTGACTAGCCATAGATTCCTAATAAGCCTCTGAAACTTAACACATCCAAAACATTCAATCCAAGAAAATAGAACTATCCACCCAGTTGCTTCAGCCAAAAGTCTAGAAGTCCCATTCTTTCCCCCTCACTTCCCACAATCAGCTCACCAGCTGAATCTGCCCTCTTCTCTCTCACACCATTGCACCACCCAGTCCAACTCATGAACCATTTCCTCAAGTACTGTAATGACTTCTTAACTGTTTCTGTTCTTGCCCACTTATAATCCCTTTTCCACAGAGGAAACACAATAATCTATTTTAGGTATAAATAAAAGCATGTCATTCTTTGGTTAAGCCTTCCAGTAGCTTCCCATTCCTCTTGGATAAAATTCAAACTCCTTACTATGTTCCACAGAGCCCTGTATTATCTGGCTCTTGTTTATCTTTCTATTTTTATCTCCTGCCACACTCTGCCTGGCTTACCGCATCTGCGTCACATTGACCTTCTGTGAGTATTTCAAATGCTCTTTATTCCTCACCACACTCCAAGCTCTTCTCTTTGCCTGTTCCTCACCACACTCCAAGCTTCTCTCCAAGCCTGTTCCTCACCACACTCCAAGCTTCTCTCCTTGCCTGTTCCTCACCACACTCCAAGCTCCTCTCCTTGCCTGTTCCTCACCACACTCCAAGCTTCTCTCCTTGCCTGTTCCTCGCCACACTCCAAGCTCCTCTCCTTGCCTGTTCCTCACCACACTCCAAGCTTCTCTCCTTGCCTGTTCCTCACCACACTCCAAGCTTCTCTCCTGCCTGTTCCTCACCACACTCCAAGCTTCTCTCCTGCCTGTTCCTCACCACACTCCAAGCTTCTCTCCTGCCTGTTCCTCACCACACTCCAAGCTTCTCTCCTGCCTGTTCCTCACCACACTCCAAGCTTCTCTCCTGCCTGTTCCTCACCACACTCCAAGCTCCTCTCCAAGCCTGTTCCTCACCACACTCCAAGCTTCTCTCCTCCCTGTTCCTCACCACACTCCAAGTTTCTCTCCTGCCTGTTCCTCACCACACTCCAAGCTTCTCTCCTGCCTGTTCCTCACCACACTCCAAGCTTCTCTCCAAGCCTGTTCCTCACCACACTCCAAGCTCCTCTCCTTGCCTGTTCCTCACCACACTCCAAGCTCCTCTCCTTGCCTGTTCCTCACCACACTCCAAGCTTCTCTCCAAGCCTGTTCCTCACCACACTCCAAGCTTCTCTCCTGCCTGTTCCTCACCACACTCCAAGCTCCTCTCCTTGCCTGTTCCTCACCACACTCCAAGCTCCTCTCCTTGCCTGTTCCTCACCACACTCCAAGCTTCCCTCCTTGCCTGTTCCTCACCACACTCCAAGCTTCCCTCCTTGCCTGTTCCTCACCACACTCCAAGCTTCTCTCCAAGCCTGTTCCTCACCACACTCCAAGCTTCTCTCCAAGCCTGTTCCTCACCACACTCCAAGCTTCTCTCCAAGCCTGTTCCTCACCACACTCCAAGCTTCTCTCCAAGCCTGTTCCTCACCACACTCCAAGCTTCTCTCCAAGCCTGTTCCTCACCACACTCCAAGCTTCTCTCCAAGCCTGTTCCTCACCACACTCCAAGCTCCTCTCCTTGCCTGTTCCTCACCACACTCCAAGCTTCTCTCCTGCCTGTTCCTCACCACACTCCAAGCTCCTCTCCAAGCCTGTTCCTCACCACACTCCAAGCTCCTCTCCTTGCCTGTTCCTCCATCTGAAATGCTGTTCCCCTAGACCTTTATATCTGTCTCCTCCATGTTTAACAATTTTATGGATTTTTATTTGGAATTCACATTAATATTGATGACATTAAAGTACATATAAATTCATATCCATATTGTATTTAGATCAATGATGGGTTTATATAAATGTAAATTTTAGTTCCAACAATTTGGGTCATCCGTGAATACAAGTATGTTTAATATAAAATGTATTTTAATATAAAAAAGCTATTGATAATGTCATATAGATTGGAAATTTTAAACTCTATTGATGAACATTGAGTCTCTTTTCACTTAAATGTTATATTGCATAAATCAAACACTTTGTCAAAACAAAGCAATAAATGAACAGACAGGTAGGTGATAATTTCTGGCAATGACAAAGCTATGTAAAAATCTAACAGTGTAAAGTGATGTGGCAGGTATGCGAAGGCGTCTAATTTAAGTAAAATCAGCAAGGAGGATCTCAGAAGAGATGGCGCTGGAGTCATGTTCTCAAGTAGAGATGAGCATGTTTTGAAATGATATGGTCAGAGCCTCACGTGATTTGAATACTATTTCTTACATATCTACTGGTGAGTTTCAGAGGCAAACAAGAACTTGAATGAGAGTACATTAGAAAACTAATTATATTTCAAGAATATTTTACAAATGGTTTGAGGTAGGCTTAGTGATATGGTTTGGCTGTGTTCCCACCCAATTCTCACCTTGAATTGTAATAATCCCTGCACATTAGCCACCTGGCGGGGCCAGGTGGAGATAATTGAATCATGGAGGCCGTTTCCTCCCATACTGTTCCCGTGGTAGTGAATAAGTCTCATGAGATCTGTTGGTTTTATAGAGGGGAATTTCCCTGCACAAGCTCTCTGTTGCCTGCTGCCATGTAAGATGTGTCCTTCTTCCTCTTCACTTTCTGCCATGATTGTGAGGCCTCCCCAGCCATGTGGAACTGTGAGCCAATTAAACCTCCTTCCTTTGTAAATTACCCAGTCCCAGGTATGTCTTTATTAGCAGCACGAGAACAGACTAATACACTTAGCTTACGTACAAATTATAATAATTATAATAACTTGTACCTAAGCTAAGCCTGCCTCAAACCATTCTTGAAATATGATTGTCCACTTTCCAATTCAAAAAGTACCAAATTTCTTAGATTAATACATTTTTAAAATGCCTAAATAAGGAAGGGTTTTCAAACAGAAGGCTTCCCATTTAGGTTTCTGCTGCTTCTTGTCCTATAGTATTTAAACACCACCATCCAGGACATCCAAGAAACGGTGGTTCCTTCTTAAGACAAAGGACCATTCATCTTTATCTTTCTATAGTATTGCACACCTCTGGCATATAATAAGCATTCAAAAACCATTTGATCAACCAATCAATCAATCTTTTATCCTCCAATGTCAAGCTAAGTCAGTTTCTAACATGTAGAAAACACTAAATCAATGTGTTTGTTGAGTTAGCATGTTATGAATACATCATTCATCTAAATCCCTGAGTTTTGGAGGCAGGAAAATCAGAAGGATGCTGGCATTGGAGATGGGCAAGTCTGGAGTCAAGGGAGCCCCAGCCCCACTCTGCAGTATCTATTTGGACTTAAACAAGTCCAGTAACCTTTCTGCATTTCAGACACTTCATCTGTTACAAAAGGATTATAGCTTTCAAGGTGCCGCGAGGGGTTGAAAGACAATGTGTGGAGCTCCCAACAAAGTGTGTGGCCCAGGGTAAGCCCAAGAATCATAAAAGTCGATGTGATGATGGTGTTATTATTAAGTGCCTTGTACATGTTTATGCCTTGGGTGCCCACGAATACAATTAGTAATGACTATTTTCATCATTGTGGGCACCAAGAGGCTTTCTGAGGTTTTTTTCCAAGCAGAACAGAACCAAGAACTAATTATTATACTCCAAACCCTTATTCTTAGTCTCAAGACTAAGCAGCACATGCCATGAGAGTTAGAGTCCTCCCTCCAGCTAGGAGCCTCTGCTAGGAAGCAGGCCAGTGAGCTATCCATAAAAGCACAACCTCTGCTAGAGAACAGTAAGCTGCAGACAGGTTTTATATGTGGCTATTCTTCTCAGACCAGAAGAGACATTCTGTTGGCATTTTCATCTAACAGTATAAAGTTACAATACAAATATAAGGGTAGTTGTTATTGGATAACACTTTAACAGCATTTTCTTTTTAAATCTCTGTATAGAGAGGATTTCTATTAACATATAACAGGCCAAAAACCTGAGCATCATCCTGAGCATCATTCTTTCTCTCACGCCCTGCCTCCAATCCCTCAGAAAATGTGATTGTCCTACTTTCAAGATCTACCCAAATCTGGCTTTTCTCACCACCTCCAATGCTACAACCTGGTTGGAGTCACCATCATCTTTCACTGGGAGGTTGCACAAGCCTCTCACAGACTCCACTGTTTCTACCCCTGACCCCTGCAGTCTACTCTGAGCACAGCAGTCAGAAGCATTCTTTTGAGACTTCCTTTTAGACACACTTCTGCCCAGCACCCTGCAATCGCTTTCCACTTCTGAGCTGGTGGGCTCTGAGGCCATCCGTGGTCTGGACCCAATACCAGTCCAACCTCCCCTCTGAAAGCTCCACCCTCCCTCACTGCTGCAGCCATGCCAGACTCCATGCTCATCCATGGATGCAAGAGGCAAGCACCTGTCTCATGATCCTTGCTCTATCTGCTCTCCATTTGGAAGTCTCTTCTCTCAGATAGCCATGATCTATTTCTTTATCTTTTTCAAATTTTGGCTCAAGCTTCTTCTTTTCAGGGGGTCTACCCACTGCTCTGATCACCCCGCTTAACCCTGAAACCTCCCTCACCCAGACACACACAGCACAGCACTCTGCACTCTCATCACTCTGTCCTACTGTTCTCCATAATTCTGTTCACTTTTACCACTCTGTACTGCCCACTTTATTGTGTTTATTGTTGACTACCTGCCCCTCCCTGTGAAAAACAAGCACCTTGAGGATGGAGATCTTTGTCTCTTTTGTTCACTGATTTGCTGAAGCACAGAAAACTTATGAGCAGTGCTTGGCTCATAGCAGGTACTCAGGAAATACTGAATCAGTGAATATAAACTAAGAAGACAATGATGCCTTACCATGAGTGGAAAGATGCCCATCATGTGGGAAGCAAGCAAATCTTTATGTGTGCAAAATCAGGGCTTTGCCACCTGTTTAGAGCAACCATTTCTTCCTCTGCTTAGAGGCATCAACAGGATATGAGCAGGTGTTTAGTAGAGAATATAATCAGTTTAGTTTTTCAGAGCAGATGATACAAAAATATTCTTCTCACACAGATTATGAGATATTGAGCCTAACGGTTTTGAAATTTAGGAAAAGTTAATATGAATGAGAGAAAAATAACCAAAAAGAAATAGCAATTATTCCTTACTAATGTTATTTTTCTGTCTGCAAAGTAAACATAGTAAAAGAAATTTTTCACTTTAAGTTATGAAAGTTGACACTATTATCTATAATTTTTACATGTGCCTCTATTATATGTCCTCTAGCCTTTCACTAAACTAGACCCATTGTAATCTGCTATTATTTGTACTTATTTTACCTATAATTTGGAAATAAGGTGATTAGCATATTTTTCCTTAAATTTTATTCCTGGTCTCAAAGACTTTTTCGACATAGTCATTAACTCTAAGACTAAACAAAAGTGAATAGCTAAAGAAAAGGTTATACTGGGCTGGAAAGCTACAGGTTGAAGGCCAGTTTGGCCCACATTTTTTTTTTTTTTATAAAGATGATTGAAACAGCCATGCCCATTCACCTGCCTCTTGTCCATGGCTGCTTTCTAACTGGCAGAGTTGAGTATTTGTGACAGAGACCATATGGCCACAGAGCCAAAAATATTTACTCTCTGTCCCTTTACAGAAAACGTTTGCTGACCTTTATGAGGCAGTCGATCTTCCTCCTACTGGCTTTTCACATGTTGCTGTGTGTCTGTGTGAGGTCATTTATTGAGCACCAAATGTGCCAAATATGCATCATGACTATGCGTCTAGCACAAGACGGTGACGATCGCAAACATGTCATGATAGTTGCCGAAGGTGCTGTGGACAAACATCACTCCCTTCCCTCCACGTTAGAGACAAGATGGGAAAGAGAAGTGGGGAGAAATTGTTCATATCCACAAAAAGACGTCCTTCACTAAAGAGCACTGGCTCAGCCCTTGAATGCTGAGAAACTAAAAACAGAGAAAGGTTAAGGACACAGGAAACAGGGATGACGAATAGCTCCTTACATTTTCTAATAACTCAGGGTATTGCAGGTGGCCAGAGCCAACCCAAATCATCACATCCAAACATGGGACAAGGCAAAACCTGAAACTGTTAAGAGACATGCAGCGTCAGTTTGATTCCCGCTGCGGACGAGGGGCAGCCTGCACATGCTGAGGATGGACCCCGACCCTCCTGTTGCTAGCAGGCTGAGGGCAATGCCATCTCTATGCTACCTTGTGTCAGGTCACCACAGTGTCCCCAGCATCTGAATGCTGAGTGCAACCAAGGCTTTAGTTCAGCAACGTGAAACACCAGCTGCACTCCACACCCCGGCACCCCCACGCTGCATCCCACACCCCGGCACCCCCACGCTGCACTCCACACCCCGGCACTCACACGCCGCACTCCACACCCCGGCACCCCCACGCTGCACTCCACACCCCGCCTCTCACACGCTGCATCCCACACCCCGGCACCCCCACGCTGCACTCCACACCCCGGCACTCCCACGCTGCATCCCACCCTAGGAAAGCACAAGGAAATCATGTGAGCACCACAGGGGCCAATTTGTGCTGCATCTTCTCCAGCATTCCAGTCAACAGACACTGAGCAGTAGACAGGAAAGAATTCCTCAAGCTGAGTTCAACAGGAATCCCTTCCTTGAGAATATGTACCAGACCACAGGATTATTTTAGAAAGCATTAATCCTAGGAACATGTACTTGGGGTGATTCCTAACAGACTAGGAGTTATAAATAGAGCACAGACATATTTGGTCTATAAATAAAATTCTTTTAACTGATGTTTTATTGTGGTAAGATATACATGACTAAAATGTGCCATTTTAATGATTTTCAAATGTACAACTCAGTGGCATTAAATTCATTCCCATTGTTGTGCAGCCATCACCAATATCCACTCCAGCACTTTTCATCATCCCACACTGAAACGCTGTACCTTTCAGGTAGGAGAGAAAAAACACCAGAGAGGAGACAGGACTAACGTGCAGCTCCCATTTAGACAAACAGATCAGCGTCTGGAGATTCACATTGTGAACTTCTGTTCCAAGAACCAGTGTAGGGACATACTAGGGAGACTGAAAGAATTCACAGACCCTTTGAAAGAAGTGGCTTGCCACTGCAAATGCTGCAAGACAGCTGAAAAACTGTGAGTTCCCAAAGTGTGAGAGGCGAAAAAGTCTGCCTCTGAACACACATCCCCACTGGGGAACCTGAAAATTCAGATCACAGGAGAAGGCTTTAATCTTACCTAGAGCTGAAATGGATTTAGGAAGCCGAGCAAAATATAAAAGTAGAAGAAGCAGTGGGAAGAGCCCTGTAGGCACTCCCAGTCCCCAGCGAAGCCCAGGGAAGCCATTCCTGGCCTTATGTCACAGTCCTTGGGGAAGGGAGGGGAGCCAGTGAAATTGCAGAGGGGCCACAGGGTGACAGAAGCTCCTAGCTGAACTTTGTAATAATTTTGACTGAGCACAAACTTTCCTGAGTAGAATGGAGATGGTGGGTTGTGGGAGTGGGTGGCAAATGGGAAGCACAATAGAGCACAGAAGCTTGCAGCCAAAGGTGTGAGCAGGCAGAGAGGTGAAGCCTGAGAGCCCTGCTTGCTTTCTCAGTGGAATGGCTTGTAGCCTGGGGCAAGATCTCAGCCCTGCTCACTGGCTGCCAGGATATAAACTCAGTGCAGTTTGGGTGGCATACAGGAGACTGGCCCCACTGGCTGCATGAGAGCTGGGTGAGGCCTGTCACTGGCAGCTTTCCCCCACCTTCCCTGGCAACCAGAATGATGCAGCAAAGGCTCCATTGGCCTGAGAACCACCCCATAATCCCCCATAGTGGCTGAAGCAAGCCCTGCCCAAGGAGAGTCTGAGCTTAGACATGCCTAGCCCTGTCTTCAGCTGATGGTTTTTCTCTACCTGCCCTGGTAGCTGAAGACAAAAGACATAAACTCTTGGGAGCTCTATGTCCCTGCCCATCACCTGAGAAACCCGAGTACTTATCCTGGCCAACATAGGGCAAGATGGTAGCCCCCTTCTACAACTGTAGCTTGTGCTCTCTTGAGAGTGCCACCTCCTGGCTGGAGGCCAACCAACTGAAGCCATTACAGCAACTCATAAGAGAACAACCCTGCTCCATAGAAGGAGAAAACAACAGCTAATTCCACGGTCTGCAACATCCTGGCTAACCAGAGGTCCTGAGTCTGTCCATGTGAAAATTTCACTGCTAGCATAACCAGCATTTGAGAAAACCATCACATTACAACAACCAAAAAATCCCAGAGTTCACTTCACTCCCCTGCCACCTCCACCAGAGCAGGGGCTGTTATCCAGAATTGGGAGACCTGAAGACAAATCACAGCACAGGACTTTTTGCAGACATTCTGCAGCACCGGCCTGGAGCCCAGTAGCCCCACTGGGTGTCTAGACCCAGAAGGGCATTAGCAATCACTGCAATCTGGCTCTCAAGAAGCCCTATCCCTAGAGGAAGGGGGAGGGCACACATCAAGAGAGCACCACCACGTGGGACAAGAGAATCTGAATAGCAGCCCTTGAGTTCCAGATCTTTCCACTGAAACAGTCTACCCAAATGAAAAGAAACCAAAAAAGTAATTCTGGTAATATGACAAAACAAGTTGTATAGTACCGCCAAAAGATCACACTAGCTCTCCAGCTGTGGATCCAAACCAAGAAGAAATCTCTGAATTGCCAAAAAAAAAAAAAAAAAAAAAAAAAAAAAAAAAAAAAATTGGGAGGTTGGTTATTAAGCTATTCAAGGAGGCACCAGAATAAGGTGAAAACCAACTTCAAGAAATGTTGAAAACAATACAGTATATGGATGAAAAAGTCTCCAGAGAAACAGGTATCATAAAGCAAAGACAATCACAATTTCTGGAAATGAAAGACACACTTAGAAAAATATAAAATACACTGAAAAGTTTCAACAATAGAATAAAACAAGTAGAATAAAGAACTTCAGAGCTCAATGACAAGGCTTTCAAATTAACTGAAAAAAAGAGACAAAGAAAAAAGAATTTTAAAAAATTAACAGACTCCAAGAAATTTGGGGTTTTGTTAAATAACCAAGCATAAGAATAATTGGCATTCCTGAGGAAGAAAAGAAATCTAAATGTTTGGAAAACTTATTTGAGGGAATACTCAGGGAAAACTTCCCTGGCCTTGCTAGAGATCTAGACATCCAAATACAAGAAGCTCAAAGAACACCTGGGAAATTCATCACAAAAAGATCATCACCTATGCACATAGTCATCAGGTTATCTAAAGTTAAGATGAAAGAAATAATCTTAAGAGCTGTGAGGCAAAAGCAGCAGGTAACCTATAAAGAAAAAGCTATCAGATTGACAACAGATTCCTCAGCAGAAACCCTACAGGACAGAAGGGATGGGGTCCTATATTTAGCCTCCTTAAACAAAACAATAACAGTCAAGAATTTTATATCTAGTGAAACTAAGCTTCATAAATGAAGGAGAGATAAAGTATTTTTCAAACAAACAAATGTTGAGAGAATTTGTTACTACCAAGCCAGCACTACAAAAAATGCTAAAAGGAGTCTTAAATCTTGAAATGAAACCTAAAATACACCAAAATAGAACCTCTTTAAAGCATAAATCTCACAGGATCTATAAAACAATAACACAATTAAAAAAACAACATATTGAGACTACAACTAGCATGATGAATAGAACAGTACCTCACATCTCAATATTAATGTTGAACATAAATGGATTAAATGCTTCACTTAAGAGATACAGGGCTGGGAACGGTGGCTTACACCTGTAATCCCAGCACTTTGGAAGGCAGAGGTGGGCAGATCATGAGGTCAAGAGATCTAGACCATCCTGGCCAACATTGTGAAACCCCGTCTCTACTAAAAACACAAAAATTAGCTAAGCGAGGTGGTACAAGCCATTAGTCCCAGCTACTCGGGACACTGAGGCAGGAGAATCACTTGAACTCGGGAGGTGGAGGTTGCAGTGAGCCAAGATCAGACCACTGCACTCCAGCCTGGTGACCGAGCGAGACTCCATCTCAAAAAAAAAAAAAAAGATACAGAATGACAGAATGAATAAAAATCCACCAATCAAGTATCTGCTGTCTTTAAGAGGTGCATCTAACACATAAGGCCTCACCTGAACCTAAGGTAACCAAGTGGAAAAAGATATTCCACACAAATGGATACCAAAAGTGAGTAGAAGTATCCATTCTTGTATCAGACAGAAAAGACTTTAAATCAGCAACAGTTAAATAGTGATCAAAAACTAGTCCAACAGGAGAAAAATCACAGTCCTAAATACATATGCACCTAACACTGGAGCTCCAAAATTTATAGAACAATTATCATGAGACCTAAGAAATTAGATAGACAGCAACACTATAATAGTGGGCACTTCAGTACTCCACTGACCACTAGAAAGGCCATAAATACAGGTCAACAAAGAAACAATGGAAAACTACACCCTAGAACAAATGGACTTAACAGATGTTTATAGAACATTCTATCCGACAACTGCTGAATATACGTTCTTCTCCTCAGCACATGGAACATTCTCCAAAATAGACTATATGATAGGCCACTAAATGTGTCTCGGCCGGGTGTGGTGGCTCACACCTGTAATCCCAGCACTTTGGGAGGCCAAGGCAGACATATCACCTGAGGTCAAGAGTTTGAGACCAGCCTGGCCAACATGGCAAAACCCTGTCTCTACTAAAAATACAAAAACAATTAGCTGGGCATAGTGGCATGCACCTGTAGTCCCAGCTACTAGGGAAGGTGAGGCAGAAGAATCACTTGAACCTGGGAGGAGGAAGTTTCAGTGAGCTGAGATCATGCCACTGCACTCCAGCCTGGGCAACAAGAGTGAGACTCCATCTAAAAAAAAAAAAAAAAAAACCATGTCTCAATTAATTTAAGAAAATTGAAATTATGTAAAATACTCTCTCTCAGACCACAGTGGAATAAAATTACAAATTAACTGTCAAAGGAGCCATCAAAACTATACAAATACATGGAAACTAAATAATCTGTTCCAGAATGATCCTTGGGTTAAATAAAATAAAGATGGAAATTAAAAAATATATTTGAACTGAACAAAAATAGTGACACAGCCAATCAAAATCTCTGGGACACAGCAAAAGCGGTGCTAAGAGGAGAGTTCATAGCATTGAATGCCTACATCAAAGAGTCTGAAAGAGCACAAATAAACAACCCAAGGTCACACCTCAAGGAACTAGAGAAGCAAGAACAGACCAAACCCAAATCCAGCAGAAAAAAAGAAATAACCAGGATCACAGTAGAACTAAATAAAATTGAAACAAGCAAACAAAAACAATACAAAAGATAAATGAAGCAAAAAGCTGGTTCTTTTTGCATAAACAAAAGTGAGATACTATTAGCAAGATTAATCAAGAGAAAAAGAGAGGAGATCCAAGTAAACTCAATTAGAAATGAAATGGGAGATGTTAAACTAATACCACAGAAATACAAAAGATCATTCAAGGCTACTATGAACACCTTTATGTCCACAAACTAGAAAACCTAAAAGATTTGGATAAATTATTGGAAATATATAATCCTCCTAGATTAAACCAGAAAAAAATAGAAACTCTGAACAGACCAATAACAAGTAGCAAGATTAAAACAGCAATAAAAAAACTGCCAGCAACAACAAGTCCAGGAGCAGCTGGATTCTATCAGACATTCAAAGAAGAATTGGTACCAATCCTACTGAAACTATTCCAAAAGATAGAGAAAGAGGGAATCCTCCCTAAATCATTCTATGAAGCCAGAATTACCCTAATACCAAAACCAGGAAAAGATATAACAAAAAAAAGAAAACTACAAACCAATATCCCTGATGAACATAGATGTGAAAATCCTCCACAAAATACTATCTAACTCAATTCAACAGCATATCAAAAAGATAATCCACCATGATCAAGTGTGTTTGATAACAGGGATACAGGGATGGTTTAACATATGCAAGTCAATAAATGTGATACAGCACATAAACAGAAGTAAAATCAAAAGTCATATGATCACCTCAATAGATGCAGAAAAAGCATTTGATGAAATCCAGCATCCCTTTATGATTAAAACCCTCAGCAAAACAGCATAGAGGGACATACCTTAAGGTAATAAAAGCCATTTATGACAAATCCACAGCCAACATCATACTGAATGGGAAAAGCTCAAAGAATTTTCTCTAATCAGTGGAACAAAACAAGGATGCCCACTTTCACCACTTGTATTCAACATAGTACTGAAAGTCTTAGCCAGAGCAATTAGACAAGAGAGGTAAATAAAAGGCATCCAAATCAGTAATGAGAAAGTCAAACTGTTGCTAATGCCACTGACATGACGGTATACTTAGAAAACCCTAAAGACTCATCCCAAAAGCTCATAGATCTAATAAACGAATTCAGTAAAGTTTCAGGTACAAAATTAATGTACACAAATCAGTAGCACTGCTATACACCAACAATGACCAAGCTTAGAATCAAATAAAGAATTCAATGTCTTTTACAACAGCTACAAAGAAGTAAAATACTTAAGAATATACCCAACCAAAAATGTGAAAAATCTCTACAAGGAAAACTACAAAACACTGCTGAAAGAAATCACAGACAACACAAACAAATGGAAACACATCCTATGCTCATGGATGGGTAGAATCAATATTGTGAAAAGGATAATTCTGCTGAAAGCAATTTATAAATTCAATGCAATTCCCATCAAAATACCATCATCATTTTTCACAGAACTAGAAAAAACAATCCTAAAATTCATATGGAACCAAAAAAGAGCCCATATGGCCAAAGCAAGATTAAATAAGCAAAAAGAACGAATCTGGAGGCATCACATTCTCTCACTTCAAGCTATACTACAAGGCTATAGCTACCAAAACAGCATAGAACTGATGAAAAAATAAGCACATAGACCAATAAAACAGAATAGAGAACTCAGAAATAAAGCCAAATACTTATGATCAACTGATCTTCCACAAAGCAAACAAAACATAAAATGGAGAAAGGATCCCCTATTAACACATGCTGCTGGGATAATTGGCAAGCCACATGTACAGGAATGAAACTAAATCCTCATCTCTCACCTTATACAAAATCAACTCAAAATGGATCAAAGACTTAAATCTAAGACCTGAAACCATAAAAATTCTAGAAGATAACACTGGAAAAACTCTTCTAGACATTGGCCTAGGCAAAAAGTTAATGATCAAGAACTCAAAAGCAAATGCAATAAAAACAAAGATAAACCGATGAGACTTAATTAAAGTAAAAACATTCTGCAAATCAAAAGAAATAATCATCATAGTAAACAGTCAATGCACAGAGTGGGAGAAAAGATTCGCAAACTACAAACTATGTATCCAATAGAGGACTAATATTCATAATCTACAAGAAACTCAAACAAATCAACAAGATAAAAACAAACACATCAAAAAGTGAGCTAAGGCCATGAACAGACAATTCTCAAAAGAAGATATACTAATGGCCATCAAACATATAAAGAAATGCACAACATCACTAATTATCATGGAAATGCAAATCAAAACCACAATGCAATACCACCTTTCTCCTGCAAAAATGGCCATAATTTTAAAAATCAAAAAATTATAGACGTTGGTATGGATGTTGTGAAAAGGGAACACTTTTACACTGCTTGTAGAAACGTAAACTAGTATAACTACTATGAAAAACAGTATGGAAATTCCTTAAAGAACTAAAAGTAGAACTTCCGTTTGATCCAGCAATCCCACTTGTGAGTATCTACCCAGACGAAAAGAAGTCATTCTATGAAAAAGACACTTGCACACACATTTATAGCAGCACAGTTTAACAGTTGCAAAAATAAGGAACCAGCCCAAATGCCCATCAATCAATAGTGGATAAAGAAAATGTGGTGTATATATATACCATGGAATATTACTCAGCCATAAAAATGAATGAAATAATGGTATTTGCAGCAACCTTGATGGAGTTGGAGATCACTATTCTAACTGATGTAAATCAGGAATGGAAAACCAAACATCGTATGTTCTGACTTATAAGTGGAAGCTATGCTATGGGGACGCAAAGGCGTAAGAATGACATAATGGACTCTGGGACTTGAGGAGAAGTGGGTGATAAGGGACAAAAGGCTATACATTGGGTACAGTGTACACTGCTTGGGTGATGGGTGCACCAAAATCTCATAATCACCACTCAAGAACTTATCCATGTAACGAAACACCACCTGCTTTCTCAAAACTATTGAAATAATAATAATTAAAAAAAAAAACCTCTGTACCTTTCAAACAATAACTCTCCATTCTGCCTTCCCCCAGCCCCTGGCAACCATCATTCTGCTTTCTGTCCCCATGAATCTTACTAAGTATATTGTATGAGGGGAATCACAGAATATTTGTCATTTTGTGACTGACTTATTTCACTTAGCATAACATCTTCAAGGTTTATCCATGTTGTAGTATGTCTCAGAATTTCATTGCCTCTTAATGCTGATTAATATTTCATTGTATGTATGTAGCACATTTTGCTTATCTATTCTTCCACTGATGGATCTTTGGGTTGCTTCCACGTTTTAGCTGTTGCAAGTAATGCTGCTATGGACATGGGTATACACACATTTGTTTAGGTCCCTACTTTCAATTCTTTTGGATATATCCCCAGAAGTGAAAATGCTGAATGACAAGATATATCTATTTTCAATTTCTTGAAGAACCTCCAAACTGTTTTCCATTGCTACTGTACCATTTTACATTCCCACCAGCAGTGTCAAGGGTTCAAATATCTGTTTTTGTTTTTGTTTTCTAGTAGTAGCCAAACTAATGGCTAGAAAGTGGTACATTGTTGCAGTTTTGATATGCATCCCTATTAATTAGTGATATTGGGCACAGGCACATTTTTAAAAACATACAATCAATAAAATTGTTAGGTCATGGGGATTGAAAGTGGTCAGTTTTTCTGGGTAATATTTATTGCTCTTCAAAGTGATTTGCATTTACAAGAATTGTTAACACATAACAAGCATCCTAGATTTGTTTTAAGAAACAAGGGACTTTACAATTTTTCACTTTTAGTTAACTTTGAAATACTAAGATTTATAGAAAAGTTGTAAGGATAGTATAAAGTGTTCCAGGAAGCCTTCCACCCAGTCTCCCCTAATTGTAGCGTGTTATATAACCATGACACATTTATCAAAACTAAGAAATCAACATTGCTACACTATTGACTAAACTATGGACTTTATTTGTCTTTTTGCCAGTTTTTCCAATAATACCCTTTTCCTATTCAAGGATCCAATCCAGAATACCACGTTGCATTCATCTGTTATGTCTTCTTAGTCTCTGCCAATCCGTGACAGCGTCGCTGTCTTCCCTTGTTACTCATGAACTTGACACTTTTGAAGAGTATTAGTCAGGTATTTTGTAGAATGCTCCTCAGTTGCTGATGTTTTCTCATGATTGGACTGGCATTCTGGATTTGGGGGTAAGGTAACACAGTGGTGACGTCCTTCTCGTTGCATCATTTCCGGGGATGCTTGACATCAACACTACTTATCATTGGTGATGCTCACCTCCATCACTTGGATAAGGCCAAATCTTTCAGATTTTTTCGCTGTAGGGTCACTATTTTTACTTTTCCAAAACTCTATTTATTACAAGCAAGGCACTAAATCCAGCTTACTTTCATAAGGAGGGAAATTAAACTCCACCTGCTGGAGGAAAAAGTATGAAAGAATTTGTGGATATATGTTAAATTCAGTACAGTAATTAATAAATCTTTGGGCACAGATATTTGAGGTTATGCAAATATCCTGTTTCTTCCTTATGTTTCAGACACTAATTTCAGCAGTCTTCCATGAATCTTCCCTATGGCGACTATTACTGTGGTATTCTAGTGGTGTATTAGTCCATTCTTACACTGCTAATAAAGACATATGGGAGACTGGGTAATTTATAAAGAAAAAGATGTTTAATGGACTCACAGTTCCACAGGACTGGGGAGGCCTCACAATCATGGCGGAAGGCAAAGATAGAGCAAAGGCACATCTTGTATGGTGGTAAGCAAGAGAGCATGTGGAGGGGAACTGCCCTTTATAAACCATCAGATCTCATGAGATTTATTCACTATCACCAGAACAGCATGGGAAAAAATCAGAGCCATTATTCAATTACCTCCCACTGGGTACCTCCCAGGTCAGGTGGGGATTATGGGAGCTACAATTCAAGACAAGATTTGAGTGGGGACACAGCCAAACCACATCAAGTGGTGTCTTCCATTTCCCTCATTTCTTTTATGTTTACTATTTGGAAATCTTCCACAAGGAAGATTTTTTTCACTTCTCCTTCAATTATTTATGTATGTAACCATTTATTTTTATCAGTATAAACTCACTGATATTTACTTTTTTCTTTGGGTTATAACTCAGTAGTATTTTTATTAATTTTGTTGTTCAAAGTTTTCCAGCTTTGGCCACTGGGAGCTCTTTCAGGTTGGCTGCATGTTGCTTTGTCAGGCCTGTTCCCTGACCCCTTACTTTCTGGCAACACAAGGTCCTCCAGGTTCATCATGCATTTTCCCTTCCCTAGCCCTTGAGTCAGGCAGTTCTCCAGGGAGTCCTAGTTCAACAGGGACAACTTTTCAAATCAACTTCCATGTGTTGCTATGTATAATTTTCAGATTATTTCTTTTCTTTTTTTTTTTTTGAGATGGAGTCTCGCTCTTTCGCCCAGGCCAGAGTGCAGTGGCACGATCTCCGCTCACTGCAAGCTCTGCCTACTAGGTTCATGCCATTCTCCTGTCTCAGCCTCCTGAGTAGCTGGGACTACAGGCACCCGCCACCACGCCTGGCTAATTTTTTTTTTTTTTTTTTTTTGTATTTTTAGTAGAGACGGGGTTTCACTGTGTTAGCCAGGATGGTCTCCATCTCCTGACCTTGTGATCCGCCCGTCTTGGCCTCCCAAAGTGCTGGGATTACAGGCATGAGCCACCACGCCCGGCCAATTTTCAGATTATCTCTATGCTATAATTAATGCTATAATTAACTATAGATTTTCCATAATTAAGTCATATGTATTACAGCACTCAGACTAACAGGCTGCAGTAAGAAGGAACATGAACCTATCACCAATGCTTTACCCTTCTTTCTCTAGCACTCACCTGGTAATCTCTGTGGGCCCAACTGGCTCTAAGATTCTATGATTCTATAATGAAAAGACAAAAGGCAAAAGATGTTCCCATAAGGGACATTTCTTTGAATCAGAAAATTGTTTCATTTTGCCAAAAATAAATTTAAGCCCTAGTTGACCTCCATTTTGCCTTTTCTATCCTTCCTGTAGTTTAATCCTATTCCTTCCATTTTATTATCAATTTTGAAATGAAAATTTAAATTTGTTTTGCTTGATCAAATTATGATATAAATAAAGTAATAAAAATACAAAACAATAAATTATACTTACTTATAAAGTCTACAGCTTCTTGAAATTAACATATTATAATCTACTGCTGCTGAAATCTTTAGTCATCAAACAGTTTAAACACTAGAGTAGTGGTTCTTGACAGAGGGGACTTTGCCCCGATATGGATTGGCTGTGCCCCCATGCAAATCTTATCTTGAATTGTAGCTTCCACAATTCCCACATGTTGTGGGAGGGATCAAGTAGGAGGTAATTGAATCACGGGGAAAGGCTTTTCCCATGCTCTTCTCATGATAACTAATAAGTCTCATGAGACATAATGGTTTTGTAAGGGAGAACCCTTTTCACTTAGTTCCCATTCTCTCTTGCTGCTGCCATGTAAGAAGTACTTTTCGCCTTCCACCATGATTGTGAGGCCTCCCTAGCCACATGGAACTGTGAGTTTATTAAACCTATTTTCTCTCCAGTCTCAGGTATGTCTTTATCAGCAGTGTGAAAATGAACTAATACAGTAAATTGGTACCAGTGGACTGGGGCATTGCTGAAAAGATACCCAAAAATGTGAAAGCAACTTTGGAACTGGCTAACAGGCATAGGTTGAAACTGTTTGGAGGGCTCAGAAGAAGACAGAAAATATAGGAATATTTGGAACTCCCTAGTAAAGACTTTTAAATGGCTTTGAGCAAAATGCTGATAATGATATGGGCAATGAAATCCGGGCTGAGGTGGTCTCAGATGGAGAGGAGGAATTTGTTGGGAACTGGAGCAAAGGTGACTCTTGCTATATTTTAGCAAAGATACTGGCAGCATTTTGCCCCTGACCTAGAGATTTGTGGAACTTTGAACTTGAGAGAGATGATTTAGGGTATTTGGCAGAAGAAATTTCTAAACAGCAAAGCATTCAAGGTGTGACTTGGGTGCTGTTAAAAGTGTTCAGTTTTAAAAGGGAAACAGAGCATAAAAGTTTGACAAATTTGCAGCCTGACAATGTGATAGAAATTAAAATCCCATTTTCTAAGGAGAAATTCAAGTTGGCTGCATAAATTTTCATAATTAATGAGGAGCTGAATGTTAATCACCAAGACAATGGGGGAAATGTCTCCAGGGCATGTCAGAGACCTTTGTGGTAGCTCCTCCCACCACAGGCCCAGAGGCCTAGGAGGAAAAAATGGTTTCATTGGCCGGGACCAGAGTCTCTCTGCTGTGTGCAGTCTAAGGACTGTGTTCCAGTTGCTCCATCCATGACTAAAAGGAGTCAAGGTACAGCTTGGGCCATGGCTTCAGAAAGTGCAAGTTCCAAGCCTTGGCAGCTTCCATGTGGTGTTGAGCCTGCAGGTGCAAAGGAGTCAAGAATTGAGGTTTGGGAACCTCTGCCTAGTTTTCAGAAGATATTATGGAAACATCTGGATGTCCAGGCAGAAGTTTGTTGCAGCAGTGGGGCCCTCATGGAGAACCTCTGCCAGGGCAGTGAAGAAGAGAAATGTAGGGTGGGGACCCCCACAGACTCCCCACTAGTGTGCTGCCTAGTGAAGCTGTAAGAAGAGAGCCACCATCCTCCAGACCCCAGAATGGTAGATCCACTGACAGCTTGCACAATGCACCTGGAAAAGCCACAGACACTCAATACCAGCCCATGAAAGCAGCTGGGAGGGAGGCAGTATCCTCCAAAGCCACAGGGGCAGAGCTGCCTGAGATCACGGGAACCCATCTCTTGCATCAGCATGACCCAGATGTGAGACATGGAATCAAAAGACATCATTTCGGAGCTTTAAAATTTGACTGCCCTGCTGCATTTTGGACTTGCATGGGGCCTGTAGCCCCTTGGTTTTGGCCAATTTCTCCCATTTGTAACAGCTGTATTTACCCAATACATGTACCTACATTGTATCTAGAAAGTAATTAACTTGCTTTTGATTTTATGGGCTCATAGGCAGAGGGGACTTGCCTTGTCTCAGATGAGACATTGGACTGTAAGCTTTTGAATTAATGCTGAAATGGGTTAACAATTTGGGGTTCTACTGGGAAGGCATGATTGGTTTTGAAATGTGAGGACATGAGATTTGCGAGGGGCCAGGGATAGAATGATATGGTTTGGCTGTGTTCCCACACAAATCTCATCTTGAATTGTAGCTCCCACAATTCCAACATGTTGTGGGAGGGACCCAGTGGGGGGTAACTGAATCATGGGGGCACGTATTTCCTGTGCTGCTCTTGTGACAGTAAGTCTTACAAGATATGATGGTTTTATAAGGGGAAACCCCTTTCAGTCAGTTCTCATTCTCTCTTGCTGCTGCCATGTAAGAAGTGCCTGTTTCCTTCTGCCATGATTGTGAGGCCTCCCAAGCCACGTGGAATTGGGAGTCCATTAAACCTATTTTTCTTCCCAATCTCAGGTATATCTTTATCAGCAGTGTGAAAATGGACCAATAGAGCCCCCAAGGGACACTTGTCAATCTCTAGAGACATTTATGGTTGTGGCATCCTGGAGGGATACTACTGGCATCTAGCAGGGACAGTCCTGAAATGCTGCTAAGCGTCTTATAATATATCAGAGCCCACCACACCAAAGAATTATCCAGCCCAAAAGCCAGTAGTCTCAAGACTGGTAAATTATGGTCTAAAGGGACTTTTAATTTTCTAATTGGCTAGCTGGCTAAGTAACAGATATTTTCCTCCAAAACGCTTAAGGAAAATGATTAGCAAATTCCAAGGACTACTGCCACTAAAATGTTGAGTACAATAAAGAATTGCCTGGAAGAATCAGATGATAGAATACTTAGGATCCACTGTAGCTATACAGTGCCAAGAAAGCAAAGACGCAGTTAGACTCATGTTACATCTTAACTTATTCCATTTTGAATAAGTGACTTATCTGACACAGCAAGGGTCAAATGCATCTGAAAAATACACTGTTAAATGCATGAATTATCAGTAAGTTAGCACTTTAAACAAACACACTGATGGTCTGTTGGCTAACATGATATGGTTCTAGTGTGATGTAGGTAAGTGAATTTGGGGCCAGGAGATAGAATCTAGGAGTGTAGTCATGGCTCCATCTCTTGCTGACTGAGTGACTCTAGCTAGGTCATATGGCTTACCTGGGCTTCAGTTTCTGCATCTGATAAACGTGAACGCTTATATATGTCTGTTTTATCTACCTCACTGGTCATTGTGAGAATTCTTTTTTTAAGTACACTTTCTCTTTATTTGAGTATTGATATATTCTCATATTTTTTTATACTCCTCATATATGGTTTTGGAAATAACAATGTATTTGGAAGACCAAGGAAAAGTAGATTCCTCCAGGGAGGAGGCTTCACACCCCCATGTAGAGACATGATTGGGCTCCTATAATTAACTAACTTCTCTCCTCTCATATGTCTCATTAGAGTGTAAAAATAGATTTTTAAAAGTATCATAGACAAGCCACAGACTTGTAGAAAATATTTTCAAAATGCATATCTGATAAAAAATGTGTATCTAAAATGTACAAAGAACTCTTAAAATTCAACAATAAGAAAACAAGCAACCCAGTTAAATAATGTAAAAAAACCTGAACAGACCCCTCACCAAAGAAGGTAAACAGATGCCAAATAAGGATATGAAAAAATGCTCAATATTGTTTGTCAACAGAGAATTGCAACTTAAAATGACAACAAAGTACCACTACATAACTATTGTAATTTTTGAACTGGAACAATTTGAGCAATAAAATAAATAGAATAATATATAATTTTAACTCAAAGTACCAAATAAATATCCATGAGTCCATACTGTTACTAATAGATAATTGAATAAATATTTAAATGGGGGATATGAGACAAATTATGCATAAGAATTCTAAATAATTTGTCTGGATACTCCACCCTCAGGAGGTGGAGCAAAACTTCTCACTCATTAAGTGTGGGCTGCACAAAGTGGCCTCCTTCTAAAGAGTGCACTATGGAAAGAGAAAACCTAACAAACACCACCTTGGCCAAGGTGAACAAGGTCACCATAAATAGTGATTAGTCATGTTGACAGTATGTACCCTTCAGACGATGTGATGATGATGGCACCTTACCTCTGTGGTTCTCCTCCCCAAAAGCCATGACCCCAGTCTAATCATGAGAATAACAACATAAAGATTTCAGTACGGGGCATCCTACTGTACCCCTGATCAGTGCTCTTCCAAACCTGCAAGGTCATACAAAGCAGAAAATGTCCCAGCAACTGCCTCAGCCAGAGGAACCTCAGGAGACTTGACAGCTAAATGTTTCTTGGGATCTTGAATGAGATCCCAGAACAGAAAAGGACACTCAGTGAAAACCACATAAATGTAAGTAAAATATAGGCTTTAAGTAATAAAAATATATCAATATTGGTACATGAATAATAATAAATGCACTAATATAATATATATAATATTGTAAGACGTTAATGATAAACACAGCCGAGGGTGGACGTGAACTCTGTGTACTCTAAGTTCACAATATTTCTGTAGATATGCAAATCTCCTAAAACAAAGTTTATTTTAAAAACAATATTATTATAATGATTGATGAAAAACATTGTGAGAGAGCAGTCGTGGTTTAAACTGTTATTGCACTTTGTGAGCATTTGGTTTTTCTAACAGAAGATGGAACTAGAAGACACACCTTTAGATTTGCTCAGTAGTTTACCCTGGGGCAGCTGGTACCACCCCTCTGTCATTAGCCATTTAGGAAAGCTAGGAGAAAAGTGTCATTGTTTAATTACATGTCAGAGGACAATGAGCGTCACAGAGTGCATGTGGAGTATGTTGGAAAATGTTTCCTTCCACACAGTGAGCCTGATATATCTCTCTAATAAAGGGCAAATGGAGAAGGACTTCCATCCCTGTCACTGAGTATGTACCACCAGGGCTGTCAGCTGTGGACCATCCCCATCACTGAGTATAGGCCACTAGTGTTGTCAGCTGTGGACCATCCCTGTCACTGAGTATGGGCCACCAGGTTTTGTCAGCTGTGGACCATCCCTGTCACTGAGTATGGGCCACCAGGTTTGTCAGCTGTGGACCATTCCTGTCACTGAGTATGGGCCACCAGGGTTGTCATCTGTGAATGGAAACCATTCATCTCTCCAGGACGCTGGAGCCCTAGTGAAGTGAATGTGCTCATATGAAGACTCACACAAGTATAAAATGTTTAGGCTTCTTGGGGATGAGGCTGGCTATGGCCACTGGCTGGAAAACAGGGTGTGTTTTCCTACCATCCTTCCCTCTTTCTCTATTCCATTCATATCAGCCTCAGACTTTCTGAAAAAAAAAAAAAAAAAAAAAAAACCCACAATAAAATTAGTTCTTCATGTAGAGCCCAGAGCAGTTTGGTTTTGTATCCAGGATTCCTGTAAAGATAATATATTTCTCCCCTAAGTTTCACCTTAGAATGTCTCTTCTCGAACCATAGCAATTTCCCTCTCAGCTAAACAGAAGATTTTCCCAACTAGGAAATCACCAGACATGCTGTTTCCAGGATGACTTACTTTGAATGCTCAGTGCATTTGAAACTGAACTCCCATGGATAGGAAAGGGGTATGGAGCCGTCATTACATAGCAAATCTTGAAAACGTCAAGATCATTGAACTAAAAAACTTCAAGGCTGGGTGCAGTGGCTCATGCCTGTAATCCTAGTACTCGGCCAATGCGGGTGGATCCCTTAAGCTCAGGAGTTCGAGATCGGCCTATGCAACATAGTGAGAACCCATCTCTATAAAAGATACAAAAATTAGCTTGGTGTGGTGGCGTGCACCTGTAGTCCCAGCTGCACAAGAAGCTGAGGTGGGAAGATGGCTTGAGCCTAGGAGGTGGAAGTTGCAGTGAGCCGAGATCGCACCACTGCACTCCAGCCTGGGCAACAGAGCCAGGCCTGTCTCAAAATCATTAATAAATAAATACATAAATAAATAAATGAATGAATAACTAATTCTATTCTTTCTTTTCCCCATCCCCACAGATAGCTACATTAATACAAATGACAGATTATAACCATATATAAATATCCCAATTAAAACAAACAAATGACTAAAACAGGTGGCAGTGTTAATTGCCGATCTCTCTGTGGTCCACATTCTGTTTCATTCCTTTAGAACGTCACTACCTACCCCTCGATCTGCAATGCTAGTAAAAGGACTTTCATGTCTGTGCACTTTAAGCGTTTTGGGGATGGCATCACAGGAGCAGAAGAGGCCATGGGAAAAGAAACTTTGAATGCAGGGAGCATACTGAGGTAGTCAGTGTGTTCTGCTGCTTGATCCTGACATCGGGCTATTGAAATTGAAGATGGAAAACCCGTATTGAGTCATTTGGCTCTTTCCCTTGAGGGCAGTAGATTATGCTGGACAGTATTTTATTTAGCACCCTGTCCATTTCTATTTTAACTTGCTCTTCCTTGGAGGCCTATTAACTCAAACCCAGCAAGGATTTTATTACAAATGGAAGGCATTCTACTAGTTGGTCATTTCTTCCACAAAACACACATTCTCCTGCTGAGATATTAAAAAACAAAATTTACCAAACAACATGAAAACAGTGCTGGATTGTAGAAGGAGCAATAAGCGGATTGTCGCAAAGTGGCTCCAGACGCTCACTCTGACTTGCCTGAAACACATGCTCACTGAGAATCCTCAACACTGGGTCCCTGGAAATAGGGACCATGTGACACTAAGCGACCTGTAGCACTGATATCCTCATAGCCCCTTTTCCCCACAGGTCCCACGATACCCAGGTTCTGGGCAGTTAGTGTTCCCAGGCAATTCTCATAAACAGCTACACCACATGCAGACTGCTTGGTACTGAGGAAATCTCATTCAACATCGACAAGTTTGCTTTCAGGCTTGCCCTTTGTAAAAGTCAGAGTGGCCCCAGTGGAATGCAAGTCCATGCTACTGGTCAGAAAAATATCTTGGTCCTCGTGTTTTCTCTATGGCAAAGATGAGAGGATGAGGGACACTGGGCTTTTCTCCTCCCGGGTTCTGTAAGCTTCTGCCTTCCTAAAAAGGCTGATTCCCTAACTCATGCCATTCTCCAACCTGGTGCATGAAAGACAGTGTCCCAGATGGCATCTTCCTTGAACAACGAAGAACGAGGACTTCTGGAGCCAAAAGCTGGGTTAAATATGTGCTCTGATGTTCATTCGCTACAGGAGCCTCGGGTTCCGCATCTGTCAACTAGAAATAACACCCTTGCCTTAGGCAGGGGCTGTGGTAACGTGCTGTGGGTACATAGTGACGGTCAGAACAGTAAAGAAATGCAATCAGTGGTAGCTACTACTGTTGGCATAATTACGAACAGCAGGAGGATGAACAGACACCCCCTGAAAACTTAGGAACATTATTTTTAAATCACATGTAGTGTGAAAAGTACACAGTTTGGTTTGTTATACAGAAACAAGAGGTTTAAATCCATGGAGTAGAAGATAACGATAATGCACTGATTGCTGGTTATGAAAGTCAGGAAGAAAATAACCAAGTTCAGTGCTCATCTTGATCTAAGACCATTCATGGCCTGACCTCTCTAATGCGCAGAGGATAAAACACGGGAGTGCATGATGCTCACCAAGGATCAGTCAGAATTTCTCCAAGGATCAGCTCCCAAATCAACCAAAACTTCTCCAAGGTTCAGCTCCCAAATCAACCAGAACTTCTCTAAGGATCAGCTCCCAAATCAACCAGAACTTCTCCAAGGTTCAGCTCCCAAATCAACCAGAACTTCTCCAGGGATCAGCTCCCAAATCAACCAGAAATTTTCCAAGGATCAGCTCCCAAATTAGCCAGAACTTCTCCAGGGATCAGCCCCCAAATCAACCAAAACTTCTCCAAGGATCAGCCCCAAATCAACCAAAATTTCTCCAAGGATCAGCTCCCGAATCAACCAAAACTTCTCCAAGGATCAGCCACCAAATCAACCAGAACTTCTCCAAGGTTCAGCTCCCAAATCAACCAGAACTTCTCCAAGGATCAGCCCCCAAATCAGCCAGAACTTCTCCAGGGATCAGCCCCCAAATCAGTCAGAACTTCTCCAAGGATCAGCTTCCAAATCAACCAGAACTTCTCCAAGGATCAGCTCCCAAATCAACCAGAACTTCTCCAAGGTTCAGCTTCCAAATCAACCAGAACTTCTCCAAGGATCAGCCCCCAAATCAGCCAGAACTTCTCCAGGGATCAGCCCCCAAATCACCCAGAACTTCTCCAAGGATCAGCTCCCAAATTAGTCAGAACTTCTCCAAGGATCAGCTTCCAAATCAACCACAACTTCTTCAGGGATCAGCCCCCAAATCAGCCAGAACTTCTCCAAGGATCAGCTACCAAATCAGTCAGAACTTCTCCAGGGATCAGCTCCCAAATCAGCCAGAACTTCTCCAAGGATCAGCTCCCAAATCAACCAGAACTTCTCCAAGGATCAGCTCCCAAATCAACCAGAACTTCTCCATGCATCGGCTCCCAAATTAATCAGAACTTCTCCAAGGATCAGCCCCCAAATCAACCAGAACTTCTCCAGGGATCAGCCCCCAAATCAGCCAGCACTTCTCCAGGGATCAGCTCCCAAATCAACCAGAACTTCTCCAAGGATTAGCTCCCAAATCAACCAGAACTTCTCCAAGATTCAGCTCCCAAATCAGTCAGAACTTCTCCGAGAATCAGCTCCCAAATCAACCAGAACTTCTCCAAGATTCAGCTCCCAAATCAGTCAGAACTTCTCCAAGGATCAGCTCCCAAATCAGTCAGAACTTCTCCAAGGATGAGCCCCCAAATCAACCAGAACTTCTCCAAGGTTCAGCTCCCACATCAGTCAGAACTTCTCCAAGGTTCAGCCCCCAAGTCACCCGGAACTTCTCCAAGTTTCAGCTCCCAAATCAGTCAGAACTTCTCCAAGGATCAGCCCCCAAATCAACCAGAACTTCTCCAAGTTTCAGCTCCCAAATCAGTCAGAACTTCTCCAAGGATCAGCCCCCAAATCAACCAGAACTTCTCCAAGGATCAGCTCCCAAATCAACCAGAACTTCTCCAAGTTTCAGCTCCCAAATCAGTCAGAACTTCTCCAAGGATCAGCCCCCAAATCACCTGGAACTTCTCCAAGGATCAGCCCCCAAATCAACCAGAACTTCTCCAAGGTTCAGCTCCCAAATCAGCCAGAACTTCCCCAAGGTTCAGCCCCCAATTCACCCAGAACTTCTCCAATGATCAGCCCCCAAATCAACCAGAACTTCTCCAAGGTTCAGCTCCCAAATCAACCAGAACTTCTCCAAGGTTCAGCTCCCACATCAGTCAGAACTTCTCCAAGGTTCAGCCCCCAAGTCACCCGGAACTTCTCCAAGGATCAGCCCCCAAATCAACCAGAACTTCTCCAAGTTTCAGCTCCCAAATCAGTCAGAACTTCTCCAAGGATCAGCCCCCAAATCACCCGGAACTTCTCCAAGGATCAGCCCCCAAGTCAACCAGAACTTCTCCAAGGTTCAGCTCCCAAATCAGCCAGAACTTCCCCAAGGTTCAGCCCCCAAATCACCCAGAACTTCTCCAATGATCAGCCCCCAAATCAACCAGAACTTCTCCAAGTTTCAGCTCCCAAATCAACCAGAACTTCTCCAAGGATCAGCTCCCAAATCAACCAGAACTTCTCCAAGGATCAGCTCGCAAATCAGCCAGAACTTCTCCAAGGATCAGCTCCCAAGTCAGCCAGAACTTCTCCAAGGATCAGCCCCCAAATCAGCCAGAACTTCTCCAAGGTTCAGCTCCCAAATCATTCAGAACTTCTCCAAGGATCAGCTCCCAAATCAACCAGACCTTCTCCAGGGATCAGTTCCCAAATCAGCCAGAAATTCTCCAGGGATCAGCTCCCAAATCAGCCAGAACTTCTCCCAGGGTGGGAGATCTTTTGATCTCATGCAGTCCCTTCATAGTGCTCAGCATTTTACCCAGAAAAGCATCAGTCACCCGTAAAGGCTAAGTTTTAAACACTGTAAAACCAGAAAATGTTATATACACGACTGTGTGAGGCGTGAACGTGGGGAAGTGAGTGTGAAAGTGCATGAATGTGAGCATTCAAGAAGGCATGAGTGTGCGAGGGAACCCCACCAACAAAGCAAGCAAGAGGACCTGGCCTCTTTCTATTTGCGACAACCCTTAATGGGGCTCAGAGATTTCCCACTGCGTTCCTTACCCTCTTAGTGCTGCACACCGGCCTCTACAAAGCCATAAGCAAGGAAAAGAAATAGAGGATCGTGAGTTTAAACAGTTCAGAATAAATTGGTATTGGGTGTTAAGGGCTTAAATTCCACTATCTATGTTTACCGTATCTTAAGTTGAATCAAAACAAAATCCAACAACACAATGTTACAAGATGTTGCTGCCTAGAAACAACCGAAAGCTGGATTAGAGGGTCATAAATTAAGGATTGGGTACATTGTAACTAATTAAATACATACAAAAGAAAAGCAGATTTGGTAATATCATTTCAGGCTATGTAGTATTTAAAGTCTCTTATTGAGTTAAAAGAGCATCGTATTATTTTAAATTGGTAAGCTAATAATAAAGATATGACATGAATAAACTTTAATATACCAAATAAAAAAGCCCAAAAGTATATATATATAAAACAAAAAACAGACAGACGTATGGCTGCAGCTGATAAATTTTTAACTCACCATTATCAACATACAGCAGATACCATATTCAAAAATGAAACAAAATAAGAACTGAAAAAAATAAGTAATAAAATTAATGTGGTGGAACTAATAGAATATGCCAAACTTTTTATCTGAAAGTTAGAAATCTCATCCTCTTTCATACCTTCTGTCCATATACAATCACCAACTGTGAAAACAAAATTATCATCCTATTTCCAGAAATTATTAAGACAAAAAGCTGATAAAAATATTTAGCCAAACGAAGCATTAGAATACCAAATTATAGGGATGTGCGTGATGACTTAACTGTTTCTTGCACGTTTTGCTGGGCGCTGTAATTCAGATAGTTTGTGTTTTAACTTTTACAATCTTCTAGTCTGCAATAATAATTTTATAGTTTGCTGTGGAACTGCACCAAATCCATAAAATCTGCAAAAGTCCTCAAAATTCCACATATGTGGGTTGTCATTGGCCCTAATAATTGTGCTCCAAGTTTTGCACTAAATTCTTCCACAAATTAGAAATGAAAACACCATGTGTTTCAGAGGAATGAATGAAAAACACCTACCAGGACACGGCTGAGCTAACACTCAGCACCTTCCAAAATTCTGCACTTGAGTCTTTTGTAAACAACCCTGCCTTTCAGTTCCTCAGTCAACACATTAAATACACATCCTTTTCAGAAATTATTGTCTATATAGCTTATGAATCTAAAACCAGAACCATTTCACCAGGTTGGTGGGGATCTTTTCCATGTTTGCTGTGAATGGCAAAACCACATAACTCAATGGAACCACAGATGTGCAAATCTGGGTGGACAGCAGGGATGGCAGCCACCCTCAGTATGCAGATAGAGACCATGAAACTAATGTGGCTGTTAACTTGTCCCAGAAAGCAAACTCAAGGGGTTAGCAGCTGTTTTTGTTTCCTCTCTTTCTCTCTCTTCTTTTGTTGCTGACATTTGAAACATATATCTCACCATTGCTGACACCATCCCCCTCACCCCCACCAGTAGGAGTCAGTTCATTGCATGGACTGAGAGAGAGACATCTTGCCACCGGTTTCTTCTCTATCCAGATGTGATTTTTGCAGAGTAGCAGAGCACCGGAAGCTGGCTTCACCATAAAGGCTACTCTGCAGACTATTATCTTCCAGCATACATGAGGGATAGCATATGGTATGAGGGTGGGCGTTCTAATGAGACAAATCAAAGACACCAATGGTTCACAGACTTCTCTAGGAGCAAAGTATTGCCCTATAGGACACAAAGGAATTGATTTAAGAAACCCTTCAGAAAACTGGTATTGCTTTTATTTTCACTACAAAATAAATATTGAAGTAAATACAAAAAGATGTTCTCCATAATGATGTATGAGAACCTGCATGAAGTCAAGCCTGCATTCTGTGGCCACCACAAATTCAAGGCAAGCAGGACGCCACAAACTTCACCCTCCCACTCCCAAGTTTCTGCCAAATTAAGCCCCAAAGTTTAGGGACAGAAAGCAAAATATCCTAGATTCCTGTAACTCCTGGTTTGTTTTTTTTTTTTTTTTTTTTTTTGAGACGGAGTCTTGCTCTCTTGCTCTCTCACCAGGCTGGAGTGCAGTCGCGTGACAGCAACCTCCACCTCCCAGGTTCAAGCTATTCTCCCGCCTCAGCCTCCTGAGTAGCTGGGACTACAGGCATGTGCCACCATGCCTGGCTAATTTTTGTATTTTTAGTAGAGACAGGGTTTCACCATGTTGGCCAGGATGGTCTCAATGTCTTGACCTCATGATCCACCCACCTTGGCCTCCCAAAGTGCTGGGATTACAGGTGTGAACCACTGTGCCCAGCCCCTTTAACTCATTTTGAAATGATTCTCACATAACATATTCACATCAATATTTTCATAACCTAAGAAATTTCCATTGACCTAGTTTCCTTAATTAACTTGTGAGAAAAATTCTTATCATTGGATTTCTTTTAATTTTCAAAATATATAAATTGATGTGCAGATCGATACAAAATAACAATTTATGCTTGTTATAAACCCATCTCTGCTCAGAGTCCTGGAAAGGACATCACAGTGGAAGGCCAAGTGGGCTGCAGGTGGCAGACACAGTTCCTCAGCCTGGACGTCACAGTGGAAGGCCAAGTGGGCTGCAGGCAGTGGACAGAGTTCCTCAGCCTGGTCAGTTGCTCCTGGGATGGTGGGTGAGTCAGAACATGTGTCTTTATTTGTCAAGTGGGGGTTAAGCCAGGCATTGTCTAAGGTGCCTCACAGAGTTAATATTCTTTGCTGTGAACTTGCTGCCAAATAGTTCATAGGACAGTTTTTATGTTCAGCCAATGGGTAGAAATGTAGCCCAAAGACCTACAACATGGGGCAGGGAATCAGGGCAGGGGACCAGGGCAGGGATCCAGGGCAGGGAACCTGCTCTCCCTTGCTGATGGTCTTCACTGTCCTCCTCTCCTTCCTCCCACGTGTCGGGATCAGTGATGAAGTGGAGGCACCTTTCAGAGAATGTATCCAGGATCTCCTTCTCCTCTCCTTCAAAAAACAGAAAGCTCGATGTTGTCTTTTATCACATCTGGTATTTGAAAATTTATGTTCTGATGAGGCACTGTGCGCAGAAGCAGAACCCGCTGCATCCAATGGTATGCTGCTATGCTGACCTCGAAGTCACTCGCCTTGGACACAGGCCGTTAACTTGACATGGTGATTTATTCGCCAATAAGCACATCTCCCATATCACAGATCAGCGAGTGGAGTGTGCTGCAAATGGTGTGGTGGCCTTGAACCCCTGAGATATCCTAGAGACATGATGGATGGGCTGGCCTGGCCTGTTGTGACTGTGGTGAAGGCAAGGGAGGCAGGGGTCTGCACCTGCCCCTGGTACAACCTGCTGCCCCACAAGCACCCAAAGCCTGCTGCCGGCATCGTCTTCCTTTGCTCTGAATCTTAGTTGTTAAGCTTTCCCCCAGAGTAACAGGAGAGTTGCAGCCTGCGGGAAAAGGACAAGATGTGAATTCTGTTTCAGGAATTTGGCCTTAAAAACAATGATGCTTATTTGTGTAGCCCAAGAGAGGAGCTCATTGAACATAAGTCAGATGCCAGGGCTGATGTGGCCTCAGATAGTAATTCTTACCTCACTGCTGTTTCAGGCAGCCAGTTCTTACATTTGCATCCATTAGTGGGAAGAGCGTCTCATCTTTCATAGAAAAGGTCGAGTGACAGCACACAGTCAACCAGGCATTGCCTCAAGAGCTGTGAGACGGTGCTCTAGGGGCACTGAGCCTCGGTGACCTGCCTGGGAGCCTCATGTAGTCCTGGAAAATCACCAGCTCTGCAAATCTCAACCCAAACAGGAAACTCTCTGCCCCGAAGTAGCACAGACATAACTCTCGATACATACGTCGATTTATCTCCACATTATTATTATTATTTAATTTTTTGTAATACAGCCTTGTTTTGACTTACAACTCCCAGAGACATCCTTTCAAGGTAATATAATTCTAGCTTTATTGCAGTTCAGATGAACATTCTTTTTTAAAGCTAAAATAATGTAAGTTGTATCAAGTACTAACACCATTCTTAGGGCTGACATGAATAATCAGATTTTCATTTTGTCCTACAATTTCATACATCCCTAGTCCATGCAAACACTTTAAAGCAACCATTTTCTAGACATAAATGTGCTGCTATATGATGATGAGACTCTGCATGATTTCTGTCTTATTCTTTATGCTTTTCTGTATTTTCCCAGTTTTCTAAAATATTAACAAAATTTGTTGTTAAAATTGTAACAACCTTTTGAAAGAACATGCATTTAAAAACAAAATTATAAATGGGACATTTATAATTATGTGGTACATTGTGATAAAGATGGTAGGCTCAGCTGGCCCTGTGTTTCTATGTTGTACATTCGAAGCACTCACAAGGTGCCCAGAGCGTCGCAAGGGCTCTGAGGCCCCTCAGACAGCAGCCAAGTAAGAAAGTTTAATTCACTAATTACAGTAGGAAAAGCTGAATTACAGAACAAGTGATGATCTGCCTGAGATGCTCATGTAATAACCTAGAACATTCCTGGGGAAAGCTGGGCCTGACTCCCACTATTCTGCTCTCTCCACACATTCCTCCAAGACCTTCTACAGACCCTTTGAGAGCGTGGAAGTTTGGAGTGTGAAGCCACGCTGAAGACGCCTTAACGTCCCAACAGTTTTGCTTCTTAATAAATTGAAGACTTACTTCAACATAATCATGCAACCAACTGAAAGACTTTTAAAAAGTTTTTTACAAAAAGAATTACTACATTTATCCTCGAGACACCAAACAAGAGCCTAACTAACATTTTCATTGAATTGGCGATTGGCTTGAGTTGTTTCCAAATTGACTTTATTTGTCCTTTGGAATCACATAGACACAACCTTAATCTAAAAGTCATTAGCAACTAAATTTAAGATTATTGACTTAGCTGCATAGAAAACCAAAAACTTGACATCCTGATGGAAAAGTTGCATTCAATTTTATAAGAAGAGCTAATATTTAAGGAGAACTTAGTATATGCCAGTGGTATTCCAAGCACCATACCCGTATTAACTTAATTCCTGTAACAACCCTAGGAAGAAGGCTACATTATTATTCTAATCTTAAAGAGGAATAAACTGAGATACCGAGCCATTGAATAACAGTGAATAAGTAAAGAAGCAAAGGATTGATCAGAGGTAATCTCACCTGGATCCTCTTACCCACTGAGCTAGGACTGCATTCTCACCCCACAAATGGTGATGTGGTCAGGGCTACATAGTGGAGTGATCTAGACCACAGGCCTGGTGTCAAACACACTCAGGTTTTCATGCTCAGCCTGCCACTTACTAGCTGAGTATACTTAGGCAAAGCACTTTATTAAATATATCATTTTGCCTCAGTTTTCTTAATCTAGTCCCTAACTTGCATGATTGTCATAAGGCTTAAATTAGAGAATGTTTACAAGTTGGTTAGCTAGTGTCATAACATACTAAGGCTCCTTTAAATGGTACCTACTAGGATTATATCAACTTTCTAACATCTATTTTATCCTCCACAATAGTAGGATGCATTTAGAATGTTTGCAGTCACATGAGAAATTTATAAGGAGGAAGGCAGACAGCCTTATTTCAGAACTGAACAAGACTCAGAAGCCAACGTTTAGCTGTGTTTAGAAAGTTTTGCAGATCTCAAGTGAGTAGCACTTTCATCTAGTGATTCTTTTATTCAAGATCATAGGAAATATCCATTTGGAGCCTTTAAAACTCTTTTATGCCGCGAAAATGCAGACACACAAACAACGCACTATGGGTAATCCTGGCCTCAAGAGATCTGTGAACAAAATAAAGCAACAAAGAACTGGCACAGAGCACTGTGCTGGCTCCGTTCATTTCCACACTGCTCTTGGAGCTGGGAGTGGAAAGGAGCAGGTAATTTCTTCCATGGGAGCAGCCAATGCATATTATTCTGGTGAAAGTACTTAAATACACAGAATAGAGACAGAATATGAAAAAGAGCAAACTGCTTTAAGGAAAAAAATTCACTCCTAAGGGAAAAGAATCATCTAGTTTTGTTTTATACCTGCAGAACAGAGATCAATGCTGAGACCTCGGTGTCTAGCACACAGCCCAGTATGTAACAGGTAAGAAAGTCAATTAACATTTCCTAGATGATTGATAGAAAAACACCTGAAAACTTTCTACCCAACAACCAAAACCATCTTCCAGGAAAGACACCTATTTGCCTGGATTCAGTCCTGAACATATGTACCACCCAACTGTAGTCACAAAGAGGAATTCTGTTTATAGAAAACTATTGTTAATATTTTTAAACCATTTGCTACATTACTATATTTTAAAAGCTTAAAATTTCACAGAGAAAAATAATTTTACCTTTTGGAATTACTACATTTTGGAATTACAAAATTTTGCCGAAAAATTCTTAAGACAGCTGAGTCTGCAGGGTTGAAAGACCAGCGGAGATGATGGTTACAAAGTATGCCAGATGGCTTTTGTCCCATAACACACCATCTTAAACTTGGTCGTTGCAAGGGGCGATTTTGTGCCAACTTGGCTAGGCCATGAACCCAGATATTAGGTCAAACACTCAGTGTAAATATTGCTGTGAAGGTATTTGTTAGATGAGATTAACATTGAAATCAGTGGATATTTAGTGAAGAGGGTTACCCCCATAATGTGAGTGGACTTCACCTAAATGGTTGAAGGCCTTAAGAGAAAGAAAGACAGAGGTCCCGGAGGGAAAGGGAATCCTGCCTCCAGGTGGTCTCTGGGCTCCAGATTCAGCATCATCTCTTCTCTTTTCTTCATCTCTTCTCTGGCTCTCCAGCCTGCAGCCTGCCAGTCCCCACAATCGTGTGGGCCAATTCATTATAATACATCTCTCCCTCTCATGTATCGTATCTTACTTCTTTCTCCGGAGAACCCCGACGACCATAATGGCTTATACAACAACCTTTATTTCACTTACAATTTCCGGGCTCGCAGTTTGAGCTGTCTTCACTGGGGCAGGCCTGATCTTCTGGGCCGGACTCAGCTGATCTGGACTGGGCTCATTTGTGCAATTTGAGCTGGCTTCATTGGGGCAGGCCTGATCTTCTGGGCCAGACTCAGCTGATCTGGACTGGGCTCATTCACACATCTGTAACTGTCATTTGTTAGTCAAACATTTAAACGATTTGCAAAAATGTGAAACAATTTCCCTTTTCTCACCAATTTTTGAGGGGTTTGGAAAATATAATTATTTTTCATAAAATGTTATTTACATTAAAATGTGTTGGTCTTAATATTATTTTAAATGAGTTGATAAATATTTTTTTACATTTCCCATTTTGGTATTCAATAAAGTAAATATAGATAGACATGACCCATGTGAATAAAAGCTGTTAAGTGTCCTCAATAATTTGAACTGTGTAAAGGGGTCCTAAGAATGAAAAGTTTGTGAATCACTGCTCAATACATGTCATCTGGAAGCAGCTAGTGTAGGATCCAGCCTAAATCTCCACGGCGTGAGGAAAGCCATGGCCATCCGGGCCTCCTTTAGCAGTGATCAATGTCATCCATTACGTAAAACCTATTGAGGGTTTGCTATGTGCCAGAAAGGCGAGGTTTGCTGTGTATGCAGGAGCCAGGTCATGGGAAGATTTGCAAACTTCACTAGGGCTTCAGCTTCACTTAGAAAGAAAAAAAAGTGACTGAAGTATTTTAACGAAGAGAATGATGTGTCTCGATTTATATTTTAGGAAGGTGATTACGAGGCTGTGTCTTTGATGGAATGAAGCCAATAAGGCTGCAGCCAAGAAGATCAGTTGGAGCTTTTAGCTGAAATCCAGGTGAGAAGAGATTAAGGCCTCCTAAATTAAGGCAGGAACAGAAGGAAAAGAAAGAAGAGCTTCCAGGAGCGATAAATGAGATAGATCTACTACACTGGGTGACTAAATGGGCACAAAAAAATGAACGGCATTTCCTTTCTCCAAAGGCAATTTTCCTCAAATTATTGACATTATCCGAAAGACATAAACAGGTATTTTTCAAAGGAAGATATACAAATAATCAATGAACATACTAAAATGTGTTCAGAAATCACTAGAATAAAAAAATGCAAGTATAAGCAATAAAATAAATTGTCTTTAACCAAATGGCAGTTTTTTTTTTAGCAACACCTGTTTTCAAAGATAGGAAAAGAGATATGCAAACATGTTTGACAGAAAACTGAATCAGTACAACCATTCTGAAAAGCATTTTAGAAGAATGTTTCAGGACTCTTCTAGGAATTTATCTTAAGAGAACACAGTTCATGTCATTTACCACGTTCTAATATACTATCTAACGGGCTTCTCTATGTTTACTGTAAGTCTCACCTACTGGAATATAAATACTGCAAGAACAAAGATGGAATCCCAAGCACATAGAAGAGTGCACAACACGCTGTAAGTGCTTCCTAACCCCACTGTAAGTGCTTCCTAACCCCACTGTAAGTGCTTCCTAAACCCCACTGTAAGCGTTTCCTAACCGCTTCCTAAATAAATAAAAGATGTAAGTACTTCCTAACCCCTTTCTAAATAAATAAAAGATGTCCACTAGGATTTACTTACCAAAGTGGTCACTATAGCATTACTTACAATGGCTAAACTGGATAAATCTAAATGTTCATCAACGGGATACTGGTTAACAAAATAATGATGCCACTGCCATAGGAGGCAAAATCACATAATCATTAGAAAGCAAGTCATTAAGGATGTTTAAGGCTATGAGAAAACATTCCCAATTTATTAATTGGGTAGAGAAGAATTAAAAAGTGTATATAGAGTAACATAGTAACCGTATTCAGAAATAGTAATAACACTAAAATGTTAACCATGATTACCTCTGGCTAGTGTGTTTATAGTCATTTTTATTTTCTTTTCTATGCTTTCCATATTTTCTATAACCAGGTAAATAAAATTTTGAACCATCCCCATATGCCACAAAACTCCCTGAGTATATTTTATCACACAGCATGGTGTAATAATAATGTTTACAATAATAACATACAGTTATTTTAAAAATATTACATTGTATTCAATATCCTCAATTTATAAAGAAGGAAAATCTCTGTGGTGGAAACATGGGTTTGATTAATCTCTATTTTTCCGTGTTCTTATTTCTAAATTCAGGAAGTGGGCAATGAACTCTTTAATGCTTTCCATCCTGGCAAGTTAAAATTTTAAAATGTTGAAGTTCTCTAAAGGTAACCTTCAATTACTTGTAAAAGTCATGTTTATGAAATACCTAGGTCTCCAATATTGCTGGTTAAATGAAACATTATTGCACATATTACAGAGGAAAAGGTATTTGTTTGACCTTTCGCAGTTTCAACACTGCAATTTAATATTGTATTTCACATACCATTCCAGCTGATCATATATTTTTAAAAATCGCAGTATTTTGAAAAGTCTATCCTGCATTAGTATCCATTTATTGCATCAATTAGCATCAATGCATTATACGCAATACCTGAAAGTTTTATAAATATTTTAATAGTCTTACAACAGGGTTCCAAAATACATTATGAGAGAAAGAGGCTGGGAGTTTGCATGGCTGGCTCAGGCTTGCATAAGGGAGCATGCCCACACTGACACATCCAATGAAAGAAACCGCAGTGCCAAAACCACAAGGCAGGCTCATAACGGTCTGACTGCATGCTGAACTACGTGTTTCTTCATCAATACACTCTGCTGACTAGCTTTTTGTTAAGTTCATGAGAAGTGACAACATTTAATCCTACCATTTCGAGGAAGAGAAGCCATGTCTACCCGTTGATCTTTTAGTTGTCATGAAGGAAATTGAACTTCAGAGCTTCCATCTTGCCTTCATCATGGCTCTTACCACACAGATGCACCTGTGTGAGATGTCTTGAGCCGCAGAGACCAAGACATGCTCAGAATTCAGCCAGAAGCTGACATTATAAACGGCAGTAGACTCAGTCGCTTGATACAGTTGTTAAATTCAGATTTTGACCATCTGGTTCTTTTATTTTACCAGTCTGCGTGTGCTTAAGATATTATTCTACTATTAAATTGAAGGAATACCAGGTTCACAATAAATAATCCAAATAAATTTGTCCATAATGTGTATATTTGGCTCTGTCTGCTGAGCATAGTACTTTGGCCCCGCTGATGCATCATCCAGGCATGTTTTTTGAATGTATTTTCTCCCCGTTTTCCCAGGCATCATGTTGTTCGCTAGCTCAAGGTGCATACCTTATTCTTTTGGTAAGATAATTACAAAGAACCAGTCCTAACTCCTATTTCTGCATGTATGATGACCTACATAGGCAGATTGAAAGTAAAGGTAGACATGGAATACCATGTTTTTAAATCTTTCAAAAATGCATTGATACTCTGGCAAGAAAGTAAGAAATATTAAGAATTATGAATCTAAATCAAGCCAGAAACCTGAAAAGGTAAGCAGAGCACTAAACCTATTTGTCATCATTGGGCATGTGGGAACTTGAGGAGTTTCAGCAACAACTTTTGTGGTCTGATGGGTGGGTGGTGACAAACAAAGACAAAAGCTCAGGCCAGCCCATTAGCCCACCCAGCTCTTCAAAAAGTGGGAAGCCTGAGGTCAGAGCAAAGATTAATCATTGTTTTCTTTCTTTTTTAAAAAAAGTTTAGAGTCAGGGTCACCCTGTTGCCCAGGCTGGAGTGCAGTGGTGCGATCACATCTTACTGCAGCCTCAAACTCCTGGGATCAAGCGATCCTACTGCCTCAGCCTCCTGAGTATCTGGGACTACGGGCACACACCACAACTGCCTATTTTTATGTATTTAGATAAGGGGTCTCAAACTCCTGGCCTCAAGCAATTCTTCGATCTTAGCCCCCTGAATAGCTGGCATTACAGGCATGAGCCACCAGGCCCAGCCATCCAAAAAAAAAGGTACCCACATTTGCTATTTAGAACATTCCAGAGGCCAAATGAAAGGAGACATCTCAACTCTGCTCCCAGGAAGCTAGGGCAGAGGCTTGACCAATCAGAGCTCTGGCCAGCTGTAGAACCTTGGCCAATCAGAGCACTGGCCAGCTCTAGGATCTTGGACAATCAGAGCTCTGGCCAGCTCTAGGATCTTGGCCAATCAGAGCTCTGGCCAGCTCTAGGATCTTGGCCAATCAGTGCTCTGGCCAGCTGTAGGATCTTGGCCAATCAGAGCTCTGGCCAGCTCTAGGATCTTGGCCAATCAGTGCTCTGGCCAGCTCTAGGATCTTGGCCAATCAGAGCTCTGGCCAGCTCTAGGATCTTGGCCAATCAGAGCTCTCGCCAGCTCTAGGCTCTTTGCCAATCAGAGCTCTAGCCAGTTCTAGGATCTTGAGAAAGCAATGCCAAGCTCTGAGGAAAGTAGCGACTGTGTAAAGTCCATGCAGCAGTGGAGTTAAAGCACAGCAGGATCAGGCCAGCGATTGTCCACTAGCAGTGGTGCTAACCATGCGTTCTCAGCTGCCTAATTTCACTTAGTTTCCACACATTTTTTGAGTATGGATCTCCAGACGCGTGATTGATTCTTCCAAATATAGTTCTAATAAATATTGCTTCTTCTGAATTTCTTACTTAAATTAGCCAGACTTTATTTCTGTTGTTTGCAACTGAGCACCTCGCTGATACAGTCTTCCCCCAAACTCTGAAATCTTCCATAACCAAGCCAAAGAATTCCATCGGGGGAGACGTCACCCAGGGAAGCTTAAATCTAAATAAAAGATAATAATCTGGAAGAAAGCTTTCTCACAATTACAGCTGTTATGCACCAGGGACCTATCCAGGGTCCTGACCTTCCTTACAACTCATGGTCTCGAAAGCCTTGTGCTCCTCCACCTCCTGTCACGTATCTTCTTAAATCCTCATCCACACGACTGTGACTCATGACCACTGCAATAACTCATCTTAAACCTTCATGGTCCACTCATACCCTGAGTAATTCACACCAGGAAGAATTATCATGCTCATTTTCCAAATCATAAAGCCAAAATTACTTTAGTGGGTTGACAGTTGACAATGAAGAATGCATCCTAGGAGTTCACAATTAACTTTGTGAAACTGGTAATTTGTTTCACTTTTTTGTCATAGTAGTATCCTCATTCTTTTTTAAAATAAATATATATTAAGCACGTACAGTGATCCCAGCACATTGCTAGGTGCTCTAATTGGCCTGAAGAAGTGGTCCTTGCATCAGGCGGTTCTGTAGTAGAACAAAGGTCTTAATTTGAGATCTAATTGATCCAGTTAATATGTGTGAGTTCAGACAACTCCCTTAATGCTTTAAGGCTCAGCTTCCTCATCTATAAATTAGCGTGATACTCATCTTCCCTGTCTGCCTAAGGGTTGTTGTAAAGATCAAATAATGATTGTTGCCAGTAAAATCATAAAATGTTCTTCCAAGCACTTGGAAGGAAGAAACTTAAGATTACTCTTGAATAATTAGATTGTGAAATCAAGACATAAAGACTCAGAACCAAGCTAGGTAATGTCTCCTTAAGAAAACAGAATGAATTGCACCCAGATCAGCAAAAATGAACAATAATCTCATTAATCACATGAAAAGACCTAATAATTGGATGTGCCAATAGTAAAATGGATTGTCAAAAAGTAAAAATAAAAAAGTCAGAAATGCAAACATTGGAAGAATTCTAGAGAGCTTTAGCTGAATGGCTTCAATAGAATGGTGACCTTAGTAAGGCCATCTGCATTACAGAGATGAAAACTTAGTAATGTTTTTAGCCTTATCTTTGCAAAGCAATCACCTAGAAATTTTTAGACTTCTAAAAAGTTCTGTCTACAGTGTGATGTTCAAATGGAAATTTTGCCAATGTGAGCATTGTGGGTTCACACTGGAAAATCTGTAATTTAAAATTAGTCTTGTAAGCTCAGCTTCTTTGAGCCCAATACTGAGAATGATTTTTTAACAAAATCAGATTTCTGAGCCTACGAGATTGAGAGGAAGACTTAGGAGAGGAAGACTTAGGCAAGGAAGACTTAGGAAAAGAAGCCAACACTCTAAGTCTGACATTTCAGGGCCAACTAATTCCTTATGTGACAACTCTTTTCTTTTGCACACTGAACCTAAACTTGACTTTTTTTTCTTTTGAGACAGGGTCCCACTCTGTCATCCAGGCTGGAGGTCACTGGGGTGGGGCAATCACAGCTCACTGCAGCCTTGATCTCCCAGGCTCAAGTGATCATCCCATCTCAGCCTCCTGAGTAGCTGGGACAATAGCTGAGCTTGACTTTTAAGAGTAGTTAATATTTGGATAAAAGGAGAACATGATAAGTGCAAAGTTATGTCATTGGTAAGCAAATGGAGATAAGAATCTGCTCAATGCATACAAGATTCAAAGAACAGACAACTCTGGCTTTTGCAAAGGAGTCAAAATGATGGAACTAGAAAGTCAGGGTGAGACCAAGTTCTGGAACACCTTAAATAGCAAGAGAAGGTGTTTGAAGTTAATTCAGTAGGTAATAAAAGTGACTGAAAGTTTTAAGCAAAGAATATCGTAATGTAATGGGTCTGGAGAGGTTATTAATATGGCACTGATGGGCAGGAGATGAGAATAACTCAAGGACAAAAGGCCAGTGAAGACATTACTGGAAAAAATCCAGCTGCAAACTTACTTAGGATTTGACTGGGCGTGTTTGTTATTTCTGACCAGTGCCCCATTTTTCCTATGGGAAGAATGCTTTCCTTTATGTGGACACTGCTTCTTCTCACTCTCCAACTGCATCTCCAACCCCATCCCTAGCTTCTGCTCATTGGTCAAAGATTAGACTCATGATCTCCACCAATGCCATCAAAGTCCTCCAGTGAGATTTTTCCATTGATTCCTGTCTAAAAGTGAAGCCAGTCACCTTCTAGTCATACTTGAATGGTGCAGCTTAATTGTATGGAAAACTTATTCCAATACTATTGCAAAATGCTAGTCGCCTACTTTAGGAGCTGTTGTTGCTCCACTAGCTGCTTCGTTCTGCACATCATCCTACAATTTCCTTCTCTTCTCCTCATCCCAATCCAAGGACTCCCAATTATTTCCAATTCTCAACTAGCAGGTCACAACTTGCAACTTTTTATCCATGCTCATTTGAGACATTTTAGTTCAAAACATTGTTTTTCAATTTTATTGTTTTTCAGATGGAGTCTTGTTCTGTTGCCCAGCCTGGAGTGCAGTGGTGCGATCTCGACTCACTGCAGCCTCGGCTTCCCGGGTTCAAGTGATTCTCCTGCCTCAGCCTCCTGAGTAGCTGGGACTACAGCCGCCCACCACCACACCTAGCTAATTTTTGTATTTTTAGTAGAGATGGGGTTTCACCATGTTGGCCAGGCTGGTCTCGAACTCCTGAGCTCGTGATCCACCTGTCTCAGCCTCCCAAAGTGCTGGAATTACAAGCATGAGCCACCATGCCTGGCCTGTTTTTGAATTTTAATTAAGTCTGATACAAATTAATATTCTATTCTAAAATCTCATCAGTGGCAAAATAGTCTAATTACTATACCAAAGGAAAGTGATGAATTAGAATAAGCTTGTTATTAATGCCTTCAAATTCCTTCCTTTTAATTTTCATATTTCTTACTTATTCCCTGCTGCACCTGCAGTCACAGCCATCTTCCTTAATGTTTGTTTTATGTAATAATAGAAAGCTGTTTTCAGCTACTGGGGAGGCAGAGGCCAGGAGATCGCCTGAGCCCAGGAGTTTGAGACTGCAGTGAGCTACAATCACACCACTGCATTCCTGCCTGGGCGACAAAGCAAGATCCTGTCTCTAAAAAGAATTATAAATAAATAAATAAATGTGAGAAAGCTGTTTTAGCAAAACTTCTCTCTCCAACTACATTTGGAGAAGTACGTGCATAGAGGTATTCCCAGGACTTCAATATTCTCAATGCCAGCATTCTCCACAGGCAATTCTTGAATGCCTGACAAATTACAATGAGGAAGGAATCTATTCACCACCTAGATCAGTGGCTGCCAAATACTTGACTCTCAGGACCCCATTAGGCTCAAAAAGTATCCTGGACTTCAAAAAGTTTTGTTGATTTGATTTATATTTATACTTATTAATATTTATCATAGAAAAAACACAAACTAACAATCTAAAAATATTTAGTGATTTATTTTAAAATAGTAATAATAAACCTATTACATGTTAATTAAATAACATTTTTATTTAAAATCTATTTTTTTTTTTTTTTCAGATGGAGTTTTGCTCTTGTTGCCCAGGCTGGAGTGCAATGGCCCGATCTCAGCTCACCTCAACCTCCGCCTCCCGGGTTCAAGCGATTCTCCTGCCTTAGCCTCCCGAGTAGCTGGGATTACAGGCATCCGCCCAGCTAATTTTTGTATTTTTAGTAGTAGCTAGTCTCCAAATGTGATCTGGAGAATAAGACCACATTTGGAGACTGGTTAACCTACAATATGTGTAGACAACACAATCCCAAATTCTTAAGTGGATACAATTTTCTCACTTATTTCTATTCTTTTCTTTTGCTCTTAAAATGCCTAGTGCCCAGGGTCTTCATTCCCCCTTCCGGTTGTGCAAAACCCTTTCCCCACCGTGACACCAGTGTGGGACTGACCTGTCCGTAGTGCCACCCTTTCCCCGCCATGACACCAGAGTGGGGCCGACCTGTCCGTAGTGTCACTTGTTCTCAGTGTGCTAATTTCTGTAAGTCAAAATATATCTATTTTCTGATGGTCCCCTGAGGATCCAAATAAGTAACATGCTAGTTTAATGAACTTGGCTGTTAATTGGTGATAATCATTTAATGGCTCCTCCATTCTTCATACAATATTGTATTTAAACAAATCTTCAGTGTCTCCACCCAGACAAATTACTTATATGTAAATGTACCCAGTGAGAGGACTTTCGTGTCACTTTCCCCAGATGACATCTCTTCTCTCTGTGCAGAGTCCTGACCCTATGCACAAGTGTGCAATGAATATCGTCATGTATAATGCATATATAAGACATTTGAATAAATGCTTAGATTATTTTGGATTCCTTAGTAAATGCCAGTTTTGATCATGAAAAGTAGACAGAACCTAGACAAAAAAAAAAAAATACTGGCAGAAAAACCAAACAGCAACAATACTACAAACTCAGATGCACTGACATCTGAGTAACAATGATAGCCTCAGTTCCTTAAAACCTCAATATAGGCTTAACTTTTTTTTTTGAGACAGAGTTTTGCTTTGTTGTCCACGCTGGGATGCAGTGGCGCAAATTTGGCTCATTGCAACCTCTGCCTTCCAGGTTCAAGCAATTCTTGTGCCTCAGCCTCCTGAGTAGCTGGATTACAGGCACTCACCACCATGCCCAGCTGATTTTTTGTGTTTTAGTGGAGACGGGGTTTCATCATCTTGCCCAGGCTGGTCTCGAACTCCTGAGCTCAGGGAATCCACCTGTCTCGGCCTCCCAGAGTGTTAGGATTACAGGCATGAGCCACCATGCCCGGCCAACTTTTTTTAATAATCGAAAATTAATAGCATTTTTTGGCTGGGCACAGTGGCTCACACCTGTAATCCCAGCACTTTGGGAGGCCGAGGCAGGCAGATCACTTGAGCTCAGGAGTTCAAGACCAGCCTGGACAACATAGCCCCCATCTCAAAAAATAAAATTAATGGCATTTAAAAAATATTTACAATAGAAGAGCTTTTAAAACTATAAGCAGATTCTGGGCATTGGTTGTGAGCATCTTGTCCATCCAAAAAGAGCAGAAAATGGATCTGGGTTGACTTCACTGAGTCGCTTGAAACTCACAGAAAGATGACATGGAGCTACTGAGCCATGGTGTTAATGAGCATCACTTTCCACAGTTGCCTCTAGACAATGAGGCCAGATGCTCGTGGTGCAGGATGGGTAATTAATGCCTCCAGTTGTCCCGTGTTTCCTGAGGAAACAATGTTTAAGAACTGCCACAAACTGCGCCTCACAGATTGGAGTAGCTAAGGAAGAAAACCTCAGAAGATTTTACGTCACTTTTTTTTTTTGAAAAGACACAGACCAATCTATTTAGAAAAATATTTTTATTATATGGGAAGCAAAATATTTTTTTTTCTAAAGCACCAAATGTACAGCATCCACTCAAGGGGAACAAAAGGTCTCCCAAACTCTCCAGCCTCACACTGGGGCTCAGCTCTCCGGTAACTTGATCCATTTGTAACTCCAGGCTCTTTCCACGAGTTGTCCTCTAATTCTATAAAATCCAGTTGTACAGCCAGAGGAAAACTCAGAACAGGCACACAAATTTTTGTACTTTGGTTACTGAAAGGGATTTTGTCTTGTTAATCTTGAAGGATTGGCAGAGCAATTTTATCACATTTTCTGAAAAAAATCTATACAGATTTAAGGTCGCATTCTGGATTTAATTGAAGTAACCTTTTGTACAATCTAGCTTTAATGAAGTGCAATGAAGTTAAACTCCGTGGGGGCCATTAATCTGAAACACTCCATTTAAGAACTACAAGGGGAGTTTTTAATAAACAGTGTGAACTAATGCCCATGTGGAAAGGTAATTGAGAGGGAGCTGGTGTCTGGGCCAGATTGTTATTAAACCCTTATCACAGGTAAAGCTGAAACCCCAATGGCAAGCTGCTCTGTGATTTATCGTGCCCTTCTCATCCTAACTTTAAAGAAAAGGCTACGTTTAATAATGAAAAAATCCTGTGACTAAGCTATAAAATAACTGAGCAATTACTTAGAATAATTTATACAGTGCAATACATTGACCTTGCTTTAAGCATAAAATCTACAAAATAACTTTGGCCATAAAACTGTGAACTACTAAAAGTACTAAAGGTTTTAACCATTTTTATTGGGTGGTGCCTGGGGGGACCATAAATACGTGTTACACTCTAATCACAGGGCTTAAGAAAATTCATAATTTTTTATCTTAAAATGGCTTTTTGAGAAAAGTTTTCTCAATTTGGCCAATTGCAAATCACGAAGTCTAATGCCGTTACTTTAAAAGGATTATATATAACGTCCACAATATTATTTCCCCATGTGTGAGTTCTGCCTCACTCTCTCTTTTGACTCCCAGCCATGGCTGATGAAGGAAAAATGGCAATAACTTTTCTGTATTACCTATTTAAATATTTACTCTTTTGAAAAAAGAAGGCAGTGGGATCTGTTGCAACAGAAAGGATTGATACTATCTCCCAGCCCACTGAGACAAGGATGCGTCTATTTCTGGGTAAGTAAATACATTCCTCCCCTCAGCAACGCACAGTCAATGTTTCCACTTTCCACAGTGGCTTTCAACAGCAAAGTTCAGCCTTTACTCCAAACTGGCATCAGAGCAGGACATAACCAAGCATAACATATGACTCTCATTGCCTTCAATTTTTCAATCACTGCAGCTGAGCAAACACGTTTTCCCTGAAGGCTTTGAATCATGGAATTATCCCCACAGATCGTCTTCCAGTTGACTTTAATTCCACTAAATCCAGTCGATTTCTGCAAGATTGGAATATCAGCACATTGACACCCTGTGGAAACAAATTTTCAAGGCAGCAACTTTTGACACAAAACTATTTATTCCTAAGGTTTATCTTGCTTCACCCCTGATAAAATGAGCCAGTTTAGCTCCCAAAGGAAAACAAAGCCACAGGATGTTGTCCCTGGGTTGGCTAAACAGAGATACTTGCGGGAAACCTCACAGACAAAAATACTGCCTGAATATACCATCTTTGTTACTCGTAGAGCTACAGGCATCAGAAAGTTACTGCATGGAAGCAAAAAGGTTTTATGGTATAATGCAGTAATCCATGATTAAATCTCTTAAATATATCATCTGAAGGTTCATTAAAAGACTGGGGCACAGGATGGGACATAGGAGATGATCTGGGAGTTCCAGTCCCGGTGATGCCCTTCAGAAAATGAGCCCCAGGGACCTCAGGGAGGTGTGGCCTCCATTCAGGTTATCTGAGCTAGGGACTGGCTAGAGTTGCATGCGGTCACAGAAATGGAGGATAGTGTACTGCAAAAAGGAAAAGACAGCACCATTGTTCAGAACATGGCCCTGTTGCTGGGTCTCCAGAAGGCAAAATGAGCTTCAGAGGAACAACACAGCCATGAATAAAAGCCTGATTTTTCACCAGCCCACAGACCAGCCAATCTCCAGCTGGAGCCCAATTCATACAGGAGAAAGCAGCCTTTCTGGTGAGGGACCATGTAGCTGTCTTCTTCTAGGAATGGGGAATTGCCTTAGGAAAGAGACTAAAATTTCAACATTTAGCTCTACACACCCTCACAGAACTCCACTAACACACCATAAAAGTAATTTTTTTAGGTCCTAGACCTGTAAGGATATGGAGAAAGATCAAAGAAACCATAATTAGAAGGCAGAAAGGCAGGTGGTAACTGACTTGGTGGACCAAAGAAAGATGACTCCTCACTCAACCAGCAGTAAGGAAGCCAGTGGCCAGTTGGATTTGAGCCATGAGATTCCCAGAGGTTCAGCAGGGAACCCTGAGGTGCTGGAAGTAGAATGAAGGTGAAGGACGGCTTGGTAGCCACTTTAAAAACAGATAGACTTCCAGATCCACACTCTAGCAAGAAAATGGAAGGCTAGTCATTTGAGAAGATAAATGTAAATGTTCAAGATGTCGTCAGAGATGGTTATGTTGAAAAGGGAAGATGAAGTGAAACTGGATCCTGGATGCTGAGGCCCTCCTTCGACCCCAGCAATCTTCTTCCCTTTAGTTCCCAGATCATTGCTAGACGTTCACCCTCTGCAGAAGATTGTAAGGTTTTCTCTGAGGACTCTGTTCCGCCCAAGAGAAGAGACAAAAGTCACTAACATCAAGGATTCCCCAGTACAACCAGTATAACCAGTATAACCATCAAGGATTCCCCAGTACAATGGCTCAACCAGATCATCCTACATCAGAGCCCATATAGCAACCCACAAATGTGCTCAGGGCTTCCAATCAGCTTCTTCATCTTCTACTTTTAAATACGACCAGAGATACAAGGAAATCTAACCATCTGAAAAAAACATCACTGACCTGAAGGAAAGAAAAAATAAACACAAAAGCATGCTAAACACATTTTGGAGGATACTATAGAAAAACTATTTAGAGAGAATACAATGTTTCCCTCAAAAAGATTATTACTATGCTCAGAAAAGTAAGAGGAAATAGTGCAATCATGAAACAAGAACAAGATGTTATTAAAAATGAACATTGAGAGGACTGAAGCAAGCTCTTGGAAATGTAAAATACGATAGTAAAATGTTGCCTCCCCACAAGAAACTATAGAAGTTTAGAAAAAAGAACTGAATAAACCTCACAGGAAATAGGGCAAAATTTCTAAATTATATAAAATAAAGAAGAAAAGGCCATCAGTGCAGGATGATCATTGTCTGGTAGGAGTTCCAAAATGAGCAAAATGAGAAAATTCCCGCAAGACCAATGTGGGTTGATTGCTACCTTCAAATATATTTTTGTCTGCAGATCCCAGTAACTGCTTCCTTCCCATGACCCCAAACCTAGGTATGGAAAAAGACTTTTGCTCGTACTGGCCCCAAGTTTCTTCAGCCTTCCACATCTTTGTAAACCATCCCTTTATTAAATGCTTCTTGAAGTTTCTTACTAGAGCTTGCCCTCTGAATCCTGACAGATAGAGTCCCATGCATTCTGTACCAGCAAGCTCCTGGAGGAGGTGCATCCCCAAAACAAGGAGGTATTCGAAATCAGAGGAAGGCTCAAGCAAGGAAACAGAGGAGCAAAGTGAGAAGGGAATCCCTACAGTGATGGTGGAGGGAAAGTCCAGGAACATACAGCTGAGCGTGGGGCCTGAAAGCAAGAACCCTGCATTGAATCAGGCCCAAAGTTTCTGGAAAAGGTTTACTCAAGAAGACAGAAGTCTCAGAACACCTAATGTCTGGGAAATTTGAGAAAGGAGATTTGGACAACTAGCAGGGAGTTTGGAGTTAAATTAGTAATCAAAACATACAGACATAAACAATGAAAAAAACAGCTATTAGTCCAGAAAAGACAAAAAGTCATATAGGAAAGGAAAAGCAATCATAATTTGCCACAGGCTCAGCACTGAGTGACAGTTACAAAAGTCAAAATAAATGAAAACAATGAATATTGATCTAACCAAAAGTGTAACCAATGGGGAGGATGCTTGTGGCAGAGGGAGGAGGAAAGAAAGGAAAGCCCTCGCTTCCATAAATAATGCCTGAAATTGAAAATTTCTTGAAAAGTAGCAATAAAAGCACGCTATTTTAAAATATAGAGGCAAACACCAAAAAAAAGAAAAAAAAGGCAGTAAAGTTTAAAGCTATTATATTTCCTCTGGAAAAGATGTAATGGAAGAGGAGGATAGCAGATTACTATTCTGCACAACAGACCCTATGGAATTATTTAATTCTTCACACTATACATATGCAACTTTAAAAAAAAAAAGAATTAAAACTAAATGGAGGTCAGAAGAAAAAGGGTAAGGAAGAGAAGAAAGGGAGAGAAGGAGGAAGAAGATAGGGAGGGAGACTTAGTTGAAAAAAAATTAAACTGGCTCAAATAAAAATGGTAGGGCACAGACAGCAGAATGTGGAGCCACCTCAGCTTCCAGAGCCCGCCTCGCTGCAGCTTCCAGAGCCCGCCTCCCTGCAGCTTCCAGAGTCCGCCTCACTGCTCCCTGGCCCTCTCTCCTGCTGGCTGGCCACATGCACCAAAACTTGCTGTTCAACGGGATATGCTCATAGCTATGGTTTCCAGCAGTCTCTCCTGCCCTCAGCTAAGCCTGGTCCTGGCAACTCCCCACCACACCCCACTGTGCCCGACTGCAATTCTTGGGCACTAAATCCTCCCTGTCTCCTGAAAACACTCATCTGTTCTCCAACAAGGAGCACACAGCACCTGGAACTTTGTGGAGATTCTCCCTGAATTTCATACCACAGTTCTCCACCTTCAACCTTCCCTCCTCTAGGACCCGTGGTTGGTTTTTTAACACTTATGGGGGTGTCTGTTTTATGCAAGTTACTTCCACTGAGCTTAGATTTTGCATATTCAGAAATAGACGTTTAAAAATGAAAATAAACAAAAATAACTTCTAAAAAATATGTGCTAATTGCTTAGCTTGTGCAATTGAACTACTGAACTTACCACTGACATGCACTGTGGAGAAAGAACCATCCTCTCGGCATTGAGCATCAGCTTATCCAAGCCAGCAACGAACCCACACAGCTGTGCCCACCTTGTTCTGTTATACAAGATCCCCACAATGGGAGTTACCTTTCACATTTCATCCAGTATTTTCATCCTCAGCTGGATTTGCAATCATAGATATCAGCTCATTTGACCTTCTGGCAGAATCTCTTTTCTACCTCTCAAGATCTAAGTTGACATTGAATCAAATATCTTATTAACATATGCAGACAAAACTATGGGCCCAACTGAAATAATTTCTCATTTGCCATGCTATAAGTTCACTTGTGCACCTAACAGAGAGAGTCTACATTAGACAGGATGCCAGGTGTGGTATCTGCAGAACAATTGGACCTTAATCTCCCCATTGTCAGACTGACTGATTGCATCATATCCAGGTCCCATCACATAGTTACTGGGCTCACCAATACCACTATTGATAGTCAAATCTCCCTCCTGTAGTCAACCTGAGAAAAATCTATTAAGTGAGACACAGGAAAATCCCTAGACACACCTTACAAGGACTAAGAGTCCTCATAGCATGAGCTGATAAATGAGGAAGCCTAGGAAAGTTCTAGCAAGTGGGGAATCCAATGAGACTGTACAGCTAAGGAGTGTGACCTACCTGCCTTGGAAAATCAGAAAAGATTGCCTCAGAAAAGTCCTTTAGCTTTCCATAGACTTAAATATCAAGGTTATCAAGGTTATGTTGTAAAAAGCAGAAATTACTGCCTACCCTGCAGAAGGGAGTGTAAAGATTGGGTGCTAATGACACTGAAAGGAGGAGTGACCTCTGGGCTGAGTCTCCAGGAAGGACCCCCAGCAACCCTGCAGAGCCATCCAGAGGGATGGCCCAGTCAGGAAGGCAGGAATCCAGAGACAACTGCCTTCTATACCCACCCAAGCTGGTGGCCAGACACTGCACAGGGCTACAGAAAGACCCTCCTTCCCCACCGCAGAGCCTGCCAGCAGGAGGACACCTCCTTCTCTGTTCTGACTTGCAGTCCGTACCTAAGAGAATCTGATTGGTGAGGCCAATTTGCATCCAGAAACTCAGGCAGAAGGGTATCTGGGAAACGTAGTTTTCGGCTCTGCAGCCGCTACAGTCCAGGAAGATGCAACCAAAGGAGGAAACAGGTGCTCAGCCTTCATCTACCACAGATTAGGTAATTAATCTAATGCACCTGATTTACCACACAGGCCTCAAAGCACGGCTTTCCCAACAGCCTCTACCTGTAGTCATATTTCGGGAAGACTTCCTCACCTCTGTCAGCTGAGACATGGAACTGCACCCACAGCTGTTGGTGCAATAAATACAATAGCTGAAACTACTGTGTGTTTGCTTTTACACTACTGTGTGCCCACTTTAAAGTTTAAGAAGCTGAGGAACAGAGAGGTAAAATAGCATGCCCAAGGGCACAGTCACAAGTGGTTGGAGAAAACTGGCTCCGTAATTTCTGATCTTACTCTCTAAACTATATAAACGAAAACCATATAAAAATTTACAGTCCAGACTATCTAGCCTGAGAGATGTAGGAGGCAGGCCTCGGGCTTTTACCAATGGCCCTGTGCCATCTAACTTCAATGATCTGATATCTCACTGAGCCCATATCTTAATCTCCTGCCTGGGGGGACCTAGATGGAAAGAGGAAAAGGGCTTGCTGCCACTGTCCTCTCTCCTTGTTCCCAGAAAGCATTAGACCGCAGAAGGTGGAATGCTAAAGAGAGAGGCAACTGCAGGATCAGCTCCCGAGGAGCCGCAGTTTCACAAGCGGTGTGGTCATCCCCACAGACAATGAATAATGCACCATAAATAAAGACTTGGACACTCCCACAAGATCTAGAGTTGTGCCTTTTTCTATGCCTGGCCCTTTCAAAAGTCCCATCTCAGAAATAGAGGGGTGGAGGAAGACGTGAGCTCCCCACAGTAACAGGGCAGCAGGAGCTCCTGTTCCCACAAGGGAGCCTCAGACCTCCACACCCAGAGCTTGACTCCAAGCTCCACCAGGCTCAACCTCTACCCATTGCTCCGCAAAAACTCTGGTCCCATAGACCTCCGTCCAGAAATCCTGCCTATCCAGACTCATGCTGACTAGATCCTGCCTTTGCCCGACCCCACCCTGACACCAGTGTATTTAATTCAATCTGTGTTCACACTGTTGCCCTTCCAAACCTGCCACAGCCCCTCAAGAACAGGATGTGGGAACGTACAACAGAATTTCTCTCCCCTCTCAATTCTCAGTGTTCAATTCTTGCAGCTTCTATAACTGCAAAGATAGGCGTGCAGACCCTTTAGTGAGCAAAGAAATACAGTTCCCAAGAAGAAATTGATCTTAAAGTGTTTGAGTTAGTTTTCCTCAACAAATGTAATGTTAAAATTTCAGAAAAAACTTTAAGACTTTTCAAAGGCTCATTGGACATCAAATAGTTCTCACATAACTGGCTACAGTGTAAATTAATCAAAATTACATACCTTTAATGTCCCTTAAAATGCAGTATTTCATATTTTTTAGGGGTCCATTGAACCTTCAGAATAAATCTGGGGAGGGAGAACTAAGAAAGGACAAATTAAGGGGATAGAGATTTGGGGAAGAGTGAAGACGGCAATTATGGGGAGAACATAATACAGGGAGAGAACGGAAGAACTTGAATAGTGAGAAGAGGGAATGGAAGCAGAGAGTAAGGATGTGTAAGGAGAGTAAGGAGAGTAAGGCAGGAGGCAGTGAGAAAGGAATGGACAACAAAAGACACTTGCTCACCACCGATCCCCAACACACACACACTCACACACTCCCACACTCACACACTCACACACACTCACACACTCACACGCACTCACACACTCCCACAGACTCACACACTCACACTCTCACACACTCCACACACACACACCCACACACGCTCACGCATACACTCACACACTCACATGCACACTTGCTTGCACACACTTACACGCACACACAATTACACACACTTGCAAACACACACATGCTCGCACGTGCACACACACACACGCACAATCTCACTTTGCCTGTTTCCAAACTTAACGTTTTCCAGCCAGTGGGTCCTCACCGGTTAAGTTAATGTGGAAAAGACTATTCTGTCATCCAGAGAACCCACAGCTCAGTGCCTGTTCTGAGGACACAGGCATGTGACTTTCAGCAAGTTGCTGACAATTTCATCATCTCATCTCTATGTAATCAGGGTGATAGGTTTCCAGACATGAGAGTACTGGGACTCCATGAACAAAGAGAAGAAGACACTGAGGCAGAAAATAAGAACCAAAGTACAAGAAGTGAAGATTAAAGTTCATCTCGCTCATTCAGAATCCTGGCCTCGAGAGAACTGCAGATGGAGTCCAAGGGGCTCCACCACTAGAGTAAGAGTTAACGTTTCTGTTTCCATTAGGAACGGCAGGCTGATGCCCGGGCAGATCATTCTGAGGAGAACACTCGCTACTCTCCTCCAAAAGAAGCCGCCCAAAAAAAGGGGGAGGCAGGAGGCTGACGAGGTCCTGGGTGTCTTCCTCTCCCCCAAGTCTTCTGAACTGCTTTCACCCGTGCCCAGCGGCCTCTTCTTCTGGTCTCCCCTCCAGGTCCTAACTGTTGCTAGCAATCCCCTGCTATGATGGTGAACTCAAAAAACAAAACAAAACAAAACAAAAACAATGTCTGAGACGGGTGTGAATCCATTTAGAGGCTTACTTTGCCAAGGTTGAGGACGTGCCTGGGGAAAAGAGACACAAGTCACAACTGGTCTGTGGCCAGCACTTTTTTTCAAAGAGGATTTTGAGGGCTTCAGTATTTAAAGGGATAAAGTAGGCAGGCGGCAAAGAAGGGAAAAAAAGAGAGGGAAGGTATAGTCACATTTTTTGAGGCTTCGATTAGCAGTCAGTGAACCTACATGTCACACGTGACAAGGAGGAGGTAGAGGAACAATCGATTATGTATTCACCTCGTGCTGAGTAAATCTGCACTTTATGTGAGATAAAATAAACACGGAGTAGAGGAAGAAGACAAATATGCATTCATCTCAGGTGGGCGGAGGGACTGTGCCTCGTCTCCTCTTGTCCAGTACCATGAAGATAAGCTGTTAGTTTACTTTGTCAAGGTGAGGGAGGCCCCCTGGGGAGACACGTGGCCTTCTTTCTCTAGCTGTCTGTTTAGGAACAAAAGGAAAGGCGGGGTTTTTTTTTACATGACTCAGTTTCCAAGTTCAACTTTTCCCTTCAGCATAGTGAGTTTAGGGTCCTGAGATTTTCTTTTCTTTTCACAATAGAGGTCATCATAGGTGATCCTCGGTGATGATGAGGATGATACAATGATGGCGATGACAACCCAAAACTGTAATAACTAGGAGAGAAAAGAGAAAAGGGGACAGAAAAGAGAAGGGAGAAAAGAAGGAAGAATAAGGAGGAGCAGGAAAGAAGATGCTACGCCCCACTAGCAGTGCTGGCTGCTTCGTTTCTTCTTCTTTCCCAAATATTTGTGTCATGCCTGCCTTCCACTTAGCTTCTTGACAGTGGGGTCAAGGCCAACATGACGCGCCCCCCCACCCAGGGAGTTTACAGAGTAGGAAGGATTCCAACACCTCCTGATGCACCGTGGCAGGTGCCGTGATAAAAACGCAGTTACACAGATACACCCGGCCAGGGATGGTGGTCAGGGACCTCACCACATTTGTGTGCTACAACTATGAGTGGATCAGAGGGGAATGAGGTTGTGGAGGCAGGATGACCATGAACAGATTATCATAAGAAACAAGGCGAGAATGTTGGTGGCCCGGGCTGGGGCAGAAAAGGTGAGGAGTTGGTGCTGTACTGATGGAATTTCGTGGTTAAAGAGGTGTGGAGGGCACAGCGGAGGAGGAAGTCAAGGACAAACTCCAAGTGTGTGGATTGGCCTGCCGGGTGGATGGTGATTTCATTTACTAACTTTCAGGGCACACAAGAAATGGTACGTGCTGAGGATGAGTTCAACTTTGGACAGATGAGTTTTAAATACATAGGTGTCAACTGATTGTAAACAACCAACGGGTAAGTGAGCATATAAGGCTGCTGTTGTGAATGGAAAGAGATGCTATCAAGGAAACAGGATTTCTGTGCAGCCTGGAGGGCTCAGGTGCAGTCGGAGATCATAATAGTGGCTCCAGTCTTCACAATGGCCTACATTGTCTCTTCTGATTCTTTTTCAATGCTGGGTGGTATGTATCTTTATCCTCGTTATTAAGAGGAGAAAAGGCTCAGAAAGCTTAAGTAGTGTGCTTCAATTCTCACAGCTTGTCTAGACCGGACTCAAATGCAGATCCGTCACAGCCTAAAGCTGAGGTTCCAGCCACCACACCGAGCTGTCTTCAGTCAAGAGTTAACTCATCTCTCCCCAGAGCCATTGTCCTGAAGATGCGAATATAATGATGATGAAATGTGTCCCTCTCCTTCAAGAAAATCAGAGTCTAGTGGACAGGGAAGGACATATAAGTAGCTACTAACTTGTGATGTGCTGAAAATAAAATAGCGTCATTATAAATAAACAAAATCCTCAACACTACAGCGGAGTGGAGTCCAGGGAGCAGAGAGAAAACTGAGCTGGGATGGATTATTTGAATTGAACTTAAAGAATGAACGGGCCTCGCATATAACCTGGATGATAATTATTTTTTTCACATTTACAAATGAGGTGAAAAGGCTAAACCAAAAACCCCTGCCAACCAACACATGTCTTTCCATAAAGTCCCCAACTGCTGGCTTCAAGAGCAGCCCCACTGGAAGCTTATTTCGGGACGTAACCCACGGTCACTGGTGCTTTGCTTCTTTGGGGCAACACCACGTGGATGGTCACAAGCCAGCTGACTCGGTGAAGTCACACCATCTGAGGCTTGCTGTGCACAACCTTCCCGGGTGAAGGTGCCTTCTGCAAACCTAGTGAGACCATTTGTACATCGAAGGGATGCTCCCCTGAACATTCACCATCATCCTGTTGGAATAACCATCTCTTGCTTCAAACTGAGGTTCTCCCATATTCCATATAGGTCTATTCATTACTTGTTAATGGTTGTCATTTATTACCCCCTTGTTTATTACTGAAATTATGATTCATTAAGTAATAAAAATCTGCTTGGAACATGCAAAAGGAATAAGCTCCTCATTGTTTCAAAGCGTCTTTGCGGATTTTATTGTGCTCTTTTAGGAATAATTTTTTTCTCTTCTATTGAAAAAGAACCATCTCTATGAAACCATGTGGACCAATAAATTATTCATGTATATCCATCATTTTAGGTTAAAAAATAGCTGATTTAGAAGCATTTGTATTGTCAAATTCTATTGCTTTGCAGTTCTGTTCAGTTTCCGTCACCCCCGGCAACTCACACTGCATCACAGCCAAGCTCATCACCTGGAACACTGCCTTTGTGCCGTGCTCCTCCTCACACGGCTCCCTGTTGCTGCCACATCTCATCCAGGCTCCTCCCTGATTACCTTGATGGCAACACCCATCAGCTGCCACACACTCACTTCTGCTACTCTCCACACCAACTCCCTTCTCCAGTCAGCAGGATTTCTTACCAAGCCACATCTCCTCTCCACCCTACACCTACAGGCAAATGCCAGGCTCATCTCCAGCACTTGGCCTCTGCTCCTTTACTCAGCCAGTATTTACTGCCTTGCGACTATTGCCCAGGCCCGGTGAAGGCTGTTCACATATGTAAGACAGGCTCCCTGCTTCTCAATAGCTTATTCCTCTAACAGGCAAGACAGGATACCCAGGTAAATAATTTCCAGAGTATGACAGGTGTTCCAACAGGCATAGGCAAGCTCTACTTCAGCGTCCAAGGAGAACTCTAGCCTGAGTAATACGCCATCTTACCCCTTCTTAGGACTTTCACGTGGGCTGGCATCATCTCCCCATTACATTGCACAATTCAAGGGCAAGGACTCTGTCTCCCAGTTTCTTTGTTTACCTCGCTATACCTAGCATGCTAGGAAATGATTAGACATGTATATTGTATCTAAACTTGTAGTATAATACACCCATTTTATAAAGATTTGAGTTCAGTTTTCTCTCTGTCTTCTTTTTCTGGAGACAGGGTCTCACTCTGTTGCCCAAGATACAGAGCAGTCCTGCAACCATGACTCACTGCAGCCTCGTCCTCCTGTGCTCAAGCCATCCTCCTGCCTCAGCCTCCCCTGTAGGTGAGACTCCAGGCATGTGCCACCATGCCTGGAAAATTTGTAAAGTTTTTTCTAGAGAGGCTTTCTCACTGTTTCCCAGGCTGGTCTCGAATATCTTGCCTCAAGTGATTCTTCCACCTCTGCCTCCCAAAATGTTGGGATTACAGACATGAGTCACCATACCCACATAATTTCTTAAAGAGTAGTACAAATAATAAATAGAATAAAATACATTTTTTAATAAAAATTTCAGTTTTTAATGGGAAAATATGGATTATATGTATCTAATAAAAATAATCTTCAGTTGATACGGTCCTAATTTTTAAAACATGACTATGTGCTTCATTCATTCATTCATTCATGCTCTCAACAATCGTATACTGAAGACTCACTATGATCTAAGTGCTGGCACTTTCTCTACAAGGACAACAAAATGGCCAACTCTGAGGAGCTTCTGTTCTGAGAACTCTCCAAGAGGAACACAATTCTGAACCTTGACCTCCAAGGGCTTTCTGATGTCCCAGAGCCACTGCATCACTAAGTTGGGGCCACCATGCACAGCAGGTTATTCCAAGCATTTCCAAGCTATGGATATATATTTTGTCCATTGTATTTTTTTCTCCCTTTACTTAAAAAAAAATTTGATGTGGTCTGCAATGTGACTGCCCACTGGTCAGCTCCAGCACGGACCACAAACAGCAGGGGGCTTAGAGCACAAACTAAATGGGGTCCACCACACCCTGCTTTCATCTCCCAATATTTTTCATGACTTTTCCCAAAGAGATATAAGCATTAGTGGTTCTGAACTACTATGCCCATAGCATTTTATTACAGTTTGCCCATATAAAGAGTTTTTGTGGCCCGTATAAAGCAGCAACCTCTTTGATAAGTGACATACAGCATTTCCATCCACCCAGATCCAGGGCTGACCTAGAACACAAAGAGAATTCACCAAAGGCTTTCACCAAAATTCTCTATTTTTCTTTCTGCCTTTCGAGAACTAATTTCTCTTAAAAGAAAGAAAATTATCCGTGGTTTCCACTTAAGCCAAACGGCCAGACAGCTCCCAGGAAAAATCTAGAGAGAGGAGGATGATTGGAGAGGCGGAAAGAGAGGACATATACCTCCTTCCTTCTTATCAAGTCCCAATACTCTGCTGCTCAAGGGAATATGGAATCTCAGAAGTACTTGATATGAAAATGACAAAATTCATTTATTGACAGTTGGGTAAAATTGTATCCTAACACAATCACAGAGAGTGCTGTCGTTACTTGAACAAAATAAAGCAACACAAAAACATTTGGCCAATGAGGTTCACAGGACGCAAGAGACTACAAGCTGGTGAGTGACAGGCATACGTTCAAGCCTTGCACTGTCACGGTATGGGGTCAGATCTTCAGAGAAGTTTTGACAAAGGATTTCACTGCCCTCACAATACATTTTATGCCTCTCCTAAGAAACGCTTAATGTCTGCAATTATGTGTCAGCCACCCAAGAGCCTCAGAACGCTATGCAACCGCAGCATGCAAAAGCAAACGTGTCAGAAAGGAAAACTGGGACGCTACTGCCCTCTGCTGGACACACAGGCGAAGGGCGATTCCTGCACCGTCTTTACCGCACCTGGGAGGAGTTCTGGGCATAGCTGCGTGCAGCTGGCGACACTTTACTCAATACAAGAGGTCTTGAGTGCGCAAGGCCTCATCTGGGTCATGGACCCTGCATGACTCTTGTGACTGCTTAGATAAACTACATCTCACCAAGGATGACTCAAAGCAAGGAGTGATATTGAAATATTTTAATTGTTCTTTTTCAGTAGCTGTTATATATTGAAGAAAACGCTTTTGTCAATGTGAAAAATGCCTATTAACGTTTATTCATAACAGTAAACAATTACCACTGCGGTATGTCAAAAGAGATGGGGATGCCAGTATGAACAGGAAAGAGCTGTCCTATCTCACAGGTCAGCGACGTTACACAGTCCAGTGAGGACACGTATGTATGTCTCTTGTGTGTAGATTTGTTTTGTTTTTGAAACCAATACCTTCTTCAAATGTTGCCTTGAAGTACACATTGCAATGGGGTTGACTTAGTTTGAAAATCACTTTGTATTTGGCAAATGCCCAGTCAGGGACCGCAGCCTAGACACACAGAATGCAGCCATGTGAAGGCCATCCAAGTTCAAACACAAACGAAAAAATTAGTGTGTCCAGTTTCCAGTCGTAATAACTTTACCTTACAGACAAGCCGCTGATTCTCGGGAAGTCTGCTTCCCTCCAAATCCAGCTCATTTGGAAGGGAGGAAAACAACATTTAATGAGCCCCTCTCTGTCCTACGCGTCAGCCCATGCAGCCTCACAACTGCACCTTGGGGTACCCAGGATTACGGACATTTTACAGGTGAGATCACGCTCAGAACGCACGTGCAGAAGAGGCAACTGGCAGTCACACATGGCCCACCATGTCTTAGACTTGGAGACATAATCTCACCTGCACATCAGACTCTCTCGACAAGACCCTTCTAAGCTAGGTGGAAAGAGGTAAGTCAAGGAGAGAACACCCAGAGTCTTAGCCCTGATGCTGCACTGACATATCCACGGTCGGGGACACATCCTAATGCTTCCATGCCTCAGCAGCTACATCTGTACAAGGGGACACTCAGTCTCAAACTTGCCTCACTTCATCGTCAGTCAAATGACTCTTTTTTACCCTTGGGTTCTTGGTACTGAGAAGTATTTAAATTAGTCTTTTTTTAAAGTGGTTGCGTGAGCCAGGTGCAGTGGCTCACACCTGTAATCCCAGCACTTTGGGAGGCTGAGGCAGGTGAATCACCTGACGTCAGGAGTTCAAGACCAGGCTGGCCAACATGGTGAAACCCCATCTCTACTAAAAATACAAGTTAGCCAGGTGTGGTGGCAGGCCCCTCTAATCCCAGCTACTTGGGAGGCTGAGGCAGGAGAATCACTAAAACCCGGGAGGCGGAGGCTGCAGTGAGCTGAGATTGAGTCACTGCACTCCAGCCTGGGTGACTGAGAGAGACTCCGTCTCCAAAAATAATTATAATAAAGCAGTTGTGTAGACCAGAGTGAAGAGCTCTGACTCTAGAAGTCCACAAGGCTGGGTGCAAATCCAGGCACTGCCACTCACCAGCTCCACAACCTGTGAAACTCCAAGCCCAAGTTCCCTGCCATCACCCACAAGAGTAACCGGCCTCCTGCAGTGTTGTTCTACGAATCCCAGTAGCCTGCCCCATGGCCAATGCTCAACAAATGCTCATTCATTTCTCTCCCCAGTTACCTTCAAATGTGATGAGTTCTTTATGTAACTTGAGAATTTAAATCCATCTGGGGAAAGAAACTAGATGATTCTCAGGGCCCTTCCAGTCCTGTACTTCTTAAAGTATTACTATGCAAAGTTTTTCTAAGTACTTCTGTAATCCTCGCATGATTACAGAAGCCAGAAGCAGCTTAAAAGGTACCCAGTTCTGTTCTCTTACTTTAGAAATAAATTTTGACCTAATGGGCTCACCCAAGAAGAAACCAAGACTAGAATGTAGCCCAGTGGGCTCCAAAAGACATGATAATGCTGCTTTAACCTACCCCTAACCAGAATGTTCTAGAGCACACACGGCTGCACCCTCTGAGCTATGTGGGGTTGGTAGGGTGAGCCTCACCTCAAATCCCAAAAGGCAGGATGGAAAGCAGGTAGCGCGCCTGATTAGAGAGCTCCTGCAAACCAGCATCATGAGAGGGACTTTTTAATAATCTGGGTAGAAATAAGCCTATAGTCTTAAACACATTTTTAAAAATATGCAGGATTTATCTTGTGTTGGGAATGTGAATAGATTAGCAAAAGCTTCAGCTGAGCACAGTAATGTAAAACCAGCCAACTAAATAAAACCAGAAGGTCTGAAGGAAAGGGAATTACCTGGGCAGAGCTGGGAATTGGAAGATGTTTAACCACAGACATGCCCCACCCCTTGGCTTCCTGTGCTCTGCAACCCCCACCTTTGGGGGACATTTGAGGCAGTGCTCATCCAGTCATAGCGTAGGCCTTTTGCCTCATTTCATTCCTTCCTGAATTCATTATGGTGTTAAACAGGCCTGCCTGTGACCTCGAAAGCGGTGTGACCACAGCTTGGTCCTTGCCCACATCCAGCATCCTCAGCATCCCGTCTCCTGGAATATATCACAAAGATACTTCACTCTCAACTTAGTTTGTCTTTCAGAAATGAATACAAATAGCACCTTGTTTGATGTAATTAGACTGGGCCGGAGCTTGGGTCTGTCTCCCAGGTTTAACAACAGATGACCTGTTATGTGTCACTTCTGTGGCCCTTCCCAGCAGGGACCCCCACCCACCAGGTCTAATTTCACAGGCTTCCTAATTACTTCTTTGTGGTGTGTTTGTTTCCTTGGGTGATTAGTTTTGCAGAATCCCTGCCTGAAGAATGATTGTGGATGTGCTAGCACTGATGTATTCACTTGCCAATGCTCCCACAGCAGTACCAGGCATTTGCATTCACAAGCAGAAGTTATTACAATTTTGTCTTTGGTGTCATGCATGCACATACATATAATTATGAATGAAGATAAATAGCCTTTTAAAAAATCTCTGACAATATTTTTGTAGCACTTGCGTTCATGTGCTGTCTGAACAAATATTAATATAACGCATGACTCTTTTTGGAGTATTGACTTGTCAATATAGCACTGCACAAATCCAGAATTTTAAATACTAACCAAACAAATGTTAAGAAGAAATATTCTACCACAGAGAATCATATATAAATACAAATCTCAGCTTTCCTTTTATCTACCTGACTTAACATATATATACTAGGCATATCGTCTCTTAATTTGTAAAACCAGAAGTCAATTCTACTGGAGAAGTTCATAAACACACAGGCAACCTTCCTGCATGACATATAGCTTAATGGCATATGCATTTGCGTATTTATCTGCATTAGACAAAGATTAACTTTCAAGTCTCCATTAATGCCTAGAAGCAGAAAAATATAGATGTGTCAACCCAAGACTTTTATACAAAGAGGCTCATAGTGCCTTGCTAGTCTCAAAATCTATTCGAAAGACCACCTTAGAGAGGAGGCCCCTTTAATAAAACAGTCACTCAGCCCTTTGGATGGGCTCCCAGGGAAGGTCTCTCAAGCCTCACATTTCACAGCATAGCAAACTTGCTAAATTGGAATACATTTACATCTGTATCTTCTCTTGGTAAGATGGAAAGCCTGGGAAATGGTCTTTGGACTAGCCTCCAGTAGGAAGAAAGCTAGCTTTTCTCCTTCACTTATTTTTAAGCCTATTAAACCTCAATGTGTTGTAGAAATATGGAAATAGTCCATCTTGAATTAATTTTTGTATAAGGTGTAAGGAAGGGATCCAGTTTCAGCTTTCTACATATGGCTAGCCAGTTTTCCCAGCACCATTTATTAAATAGGGAATCCTTTACCCATTGCTTGTTTTTGTCAGGTTTATCAAAGATCAGATGGTTGTAGATATGCGGCATTATTCCTGAGTTCTCTGTTCTGTTCAATTGGTCTATATCTCTGTTTTGGTACCAGTACCATGCTGTTTTGGTTACTGTAGCCTTGTAGTATAGTTTGAAGTCAGGTAGCATGATGCCTCCAGCTTTGTTCTTTTGGCTTAGGATTGACTTGGTGATGCGGGTTCTTTTTTGGTTCCATATGAACTTTAAAGTATTTTTTTCCAATTCTGTGAAGAAACTCGTTGGTAGCTTGATGGGGATGGCATTGAATCTATAAATTACCTTGGGCAGTATGGCCATTTTCACGATATTGATTCTTCCTACCCATGAGCATGGAATGTTCTTCCATTTCTTTGTATCCTCTTTTATTTCATTGAGCAGTGGTTTGTAGTTCTCCTTGAAGAGGTCCTTCACATCCCTTGTAAGTTGGATTCCTAGGTATTTTATTCTCTTTGAAGCAATTGTGAATGGGAGTTCATGCATGATTTGGCTCTCTGTTTGTTACGGTGTATAAGAATGCTTGTGATTTTTGCACATTGATTTTGTATCCTGAGACTTTGCTGAAGTTGCTTATCAGCTTAAGGAGATTTTGGGCTGAGATGATGGGGTTTTCTAGATATACAATCATGTCATCTGCAAACAGGGACAATTTGGCTTCCTCTTTTCCTAATTGAATGCTCTTTATTTCCTTCTCCTGCCTGATTGCCCTGGCCAGAACTTCCAACACTATGTTGAATAGGAGTGGTGAGAGAGGGCATCCCTGTCTTGTGCCAGTTTTCAAAGGGAATGCTTCCAGTTTTTGTCCATTCAGTATGATATTGGCTGTGGGTTTGTCATAGATAGCTCTTATTATTTTGAGATACATCCCATCAATACCTAATTTATTGAGAGTTTTTAGCATGAAGGGTTGTTGAATTTTGTCAAAGGCCTTTTCTGCATCTATTGAGATAATCATGTGGTTTTTGTCTTTGGTTCTGTTTATATGTTGGATTGCGTTACATGTTAGACCTAAAACCATAAAAACCCTAGAAGAAAACCTAGGCAATACCATTCAGGACATAGGCATGGGTAAGGACTTCATGTCTAAAACACCAAAAGCAATGGCAACAAAAGCCAAAATTGACAAATGGGATCTAATTAAACTAAAGAGCTTCCGCACAGCAAAAGAAACCACCATCAGAGTGAACAGGCAACCTACAGAATGGGAGAAAATTTTTGCAACCTACTCATCTGACAAAGGGCTAATATCCAGAATCTACAATGAACTCAAACAAATTTACAAGAAAAAAACAAACAACCCCATCAAAAAGTGGGCAAAGGATATGAACAGACACTTCTCAAAAGAAGACATTTATGCAGCCAAAAAACACATGAAAAAATGCTCATCATCACTGGCCATCAGAGAAATGCAAATCAAAACCACAATGAGATACCATCTCACACCAGTTAGAATGGTGATCATTAAAAAGTCAGGAAACAACAGGTGCTGGAGAGGATGTGGAGAAAGAGGAACACTTTTACACTGTTGGTGGGACTGTAAACTAGTTCAACCATTGTGGAAGTCAGTGTGGTGATTCCTCAGGGATCTAGAACTAGAAATACCATTTGACCCAGCCATCCCATTACTGGGTATATACCCAAAGGATTATAAATCATGCTGCTATAAAGACACATGCACACGTATGTTTATTGCGGTACTATTCACAATAGCAAAGACTTGGAACCAACCCAAATGTCCAACAATGATAGACTGGATTAAGAAAATGTGGCACATATACACCATGGAATACTATGCAGCCATAAAAATGATGAGTTCATGTCCTTTGTAGGGACATGGATGAAGCTGGAAACCATAATTCTCAGCAAACTATCACAAGGACAAAAAACCAAACACTGCATGTTCTCACTCATAGGTGGGAATTGAACAATGAGAACACATGGACACAGGAAGGGGAACATCACACACTGGGGACTGTTGTGGGGTGGGGGGGAGGGGAGAGGGATAGCATTAGGAGATACACCTAATGCTAAACGACGAGTTAGTGAGTGCAGCACACCAACATGGCACATGTATACATATGTAACAAACCTGCACGTTGTGCACATGTACCCTAAAACTTAAAGTATAATAATAATAAAATTAAAAAAAATAAATAAATAAAATTCAAAATTCAAATATTAATGTTATCAAAGGTTTCCGCCATCTATAATTCAAAACTATTAATACTAAACTTTTAGTATATTTGTCTTCTTTTACTTAAAGAAATAAAAGGTGTCAGAGAAAAAAAAGAAATATGATAACAGTCTGGAAAATAAATTATAAGAAGCAGAACTGATGAATCATTTCAACATACTTACCTGAAGAGTATGAATTTTGTCACATTTAAAAATAGATTGGATGGGCCAGGCACAGTGGCTCACATCCCCAAATATCATGGGGAGTTAATTTGCTCTCACAAGAAAACATGGCTTTTCATGGCTTAAGACAATAAAGATGGATTTCTCCCTCAATCGGTCGGGTCAGTAGGGGTTCGGCTCCACCTGGTTATTCAGGATCCCAAGTGATGGACACTGACCTCTCAGCAAGCGGCCCCATTGCCAAGGCGGGGGAACAGCAGAAGTGCAGAACTTCGCCGGGCGCGGGGGCTCACGCCTGGAATCGCAGCACTTTGGGAGGCCGAGGCGGGCGGATCACGAGGTCAGGAGATCGAGACCATCCTGGCTAACACGGTGAAACCCCGTCTCTACTGAAAATACAAAAAAATTAGCTGTGCTTGGTGGCGAAGCCTGTACTTCCAGCTACTGGGGAGGCTGAGGCGGGAGAATGCCGTGAACCCGGGAGGCGGAGCTTGCAGTGAGCCGAGATCGCGCGGCTGAACTCCAGCCTGGGCGACAGTGAGACTCCGTCAAAAAAAAAAAAAAAAAAAAACAGTGCAGAACTTCCAGCCACTGTTCTATGCTTTACCCCAGAGCTCCCACAAATCACACATTCCCCCTCAGCCCCTACAAATGGCTCCTGTCTGACTAGACACAAGCTGTGGCATGTGGGTGAGCACACGGGTATTCAGAGAGCATTAAATGTCTCTGAAACATCTGGAATCCTTTTTCGGAAGGTCAGAAATGCTCACACTGCACTCACTCAAAGTCCGGCTCCAGTTTTAGAGAGAAGACGTACCCTAAGAACCTTGCTCCTCCTACCTACTTCCTGGCTTTAGAATTGAAAGCCATTCATCAAATGTTCTTGTTTTTAAAGAAAAATAGAAGGTAATATTTGATTTCTCATTAAAGAGACATTGATGAGAATAGAAAGAGCTCTTGCTTTAGAATAAACAGAACGATCTGACTCTAGCTCTAACCTTTATTGCCCATGATACTGAACATTTCTGTATTTTGGGATTTTTTTTACATATTAATGAAAAATCAGCTTGTTAGGAAAATTTTCCTAACTAAATTATAATCTCCTTGAAAGCAGAATCCTCAGCCTAATGCATCTCAAGACCTCCTGAAACACCTAGCATGGCCTCCTTCATGAGCCGAGCTGAGTTACAGCTGCGTCAGGAGTCCTTTCTCCTGCTGGGTGTAGCATGTATTTGTTCTCATCAGGGAAAAGAGACAGCATCTGTCTGGTGCTGATTCATATCAAACTGCAGGTTGTAATCATAGTTTTCGACATTTGAGCTTTAGTATTTCTGATTCTGTCAAGTGGCTTCTGGATCAAACAAACTCTTACCTAGATTAGGGCATGAGGCTTTCATTATTAGCATGTTGGTCTGAAAGCTCTCCCACATTAACACTCTCAGAGGATCACTTTGACTGGTGTATTTGATCTTCGGCTTCTTAAAAAGGAGATAAAATGTTCCGTTCATTGTACTTCACACATTATCTCTGAAAATGTAAACCAAGTCTTATTTTCTTATCCAATCACACCCAACTTTCTTCACTTGGCTTTGAGACATTATTTAATCTGTCCTTTCCTTATTTCTCTATCTCCATGTGGTCCAAAGCTTGCAAAGACCTGTATGAAGGGGTAACATGGTTTGGATTAAACATGCTTGTCCTCTCAAGGAAATAATAACTTTTAGAAGTTTTTGCAACACTGCCCACATTGCCCTAACATGTATTGTCATTTTTTCCATCGGGAGGTGGGGTCTGTTCCGCCACCACGACCATCCTGCGAAACTTGACTCTGGAAAGGATTGTGACTGCTTAGACCCATGCATGTGGCAGATGTGGCCTGGGTGACTCCCAAGCTGGGTCATAAAAGAGGATCTGACTTTTGCTTGTACCCTGGAACATTCATGCTTGGTGTCATAAGCCGCCATACAGGAAAGACAATTGCTCCAAAGACACCAAGCTGTGAGGAAACCAAGCCACATGGAAAGGCCACATGTAGGCCCTCCTGGCAGCAGACCTAGTCTTTGCATCATTCCAGCCCAGACCTGGGAGTAAGTGAGACCATTCTATCCAACTATCAGGTCTTTCCAGCTAATGACCCAGATATCATGGATTAGAGATAAGCCATCATCCCTGTGTCCCTTCTGAATGCTACACTTACGGAATCAATGAAGATAACAAAATGATTGTTCTACACCTTGAAGTTTTAGGGACATTTATTGCAAAGCAAAGTAACTGGAACAGAAATCCATGCCTGTAGGCCCTGTATTGATTTGCTGGGGCTACTGTGGAAAAGTACTACAACTGGGCAGCTTACACAACACGAATATACTGTCTCACAGGTCTGAGGCCAGAAGTCCAAAATCGAGGTGTCGACAGGGTTGGTGCCTTCCAAGTGCTGTAAAGAAAAGACCTGTTTCAGGCCTCTCTCCTCAGCTCACTGGTGTCTGTCTTCTCCCTGTGTGTTTACATCACCCTTGCTCTGTATCCGCCTGCATCTACATTTTTTCCTTATTTCTCTGTCTCCAAATGCAGTCACATTCTGAGCTACTGGAGGTTAAGATTTCAAGATGTGAATTATTGGAGAGCACAATTCAACTTGAACAGGTCCCAAAGCAACTTTCATATGGTGTGGTGTCTCTGGTACCATGAAAGAAATTGTTTAAAATGATTGCATGATTTTGGGGCCAAGTTCTATCTTTCGAGTGTACACAGATACGTATATGTATTTCCGACATATGTCTATATACATGTACGTGTGTGTGTATACCTTGAAGATTTTGTGACTATTCTTCTCCTAGGAGCAGTGATGCAAAAGAATCACCCTGGATCTAGGGCGGATGAGTTCACTGTGGGCTACTCTCCACAGATTTGGGAACAGGGACAGTCAGAGCTAAGGAACCTAGATTCAAGGGTGCCTAACACCGAGCTAGCCCCTATTCTGCAGCCATTTTGGAGGGGGTTTGGCCCCTGTTCCCTTGCAATGGAGAGTCAAATTCTGTAATACTCAGACCACCTCATGAGAGGCTGTGAAAGTAAGATTTAGGAAAGTGTCAGACTCAGCTGAGCAGAATCAGACCCAGAAGACTTAATGATAAAGCAAAATTTTCTCCTCAGGAAGAAAAACGAGGAAGAATGAAGAGATCCCTGCAGAAATTCCATCAGTCAGCACCCCCCCTTGAAGCAGCAGCTGGGAACAGCACTCTGCAGGCTGGTGGTCATGACAGAGAAGCCCTCTCAGATGTAGCCAAGTAGACATCTGTTATCAACGCATTTGCAGGATTTTAGGGGCTATAAATTTCAAGAGGCACCTTCCATAGGATGATGAGAGCAAAATGGGCCCCTGGGGCCAAGAAACTGTGTGGACTGGGGAGTGGGCTGACTGTAACAGGAACAGCAAGACTTGTGAGAAAGGAACTTGTACTAGAACCCTGAGTGGATGACGCAAGAACGAGACTCCTGACCACACCTTCTGCCAGAGCTGGTCTGGTTTCCCCGCACAGTTGTGGCAACCTGACCTCCCCACAGGCTCATCCCCAGTCTGGTCTTTCCTAGACTTAATGCTGACCTTAGATAGAAAGTACTGAAGGCGGCTTTGGCCAATATCCTTGGGTTGGGCAGCACTGCCTCCTATTGTCCAGCACAGATATGGCACCGTAGGTTTCACATCTGGGCTTATGCTTCATTCCCAAGATTTATTATTAAGCTTTCACATCACTTGTGTTACCCAGAATCCAAGTCTCTCATTTGGAAACATGTCTCTCTCCTCTAGGCTGAGGTCCTGTCTCTCAGAACTTGGGTACCAGCCCCTGACTTCCCTGGGTGCCAAAACCTTGAGTCTCTCATTCGGAAACATGTCTCTCTCCTTTAGCCTGAGGTCCTGTCTCTCAGAGCTTGGGTACCAACCCCTGACCACCCTGGGTGCCAAAACCCTGAGAAGCGCTGCAAGCCCCCGGCCTGGACGTATTTCTCAACAGAGCCCTTGCTGGGCTTCAATCCTCCTCCACGTCACCTCCATTACTCTGGCAAAACACCTTCCCCTCAGCCACCTCCCACCTAACTCACTGTTCTTGCTCCTTGTCTTCCAGACACTGAGTTCCTCCTGTCAGCCCAGACTCTCGATATGAACATGTAACCAGTATCTGCCCCGTCCTTGTAAGGGGATTTGTCTCTGTTTTAACAGACTCTGGATGTGAACATAGAACCAGTATCTGCCCCGTCCTTGTAAGGGGATTTGTCTCTGTTTTAACAGACTCTGGATGTGAACATAGAACCAGTATCTGCCCCGTCCTTGTAACCGGATTTGTCTCTGTTTTAACAGACTCTGGATGTGAACATATAACGAGTATCTGCCCTGTTCTTGTAAGGGGATTTGTCTGTTTTAAAATGTAGGCTTTATGATTATTCAGATGTGGTGAGGCCAGCAGGTCAGAAGACAATACGACTGAAAAGATGGTTTGTTACTCACAGGTCGCAGGACAAGTGGGCTCTGCACACCAGAGGCCCACATGGAAAAGCACTGGGGTCACTCAGGAGGCAGAGGGAGTGAGAGAAAGACACAGGCAAGAGTCTTCATTACAGTTCCCACAGGAAGGTACATGAGGCAGGATAAGCAGGTTTAGGATTGGCTAGTTTGAATAACCTTGATGGCCCCTGGGGCTGTTCCTAGTTGTCCAGGACCTGGCCTTGAGCAATCAGGGCAGCAGAACAGTGGCCCTGAGTCTGAGAGCTCCTAAAGAAGTGGGTTGGGGGTATGGCTCTGGGTTGGTTGGTTTGCATTTGAAAGACACACTTGAAGGTGAACCCTTTACTATCTCTAGGAATTGGCTAACTCTGGGAGCGGCAGGCAAGATCGCAGATATCAAAGCATCGGAAAGAAAGACCTGGTTAATAAAGCCTCCAAAAGTCTGAGCCACATCCTGCCATGGTGAACTAGGTATACCCTGACCCATCCCAAGAAATTGTTCCTTCTGTCTTATCTGGAATAAAGGCACTAGTGCACCTCTGCAAGGAAGGGCACCAGCAAGTCTATGTATGGCCCTGATGAGGCAGGTCTGATATTGGCCTAAAAGCCCAGGTGAGGGTTTAGGCACCAAACCATCAAAAGTGTGCATTTGTTGCCTGTGTTTTGCCGCTGGAGTTATACTAATTCCTGTCGCTTTCAGTCGCTGCTCTAGCTAGGCTGGTCTCCATGTGCCACAAAACTATCATAATCACTGCTAAATCCAGGCACTTCACTTCTACTTTTTCCTCTTCTAGAGTTCTTTCCTGTCTTCTCTCTGCCTATGCAAAAGCTACCATTTTTTATAATTGGGGTTTCAGAAGAAAAAACAAAAATTAAATTCTAATGGCTCATATCCCTTCTATAAGCTGAGAACTATATGAAGGTCTTCATATATTATTTCCTTTAGTTCCGTTGGCAAGCCTGAAGGTCGAACATCATCGGCACTTTATCCACTAGGACACAGAGGTGTGAAGCCATTTAACTGACATGCTACACCAGGCAAGAGGCAAAGCTGGGAGCTGGCATCTGCCCAGTCTGACAGCAAAGCCCCCGCCCTTTGCATTCAGCAATGCAGACTCCAAGCCTCACCTCCTCCTGGCAGTTGACCTCAGTCGTCACTCCCTTCCTGGAAATCATTCAACTGTTCTTGGCAGGTCACACATTTTAGATTTTAACTATGGGTTTACTAGAAACTATTTGCCATTTAGACCACAAGCTCTTGGGAAGTAGGCATAATGTCCAACATGACTTCTGTTTCCCACAAAGTATCTTAGCGGTTCTTCCTAGATGCCTAAATGATTGACTTTTACATCTGGGACAGTTCAGTTACAATAGTCGCACTATTTTCCTTCCATTAAATGGGCAAATTGAAGACCATAAATTAAGAGATAAAAACAAACTAACCGTTCCGACTTCCGATCTGTGATGTTGAGATCTAGAAAATGCATTGCTCCGGGATCAACTAGAGCTGAGGAGGAGAAACACTCATGAAGGTCACGCCTCTGTGAACCAAGGACGGAGGTGGAGACCGAGGCTGGGTCAGAACAGCAGAGGATGTGTCCAGCACGGTTCCCTGCACTAACAAGCTTCCAGCGTGAGCAGCAAGGTGCCACGGAGCACTGCGGGGAGCAAGGTGCAACACTGCTGGGAGCAAGGTGCCGCGGGCACTGAGGAGCGAGCTATAAGAGACCGGCGCTCTCCACCGCACAGCACAGAGGGAAGGCCCAAAGCTGAGAGTGGAGCAGACTTTGAGAAACACTTTGGGGAACTGTCCCCACATCAAATACACAGGATTGCTAGAGGAATCTGAAGACTGTGGATCATGGAGGATAATTATAGGAACTACAAATCTCAAACCCTTCCCAACTCCTCACTAGATGAACACAAATGCCCACACTAAAGGCCTCGCAGATCACCCACTTCCACACACAAAAACTATCTAGCTTTGTCTCTACTGTCCTGAACAAGATGTCTGACTTTCCAACAAAAAATTACAAGGCATGTGAAAAGACAGAAAAAAAACAATGCGCTGCCAAGAGACAAAGAAATCTGCAGCCAGGTGCCATGGCTCATGCCTGTAATCCCAGCACTTTGGGAGGCTGAGGCGGGTGGATCACCTGAGGTCAGGAGTTTGGGAACACCCTGGCCAACATGGTGAAACCCCGTCTCTACTAAAAATACAACAAAATTAGCTAGGCGTGGTGGTGCATGCCTGTAATCCCAGCAACTTGGGAGGCTGAGGCAGGAGAATCGCTTGAACCCAGGAGGCGGAAGTTGCACTGTGCCCGGAATTGGTGGGTTCTTGGTCTCGCTGACTTCAAGAATGAAGCTGCGGACCCGTGGACCCTGGCGGTGGACCCTCGCGGTGAGTGTTACAGTTCCTGAAGATGGTGTGTCCGGAGTTTGTTCCTTCAGATGTTCAGATGGGTCCAGAGTTTCTTCCTGCTGGTGGGTTCATGGTCTGGCTGACTTCAGGAGTGAAGCTGCAGACCTTTGCGGTGACTGTTACAGCTCAAAAAGGCAGCATGGACCCAAAGAGTGAGCAGCACCAAGATTTACTGCGAACAGCGGAAGAACAAAACTTCCACAGCCTGGAAAGGGACCAGAGCGGGTTGCCACTGGTGGCCCCACCCACATCCTACTGATTGGTCCATTTTACAGAGAGCTGATTGGTCCATTTTATAGAGAGCTGATTGGTCCATTTTACAGAGAGCTGATTGGCCCATTTTGACAAAGCGCTGATTGGTGCTTTTACAAAACTTTAGCTAGACGTAAAAGTTCTCCAAGTCCCCACCAGATGAGCTAGACACAGAGTGCTGATCAGTGTGTTTACAAACCTCTAGCTAGACAGAGTGCTGACTGGTGTGTTTATAAACCTCTAGCTAGACACAGAGTGTTGATTGGTGCATTTACAAAGCTCTAGCTGGACACAGAGTGCTGATTGGTGTGTTTACAATCCTTTAGCTAAACAGAAAATTTCTCCGAGTTCCCACCCTACCCGGAAGCCCAGCTGGCTTCACCTCTCAATGGCACTGGCCATGGGACTTTTCGGCACCCAGCCCGGGCACTCTGGCAGCCCAGAGGGAGCTCGTCCCCGTATCAAGCCCGGTCAAGCCCAGCAGGTGCCGGCCGGCCTCGCGGAGTGCGGGGCCTGCAGAGCCGCGCCCACCTGGAACCCGCGCCCCGCGCCGGCCCGCCAGCAATGCGTGCAGCCCGGGCTCGGCCTGCGCCTCTCCCTCCACACCTCCCCGCGAACAGAGGGAGCCGGCTCCAGCCTCAGCCAGCCCCAGAGAGGGGTCCCCACAGCGCAGCGGCCGGCTGAAGGGCTCCTGGAGCGCGGCCAGAGAGGACACTGAGGCCGAGGAGGCGCCCAGAGCGAGCAAGGGCTGCTAGCACGTTGTCACCTCTCAGCACCATTGCACTCCAGCCTGGGAGACAGGGCGAAACTCCATCTCGAAAAAAAAAATAAAAGGGAATCTGCATAACTAGACTCAGGTGCGACACAGATGTTGGAGCTATCTGATAAAGAGCTTAAAATAATTATGATTAATAAGTTAAAGCCTTCAATAAAGAGGTGGATGATGTTTAAGATCAGACAGATTATTTCAGCATAGAGATGGAAACTGTAACAAATAATGTAGTTCAAATCCCAGAAATAACAGACAGTAATAGAGATGAAAGCATCTTCTACAGCCCCATTGGAAGACTTAACCGAGAAAATAATCAGTAAACTTAAAGACAGGTCCATAGAAAGTACCTAGGCTAAGACACAAATAAAAAAGACTGTACAGCAGCAGACACGGAATAATGCACCCAAGCACCGTGAGAGACTATCAAATGATCTAACACACGTATACGTGGAATCTCTAAAGAGAGAGAGGAGGAGAATAGGACAAAAGAAATAATAGCCAAGAGTGTCACAAACAGACAACAATGACAGACAACAAATCTCTGAGCCAAATAGCTCACAATACCATACAGGAGTAAGTACCAACACACACACACACACACACACACACACACACACACATACATACACACACACACAGACACACACAGAGACACATGCATACTCACAAGACACACAGAGACAAACACACATACACACATACATACACACACACACACAAGCGCATGCGCATGCATGAACGCCTATATATTTTGTATTCAAACTGAAAACAAAACACAAACAGGTAATCCTGAAGTCAGCCAATGAAACACACATTTCTGTTGGGAGCCAGCTTTCCACAGCTCTCTCCTGTTCCCGAACATCTTACAAAGTGTGTCACTGATTGCTCGTTGTCATTTGTTTGTTGTCTCCTGTCTTCTACCAGCTTCTATGAAACTACAGCAGGCTAAATTTTTAGCTTAAAAGTAGAATAAAAGTTCAGACGCTTTATAGCTCTTACAAATTGTATAACAAGGAGCACAGAAAAATTACAGTAGATCTCACATCAGAAATCACGCAATACAGAATGCAATGGGGTGACATCTTGAAAGCGCTGAAAGAAAAAAAAATATCAACTCAGTGTTTTATTCCCTGTGAGAAAATGAAGGAGAAATAAAGACTTTCTCAGACAAATAAAAACGGAGAGAAATCATTGCCAACAGACCTACATGTAAGAAATGTTAAAGGGAGTTCTCTGGGAGGAAGACATATGACACCAGACAGCAACTTGGATTTATACAAAGCAATGAACAGTGTTAGAAACAGAATAAATGAATATTGGATCTCTAGGTCATCAATACCTGTCCCAACCATCCCTAAATTTGGTCACTTGATAGCCAGCCCCCCAAGTGGTATTGAGAAGAGAGGAACAGTCCTACCACCAGGATGAGGAACCAAGACAGTGCATTAATAGTATTGAGGCCAACTGCATCATACAGTTTTAAATGCCTTGACAATAAATAGCACAAAGAATATTCAGAGTTGAAGTAATTCAAATGCAGACATGTTTCTGAGGGCATCAATTCTTGGGGCTACTGCTACTGCAAAAGTTATCCAGACTCTACCTAGAGAGGTGAGCAACATTCCTTTGGCTGAAATGAATGGAATAAGAGAAAATTGGAAAAATGGAAAAGAAAATTCTATGAAAGGGACAATTTATTTAGGGAAACTTCAACACTCTATAGAAATGAGAAATCACAATGGGAGGTGTTTTGCTTTGTTAGTTTGTATAGGTGGCAGCAGACTTAGGGTTTTTTTCTGTTCACTTGGAGCACAGACCATTTGGACTATGCCGGTTTCTGGGAAGCATGATTGGACAACATGCCATTACCAGTGTTCAGCAATATCCAGCTCTCTTCTTCTTTCTGGGCAGATGGGAGACTATGCTTCCCAGACGCTTGCAGTTAGGCAGAGCCATATAACAACTTCTGGCCCAGGAAACGGGAGCAGAAGCAATATGTGTCACTTTCAGGCCAAAGCCGCGAAAAGTCTCTCCACAGCATCTGAGCTTCTCATTCTCTTTGTCAAAGAACCAGGTCTGGTGTGGAGTTGGTAGAGCAACAGGCTAAAGCTGTATGAATTGCTGGATCATTGCATGGAGGACAGCTGCCCTGGAGAGCTGCCTGGACCCACAGAGGATTCCTATACATTTTTTTCACATTAAGCCACTGAAGAAAAAAAATACCACAGGAAATTAACAATTTTCAAAACTGTTCTTTTACCTAAAGCTCTTTTCATATCTTCAGAATATTTTCTTAGACACAACAGAAAAGAAAATTAGGAGGCAAGAATAAAAAAAAACTTCAAGACGGAAAATATTTTTAAAATTTTCATTCAGATTTTTTTTTTACTTTTAATATATCGGCAAGCATAAGGCTATCTTTGGTTTCCATGCAACTGGCATTGATCATGTTCGTGAATATAGCTAGGATACCAGGGCCAAACCGTGTGTGCTCACTTGTTTTCCTGTCTCAGAACAACATGATACTGAAAAGCGGAGTCCCTCGTGTGATGAAAACGTCTCCAGTTCGCAATCAGTTGAAAATGCAGTGGGCCCACAGCCAGAAAGCATTCCTGTGCCGGATCTTTTTTTCAGCACCCTAAATTAACCAGCTGGAATTCCCTTTTAAGTGCCAACCTACTCAGTTTTTCAGAATGCAGAACTTTTCTTTTAATGGGATCTGTCTCTCATCATAAAGGTGGAACCGTGCATTCTTGATGTCTCTCAAAAGCAGTCTTTTTTATACAGTAAGCTCAGGGAGGGTAAACACAGACGCCAGAGCACTGGTTTGAGACGGGGATGTAGCCGCTGTGCAGAGACTCGGGTAGGGCACCGGCTATCGCGGAGTGAAACCCTCAGCACAGTATCCAGGACTGCCTTGTGCAGAACAGGTCAAGATAAAAGAGGCTATTGTAAATAAATATTTAAATTAATTAAATCTATTGATGAGGAAGAGCTCCATGATGTAGGAGCAGAAGAACTGATGCAATATTTCAAAACTGAGGCTGGGCGTATTCCCGCAGTGTTCCAGGCTGAGGCTGGGCGTGTTCCCGCGGTGTCCCGGGCTGAGGCCGGGCGTGTTCTTCCGGTGTTCTTCCGGTGTTCCGAGCTGAGGCCGGGCGTGTTCCCGCGGTGTCCCGGGCTGAGGCCGGGCGTGTTCCCGCGGTGTCCCGGGCTGAGGCCGGGCGTGTTCCCGCGGTGTCCCGGGCTGAGGCCGGGCGTGTTCTTCAGGTGTTCCGGGCTGAGGCCGGGCGTGTTCCCGCGGTGTCCCGGGCTGAGGCCGGGCGTGTTCCCGCGGTGTCCCGGGCTGAGGCCGGGCGTGTTCTTCCGGTGTTCCGGGCTGAGGCCGGGCGTGTTCCCGCGGTGTCCCGGGCTGAGGCCGGGCGTGTTCCCGCGGTGTCCCGGGCTGAGGCCGGGCGTGTTCTTCCGGTGTTCCGGGCTGAGGCCGGGCGTGTTCTTCCGGTGTTCCAGGCTGAGGCCGGGCTTATTCTTCCGGTGTCCCAGGCTGAGGCCGGGCGTATTCCCGCGGTGTTTCGGGCTGAGGCTGGGCGTATTCTTCCGGTGTTTCTCACATTCTTGTTTGGGAAACTATAACGCGCTGCTCAAAGATCATCTTAATTCTGAAATACCCAAAATCAAAACGCAAGATAGTGAAGGCTATAAAACTCTCACCGTATAAAGATTAACTGATGTAATAGAGGCTTTCCATTTATCTATTCAAAACAGATTACTTGCACATCTGTTAGATGCCAGGTCATGGACTCACCTACCTCATTTATGCAGTGCATGGTATCTTGAGATACTAATACTTTGTCCTCCCTGGATTTTTTCTTCTCCCCAGTGTAGCAGAGTGGGGCATGGGCTATGGAGTCAGCCCGCTATGGCATGTTCTACCACTATACCCTCTCCAGCTATTTCACCTGAATGTTACTTAATCTCTTCCTGCTTGAATTTCCTCATCTATAAAATGAAAATCATATCAGTGAGCATTAAAGACTTAAGACATAGAAAGCATTTAGAAAAGTGACATCACAGACCTCAGTGCGACTCATTATGATTTGCTATTATTATTCTCTTCTTAGCCCTGATTCAAACTGATAGCACTTTCTTGTCTTGGAGAAAGTGTATGACAGAGGAGAAAGCGGAAGTGTTTAGGAAAGTCACTCTGAGGTAAGGGGATCATGCACACCAGTGGAAGGCTCTGAGAACATAGCTTGCCAGTGGCTCTGAACCCTCCCAGAAGCCGCCTCCTGCCACAGCCCTGTCCTTGACCAGGAAGGGAACTCTTGCTAAATACCTCATAGGCCCTGGGTTTCCTCAGCCTGCTCTCAGGGGTCTTCCCTCAAAAGCACAGCTTGTTATTCATGCTATCTCTTCCCCAGGCAACCAGAACCAGGGCCCTGTCCTGCTCTCCCTTGGATCAGGCCCCCTAGGCCACCAGGTGCTTGACTCAGCCTTAGACAGCCTCAGCTAGTTCTGGTGCAGAGCAGGTCTTTGACCTGTTCCATAAAGTCCACCGCTTTGCATAAAGTCATTCTCTGTGATCCTACACTCATTTCCCTTCCCGTTACAGGACACGTCCTCACCTGTCAGGAGTAAGCTAGAGCTGGCTTGCACTGGCTAGGGAAGTTGACTATACTAATGCCTTCTAAACTCTGCTCAGTAATGAGATGCTGATAGCTTAAAACTGGCCATGGAGGGAGTATTTACACCTCAGAAATGCAACAGATGTACATTAGAACTTTTTTACCCAGCTACCACTCTGCCTCAGACCTAGAGGCATAGAATTCCCCCACCCTCACTATCTCTGGACCCCTTGGTGTAGACCAGAATCCTGGGCCTTTTGCTTAGTTGGAAAGAAAGGTGGATAATATTCTCCTTAAATGGTCTCCCATGTAATTCCAATTTCTTCTCCACACTGTTGCCAAAGTTTTCTTTATAAAACACATACTCTAATATGCACAGTTTAAACTTTAACATGATATTCACAGTCCTTCTAATCTGGCCCTAACCTTTCTTTTTACTGCTTTTATCTTAACACATATTTATACATTCTCTTCTTGATCCCAGTGATCACTTGCTATTCCCCAAAGATTACCTGCACTTTCAGGCCTCCATGCCTTTACCTACCCATGGGATGCCCAGCCTTTACCTACCCATGGGATGCCCAGTCTTTACCTATCCATGGGATGCTCAGCCTTTACCTATCCATGGGATGCCCAGCCTTTTAGCCTTCTTAGGCCACATTGGAAGAAAAATAATTATCTTGGGCCACACATAAAATATACCAACACTAGTGATAGCAGATAAGCTAAAAGAAAAAGAAATCACACACAAAGAAATCTCATAATGTTTTAAGAAACTTTACCAATTTGTATTGGACTGCATTCAAAGCCATCCTAGGCCCCATGTGGCCTGGGGGCTACGGGCTAGAACAGCTTGACCAATACTGTTTCCTTGTCCTAGAAGGTGCCCTGTTTGAAACTGACCTCTGAGGCCATCTTCCTGCCTGTGGAGAACAGCCCTGGTACATTCCTTCTTCATCCCTTCAGTAGAACATTAGCAACACCTAATTTTAGATGGCTGTGCTCATGTTTCCTCTTCCCTGCTAAGTTTTCTGCTCCCAAATGGGCATCTGTATCTTACCTTTATATCTACTAGACCAAGATAGACCTCAGTAAAATATCCATGCTCAAAACAACATTTGTGACTAAATTAATGAAGGACTGGAAAAGCCATTGAAAGAAAACAATGGAAACAAAAATTCTTCTTTCTCTTCCCTTCCTGAACAATTCATTCCAAAGGCCATTGAGTGGGTTTGGGCAGGAAAGACAACTATGCCACCTATGAGCAGATGGGGACAGAATGAGGTGACCCCCAGCACAGTGGCAGAGCCTGGGTGGGAAAGGAGGGCAACCAAGAGGGGGCCAGGCAGGAAAGATGCCGGTGTCAGAGCCCAAGCAGGGTAAGAAGGGCACCCACACAGAACTATGTCAAAAGATACCAAGCCACCTGAAAGAGGCTCCCATAGCAAAAGCCAGAAAACAAAATCACCATTAAATAAGTAATGGTAACAGGATAAAATTTATTGAATAAAATAGAAAACCACAAATCGTCATGATGTAAATAAATATATGAATCAATTGGAGTTTGATGAGGAACCTCATGTTTTTATAGTCTCAACATACTTCCCACCAAGTATGTGCTAATTGCAAAGGAAAATAAATAACTTTAATGAATAACTTTAACTTTAGTATATTACATACTAGACAATGTTTGTGCAATAGTTTATGAACACAAAGTACTATTATTATGGCAGCACTAAATACTCCATCTGCCTGTGGAGTACACTGGTAGATATTATTTTAATCAAGTGATCCAACTACACATTATCAGTAATGGGACATATCAAAGTTGGGCACCTCCTCTTATGATGCAGTGAGAGAAGAAAGCAAAGTGTCTCTTTTTCACGGTGTTTCCACCATGTTTTTAGTGGCATTTCTACCAGCGATGCGTATCTTGTATATAATCATGAGGAAACATCAAACAAATCCAAATTAATGGGCATTCCACAGGCATTGGCCTGTCCTTTTCAAAGTTGTCAAGATAATGAAGGTCAAGGAGAAAATGAGGCACTTTTCCAGAGTGAAGGAAATGAGAAGGCTGCGGTACTCCCTTGACATGTGGGGATTACAATTTGAGATGAGATTCGGGTGGGGACACAGAGCCAGACCACACCAACATTTAAGTGCAACAGGGGATTCTGAACTTGATACGTTTGCTATGAAGAATAATATTGTTAGGACAATTAGCAAATTTGAATTGACTCTGCAAATTAAATAGTAGAAACATATCAATATTAATTATCTAATGTTGATGATTATATTGAGTACATGTAGGAATATTCTTGCTTATAGGAAACACAGCACAGAATAGAACGATGGCGTATTAGATCAGTAATTTGTTCTCAAAAGGATGACGAAAAATCATTATTTTCATTGTGCTTATAACTTTTAGAATAAAAACTATAAAAATTGTGTTAATGTATAAATTATTTCTAGTAACTGATAATTAGTCTTTTCTGGAGAACCAACTATACTGATTCTCTGTGTAAACTACTTTTACTAAGTATTAGCAATAAGACCTTTTGATTTTCTTTCTTTTTCTCTTGGCATATTTGGTGCATGTTTTTAATTGTAAAAAATCAAATATATGTTTACTTCATAAATATTGTATTTTTTTAAACTTCTGAGTATGAGTATAGAATTTTTATGCTAAGAAAAATAATTGCGTTTTGGTTTGGTTTCAGTGCTTTTTTTAAAAAAATACTAGTAGTAATAGCAAAAATTAATTTCTTTAACAATCTCTTTTCCTAGATCCACATTTGGTTTTCGGATGTTTGTGAATGGATAAAAGTAGTTTGGTCCCTGTTGCCTCAGGGTGTTTTAAAACCGAAATGGAATATATCAAAGCAGTCAACCACAAACACATACACCTGTGCCCTCAGAAGAGGCACATGGAGCTAAGTGATGACCCTACGCCATGCAGGTACAAACCTGACCTCCCAGCTCCTTTGTCCAGCCCATCATCTTCCTGGGAAGCAACATGACTACTTGGGTTTCAGTTGCCCTCTTTTCCTTGATTCTGAGATTTTATGTCTTCATATTTTAACATTTCTGAAATAAAGAGTAATTTTAAAATCTATGTTCAAAGAAATATGATTGCCCGTACATGTATGAGCATAGCTAAATATGTTGGAATAGGTGACAAAATTTTTAGAGCAAGGGGAGGTAAACCCATGAAGAACCATAAGACAGGCTCAAAAATACTATCTATCAACAGCATCAAGCAGTTGACCTCTCAGAGATCCATGAGTCAAACAAGGAAGGCATGAAACAACAAGTGCAGACACAGCTTTTTCGATGTGCATGGAAAGCATAGAAGCCAGTCACTGTCCTAGTGCTGAGGAGGCCTGAGCAGGAACATGGGTTGTAAGATGCAGAAGTCATTGCAATATTGCCATCATGGCAGATACTAGAAAATGATTCAGGAAAAACCTTAGACGTAGGACATGACAAAGGTTTAGACTCAAACTTCAGAACATAGCATAAATTGGCATAAGTAAACAAATGCTATGGTCAGCATTAAAATTTGTCTACATTTCATGCATTTTTAATGCATAAAAGCTGTATATCTTAAAAATGAGGGTGTCATATATTTTTTAAAAAAACACCAATTCCATAGAGTTTTCACTGACACAATGACTAAAATGGCCAATCATTCTTCCTTTTCAAAAGCTAACGATAACATGAACAAGGATGGAGAAATATGGGATTTGAATTCCTAATTCCTTAATGTCTTGAATTAGGACTTAAATCTCCATAAGGAAAGGGTAGCTGAAGCATTTTCTCAAGGCAATGAGCCTGGGAAAACATGGCACTGTGCAAATAGCATGATGTCATCATCAGATGGCTTCATTCTTCAGTTTACGACTTCTCTTTCACTTCCTAATTATTCTCTTCTGTGTGTGCCAGTGGAAGACTAGGTAGGGTTTTCTAATAATGTTGTTATTAGATCTAATTATTAGATCTAATAATGTTGGCATAGAGTCGGCCCTCAATAAATATTTGCTGAGGGCCAACTAAATAGCTGCTAAATAAATATTTGTTTATTCATACTGACTATTTGAATAAAGCAATTGATTGAGTAGAATTAGTTCAACCACACAGAAAAGAGTGTTACTATCCCCTCTGCCCTACACGGCTTCTAACATGGAAAATGTTCTGAGCTCCATTTTCATTCTGTTTATGAGAACTTTAAGTGTCTTACTGTGGGACTGCTGAAGTTCTGTGAAAAAAATACATCTTACAGATCATATTCAACTACAAAAGAAACTTGTCAGAGAGTTTTATTCTTAAAAATGCCAAAACACCTGTTTTGAAAGCTAACCTATAAACCTTTTCCTTTGTAGATTATATTTCATTATGCTGTTTTGATTAGAACTCTGTTTTACTACACCCTAGGGTGTCAGCATGAAGAGTGAGGCTGAGATAAAATTCTGATTCATGGACTAATGAAAGTCTTGATACTTCACTTCCAAGATGACCTTTATCTTCACTCTGGAGCTCTCACTCAAAGAGCTAAAAGGTCTTGCTGGGCTCAGGCATTCTATATTGTCTCTTTCTTCCACAGTCTAGATGCCAACGTTTGTAATTGTGCAGCAGATGGATATCAAAAACATACAAATTAGATACAAATGGGGTCATATTTGGCCTCTCCAACTTGGCCTATTCTTTTTTCATCAACAGCAAAGGTGCCCCGTTTCAGCATACACTTCCCATTTGTCAGTCACTGGCTTCTCTGGTTTTGGTGTCCTCTTTAATAAGGGGGGACAAGCAATCGAATCCGATAAGAAAGGTTTTGGCCCTTATTTTCTCCTGCTGATGAAATTTCCACAAATATTAAAAGAAATATTTTGGCTGTGTGGACACAACACAAAAATGCAGACTTCTTTTTTTTTTTTTTTTTTTTGAAGGACTGTATCTGGTCAAAGTCCACAGGATTGTTTTAACCTAGTCCTTGGATTAGAGAAATCATAAAACTCATACAGGACTCTTAGGTGTTTACTTCATAGTATCATTTGAAATCAGTAAGCATTAAGTCAGAAACGATGGGCGAGGTAAGGTATTATATTAAATTAAGTGGTAAAAACAGCACAGAATGTGGAATTCGAAGATCTGTTCTTGATTTTCAAGCACTGTCCATCAGTTAAAATTAATTAGATGTGTGACTTTTTCAGAAATTTGGCCTCTTCATCCTTAAAACTGAGAATATGTATTTATACCTAATAATATCGAGAACAACATAATCACTATATTTACTTCACAAGATTATTTAGAAATTCAAAGAAGATAAGATTTGTGCAATAATTTATGACCACAGAGTACTATTATTATGGCAGCACTAACTCATAAACAAGAAGCCATCACGTTTGTTGACCCTACAAAAGCACTGTACCTTCCAATAATTCTAGATACCTGGGAACGTGGCATGATTTCAGTATCCATGCTGCAGGATCATACACCAGGGAATGCATACGATCCAAGAAGACATTCTCTTCAGTAGCAAATTCATCATGGTCAGAGGTAAAGCCACTGTTAGAAGCCAACATAGTCATGTGTAACACCATAATTAGATTGCTTGAAACTGACCTATGTCCAGTGCCAATATTTCCTAGGTTCTTTTAGGATTGTCCGTAGTTGATTGCAAATTTGAGAATATGGAATGAAGATAATATGTACCGTACACAACTTATGGGAAATGTAAACCCACAACATGGTACATTTGCTGTGAAGTCGGTCTGGATCACTTTCAAGGACTCAGAGGTGGGTAAGCCTACACAAGCCTATTCTGCATAAGTGAAAACTAACTTCAAGGAGCACCTGGTGAAGTGAGGAAGGCCTAGGGCTTGGGAGTGTTTAAACAGAAACTAAATAACCCTTGGTAAGAAATGTTACAGGAGGGGCTTAATCTTTTGGTAGGAGGTTGGGCCACCTTTGAGGGTTTCGAGTCAGTCTCTGTGACTCAGTGACGTTGCGTGTTTGATCAGTTTGTGTAACTGGACACTGCAACTAATGAAGTAAATAACACATATAAATTTAACTGAAAATTTTTCCAAGATTCAGATGTCAAATTTTATACTGTATAACTTCTCTTAGACCACTTCTGTTGACATTTCTGTAATCTAAAGACAGTATCTGCCTAAATCTTCCCCAAAAACAATAATTCTAAAGTTTGATATCCAAAGTTTAAAAAGATGTAGCAATTATTCTCATGCACTCTTAATATTGGAGGGAAATTAGGAGGCTTGAAAAATGCTCATTCCTTTTTGGCTCGGTACCTCTGGTAATTCTTCTAGGAACTTATTCTAAAAATGGTCAAAACATACACAAAGTTTATATATAAAGATACTCAATTGGGAGTTATATATACTGGTTAAAATGTTTTGTTTTGTTTTGAGATGGAGTTTCACTCTTGTTGCCCAGACTGGAGTGCAATGGCACGATCTTGATTCACTGCAACCTCTGCCTCTGCCTCCTGGGTTCAAGCTATTCTCCCGCCTCAGCCTCCCAAGTAGCTGGGATTACAGGCACCCACCACCACACCTGGCTAATTTTTGAATTTTTAGTAGAGATGGGGTTTCACCATGTTGGTCAGGCTGGTCTCAAACTCCTGACCTCAGGTGATCCACCCACCTCGGCCTCCTAAAATTCTGGGATTACAGGCAGGAGCCACTGCACCCAGCCTAAAATTTTAAAATAACCTTAATGACCAAAAATAAGGGATTAGTTAAATTATGCACATTTATATAATGAAATAATCTGCAGCCCATTAAAAATCATGTTTTATAAAACTTTATTAACAAAAAGAAATGCTCATGATATAAATTTTAAGAATATGTCTAAAAGCAATGTATATTGTGAGATCTCATTTTTGTTTTATATTTGTATAAAAAAATGGCATTTCCTCTGGCTTTTTCTTTGTGTACACACACACATACACACAGATACACACACACACACACACACACACACACACACACAGGCTAGAGAAAATATGCCAAAATATTAGTAGTAATTGCTATCTCTGAATGATAGAATTAGGCATGATTGTTCTTTTATTCCTTATGTTTCCCAGAATTTTCCAATTTTCTACTATGAACAAATACTTTTGTAATAGGGAAAATCATAAGTGTTATTTCTCTTTTAAAGCTCTTCAAATAAGTTCTTCTGAATTCCATGGCTACCATTTAATTCAATAAACACATTCTGAGGATTAAGTTGGGCCAGTGTTTTATCATTACTATCAAAATAAGAGAGACTGATGGAGACAAAAAACTTCATATGATACACTTTGATGTGTTACATAATATATAATATTTAAATATAATTATATTATTAAACATAATATAATACTTAGAATAATTAAATATATAATTATTGCTGAGTTGCTCTGTTTTATTGATTGATTGATTGATTGATTGATTGAGACAGGTCTCACTCTGTTGCCCAGGCTGGAGTGCAGTGGCACAGTCATGGCTCACTGCAGCCTCAATCTCCAGGGCTCAAGTGATCCTCCTTCCTCAGCCTCCCACGTAGCTGGGACTGAAGCCGTGAGCCATCATGCCTGGCTAATTTTTGTACATTTTGTAGAGACAGGGTTTTGCCATGTTGCCCAGGCTAGTCCTGAATTCCTGGGCTCAAGTGATCCACCTGCCTTGGCCTCCCAAAGTGCTGGGATTACAGGCATGAGCCATGACATCAAGGGGCTCTGTTTAATTTATAGTCACAATTTAAAGATTTATACTATGCGATATGTAATAAGGTACTTGTATTGTTTCCCATCATATTCTATTCTTTGTACATAATCAACGTTCAATATTTCTTAAGGAAAGAAAAAAGGAAGGGAAAGAGTAACGATTAAATGTATTCCTTATAAAAATGAGTATAGTTCCCTACTATGCTATTTCTATGAAAAACTTAAATTTGACATCGCTATTTTAGCATTTGTCCTATTTTTTCAGAATATATCCCACAGAACAAGACCGAAAAAAAATGGTGATTCTCCAAAGGCCACCAGTGAAGCAGTGATGGAAGTTTGTAGATATCACCCCAAACACACTTAGGCTCCAGGAGGCCACCTCAACAAATCCTGTGTTCAGTTTGGAGATGGAGACTTTCTTCACCATCCTGACTTGCTCAGTGCGACCTTGGGAAAAGAGAAGGATGCAGCTGAGCTGCTGGTCCTGAGGTGCCTCAACTGCCTGGCCACTGCATGCAAGGATGCGGCTGAGCTGCTGGTCCTGAGGTCCCTCACCTGCCTGGCCACTGCATGCAAGGATGCGGCTGAGCTGCTGGTCCTGAGGTCCCTCACCTGCCTGGCCACTGCATGCAAGGATGCGGCTGAGCTGCTGGTCCTGAGGTCCCTCACCTGCCTGGCCACTGCATGCAAGGATGCGGCTGAGCTGCTGGTCCTGAGGTCCCTCACCTGCCTGGCCACTGCATGCAAGGATGCGGCTGAGCTGCTGGTCCTGAGGTCCCTCACCTGCCTGGCCACTGCATGCAAGGATGCGGCTGAGCTGCTGGTCCTGAGGTCCCTCACCTGCCTGGCCACTGCATGCAAGGATGCGGCTGAGCTGCTGGTCCTGAGGTCCCTCACCTGCCTGGCCACTGCATTCCTCCCGCTGCCTCCCTTGTCTCTGTGGACCCGTCAGACTGCTGCCTCTGCTGATTAGTGACACAAGACCAACAGTGGTTCTGGAGAGACAAACTACCAAATTACACAGATTTAGCACATACGTGTGGAAAACAAAAAATTCAGGGCAGAGTTTGGTTTAGGCAGACTTTTGTTAAACAAATACAGTCAAATCTGTTTCGGATGATTATCTACAGAGTTGGACGCCATGAGAAAGTCAATCCTTTCATAAAAAACATGACTCAAAAGCTCATTAACTATTTTGGAAAAGAAAAACTCAGTAAACTCATAAACTTTAATGAAAAAATTAACATATTAGGTTTTTTTAATTTAATAATATAATGTCCCTGAAGTTCCATGATATTTCTGAAGAAATTGCCTTGTATGAAGTCACACTGTTGGGGCTCAAGCTAAAAGCCATCAGCCAACCTCCATGGAAATCAAACACTGGTTTGAGTGGTGGCTTGGGAGAAATACACACCAACAATCAACATGTCCTGTCTCGGTGTGATGTACCTGAGCGTCCTGTCTCAGTATGATGTACCTGAGTGTTTGTCTCAGTATCATGTACCTGAGTGTCCTGTCTCAGTATGATGTACCTGAGCGTCCTGTCTCAGTCTGATGTACCTGAGTGACCTGAATCTTTAAGAGGCAAGAAGCAACTTAGTATGTGGTTCATGTTTTTAAGGAGAAGGGATGGTTTCTCTCCAGGGCTGACAACAGTTAACAGGCTGAAGATAACACAGAAAATAGGAAAAGCCGCCCTTCTCCTAAATGTTCCATTAAAAGTGAAAAGCTTCATTGCTATATGCAATTGGTTTTGAAATCTCCATGACTGGAAGTCAGAAATGTTAGAAGTTAATACACTGTTCGGGGACCAAGTGGACTTCTGATGTTCAGAGGGGATGTTTTCAAGGTGAATCCAAAGCCTATAAACAAACAAAAAAAAACACTCCATCAGCTATATCAGAAACTTTTTCCATTATCAGAAAACTTATCCGTATAAATTCTTCATTGCTTAAAATGACAGACTGAAAGCAAAGCCACATGTTGCTTGCTTCATTGCCTGTTGTGGCAGCTTTTAAATCCCTGCCTTCCTAGGAAGTGACCTCATAAGAAAATCTTATAAGACTGTCCTGTGGGGAAATCCTCATAACATTTGGGTTAATGCGCTTACACTGCAGGAGAGGTCACCAGGAACATCCAATCATCAGAAAGTCCTACAGGGACGTGATGTTACCTGGGTCATGGAAGGATCTCTCTCAACACACATCTGGGGTGTTTTGTGGCATATTCTATAGCAGGCCATGTGGCTTAATAGTTAAAATATGGGGCTGAAAGTTACGAGGGTTGGGGGATCATATGGCAGCTGAGCTATTGCCTGACACGCTGACCCTACACAACTCATGAGTTCGTGGTACTTCAGTCAGCTTAGCTGTAAAATTGGGCACAAAGGCCAGACTTTACCAAAACCAGATGTTGGACTCCAGCTCTGTTCCTCAACTAATATCTTTTTTTAATGTGGCTGTCAAGTCTCAATTTGTGTGTGTGTATGTGTAGCAATATATATAGAAAGGCAAAGGGAAACTGGAGCTTACTCTCCGAGTAAGACTGGCAGGGATGAGCAAGGTCCAAGAATGCTGGCCCTGACCCATTCCATATCCTAGCCTCTCCCACCTGGCCAGGCTCATGTGTGTCACAGAAGTTGCAGCAGCTTGTGCACATTCAGAGCCTACTGTTTGGAGTAAGTTAATTATAACTAGAGTCATTTTTACGTATCCCTAAGAGAGGCCCTTAATGGGTATGAGTCACGGAAGAGCCACAAATCCCAGCATATAGATTCATACTGACCCTCCTTAGCTCACTACTTTTCTAGGCTGTGGGTCCCTACCACAAAAATAGTTGGTAGACATCAGTTTCCTCCTCTTGAGAACAGTAGAAACTCTTTTAGCTGACTTTCTCTGAGGCCAGCTCCCCCAGTTAGCCAAGCTCCCACTTCCTCTGCAAAGCATGCTGAATAATGCTGCTTCTGGGTCCCAAGCACCCCAGGATACGTGCTCCCCTCTCCCCTCCCAGGTGCTGTTTGGGTACCATGAGTCAGTACCAAGCCCATTTAGGACAGTTGCCATCGTAATTATCTAAAGAACTATTACTGAAACTCGAGTAAGAGTGCACAAAGAAATTTATTGTTTCCTATTCATTAAAAAACCGAAGTGATTATTTTGAAATAGCTCAGAAGGGTGAGTTCCTATTAAAAATAGTTACAAAATTACGTAAAACTCCATAAGGGTTTTGCCTTCAGGACACTCTGCAAGTATCTTTAAATTCTCACTCCATTTGAAAGAAATGGATAATGCATTAGAGTTGTGCTTTCTGGAAGGAAGACAATTAGGATTACAATCAGCCATCCCACCATGACAGAAAAGGCCTTGGCTCCATGTGAAAAGTTAGCAACAATCTATTGTATGTTTCTAATGAGCTGGAAGAGACGACTTGAGATGTTCCTAACACATAGAAATGATAAATATTCAAGGTGGTGGATGCTCTAAATACCCAGACTTGACCATTGCACATTCCATGCATGTAGCAAAATGTCCCAGGTGCCCCATAAATACGTACAAATGTTACATATTAATTTAAAAGATTGGCAAACCAATATATGTGTACACTTTTAAAGTTCAAATAATGGATGTGTATAATAGGTATTTACATGCATAAATATGTATGCCTATATTTATATATATATACATACACACACTAGCACCTACATTTTACGTATCAAGTGACTGTTGATTAATCAACAAATAATCCTAATCTTGTCAATCAAGATAACTTTTGCACTATTTCATTATTTTCCTAATTAGTATTCTCCAATTACTAGTGAAGAAGCAAGTCTGTCGTTTCTGACTTTCTTTCTTTCAAGTGTCTCTGTCATTGGCCCATGCAGATTTCACTTGGGCTGTGAACTGAGGTTTTCAGCCCTCACTGGAGCCAGATGGCAGAAAGATTGTTGGTAGGGCTCTAAGCCAGGCAGAAGGCACCCTGCTCTGAGGCACAGCTTTGTTTAATACAACAGCTCCCCTGTGCCCAACACTCATACTGCCCCAGGAAGTCATGCCAAAGCCCAATCCTGCCAACATTCATGATGCAGAGAAGGAAGCCACAGACTAATCCAACTGGACCAAGCACCCATCTCTCCTTCACTGACTAAAGCAAATCAAGGGCCAACTGTAACATTCAAAACCAGACGGTCGACAATCCTGTCAACTGGAACAGCATATTTTAATAGAAAATATAGTTGATTCCAAAATCCAAGAGCTACCCATCTGTACTCTCAATGAGAAATATAAATAAACAAAAGGATCATGCATTTTATTAATCTTTTTGAAAACTACTGACTCTTGGCTGATGGTGGGTAAGGACTCATATTTTGTCAGTAGTGGCCAAAAAATGACAATATTTTAATAGTAAAAAACTCAGCCTGAGATGTTGTTAGGGAAAGAAAAAGATTGTCTCCCAGTTCTAGTGATCTGTAGGATCCCAGATCTAGTGATCCTATAGGAACGTCTAAGACAGTGAAACATGAAGAGTTAATGGTCACTCTTCATAAGAGGACACACAAGGAAGAAATTCTACAGACAACAGCAAAAAGAAATGCTCTTGTGGGGTGAAACTACACTGTCCATGGACTTTTACCACTGCTTTGTGGAGAATTGTTGTGAAAATATAGAATAAGTAGCTGCAGGAATTCTCTCATCAGACACTATTATGCCACCTCCCAAGTAACATTAGTGTACAGTGCAAAATTTGGAACTAAAGGAAAAAAACACTTATTTGAGAAAACATTGACATTTACAGGTAGTTACATTACATTTAGCAGCTTGTTGTTCCTTTGATCATCTATGAGCTGCCTAAAGCAGTTTGCTGCCGTATGGAAAAATCTAGACCCAGAGAACCAAAGATATTGTAACATGAGCCAGAATGACATTATCACTGAGAACGCAGCAACATGCAATGAGAGGAGTCGGCCTGCCTGAGAAACTCAAGATCTCCTTGGAAATGCCTTCTTTTTCTTTAGACATAGTCACTGACTCTTTCTAGCTTGTCTCAAGGTGAGACTTCATCCCAGGTATTTCCTGTGAAGTAAGATTGTTTCACCAGAACCTGAAACATTTTTCCATCACACATTGCCTCACAGTATGTGACAATAAAATGGACTTCAGTCATGTTATTTACATGGAAGAACTGGGCTTGGCAAATTTGCTATGTTCTGTATGAAACCAAGTATACCTTTTAAACTGCCTAAGAGTTTGATCTATTACAAATATAACAGGACAAACTCTTTTGACCCATGGTTAAACAAGCTCTCCAAGACTGGAATTTAAAAGGACATGGCATAAATTCTGTGGTGAGTTGAGACCTCTAGGTATCAAGTCTCAGCAAAGTCAGGTGTCCTTCTCATTGCCTCCCAGGTGGAGATTCAAGAATGAACATGTTGGCTGGGCACGGTGGCTCATGCCTGTAATCCCAGCACTCTGGGAGGCTGAGATGGGTAGATCACCTGAGGTCAGGAGTTCCAGACCAGCCTGGTCAACATGGTGAAACCCCATCTCTACTAAAAATACAAAAATTCACTGAGTGTGGTGGGGGCAGCACCTGTAATCCCAGCTACCCGGGAGGCTGAGTCAGGAGAATCACTTGAAACCGGGAGGTGGAGGTTGCAGTGAACCAAGATTGTGCCATTGCACTCAAGCCTGGGCAACAAGAGTGAAACTCTGTCTCAAAAAAAAAAAAAAAAAAAAAAAAAGAATGAACATGTTGAGATGACACATTCTAGCATGGACCTCCCATTATGGTAGGTTATTCAATCCAGCTTAGCAACTTATTTTATCCCAGGAACAAGGGACTGAATTCTATGTGGGTCACATTTGTACAGCTAAAACCCCCCGTGATCACTGGATAATAATGCAGCCTTATGTTCTGCACGGTCTAGCTGTATATAGTGGGGACACGTGATCACCTTCTCAGGCTTGGTTTTTTTTCTGTCTAGCCAATGGACTTCAGACTGTCAGAGAGTCTTCACTTTAGACTGACTACAAATCACCTGCAGAGTTTCGTATACATACAGCTGCAGTAGGTCTAGGATGGAGACCAGATCTCCTGTGTTAAAGAATCTTCCAGGCGGTTTGGACACCAACGGGGTGTAAACCACACTGTTGAACCAGAGAGAGACGATGACTTTGAACTCTGAAGGACCATCTCAGTTCTAAAGCATCTAGCACCAGAGTCAGCCCCCAGCAAATTGAGAAACTAGACTTTGGGCTCAGGAAATACCTCCCTGGGTCAAAGTAAACCAAGTTAAGGTGGCAAATTTCCCCCCAAAGTTCTTGTTATTGTCAGCAGCATCAATAGGAATAGGGTATTTGTTCAGCAGCCCTGTTACATTCCCAAAGGCAGATTGCAAAGATCACGTGGCTGTGTCATTTAAATTTCAGAAATACAAGAGACTTGGAGCCATTTATATTAGAGTCAGTTTTGTCAAAACAATTTATGGTACATCTCACACCCTGCATGTTTCATAAAACCCTTTCTATAGAAAGGGAGATTATTGTGGACCAACCTACCACAGCATTGCCTACTACCAGTGACTGCATTTTGTGATATATTAAGTTATCCTGGTTGGAATTCTACTGTTGATTGTCTAGTGCTATATCCAGTAACAAATCACATGTATGTTATAAGACATCCAGACTGATGTGGGCTCAGAAGGCACCTGCATAAAGTTTTTCAAAAGAACAGTCATAAGTTTTACTAGATGTGACAAACCTTATAAAAGTTAAATAATGTCACGCTTTATAAGCATTTCATTTAATACAACTGAACACATGGAGGGCATTGAGGATAATATTTAATTTTTTCCATATGTGGATTTAATACCACATAGAAGTTCTAGTCCCAGATTGCTAATTTTCCACCATGTGGTAGCCATTTAGTTGTATTTTTTAAAATACTTACCAAATTACAGAGTCGAGTTTCAGAGGCAGCAGCTATGAGGAGGTTTAGGGTGCATGGTATCCCTTTGGCTTAGCCCTGGGTCTCATGAGGAGGCAGTAAATCGTGACAGTATTTTCATGGCAGCACTGACTGCTTTTCATAAGAATGAAGGTGAGTTTGCAAAGCCACATGCTAATGCACTTCTAAAAATAGATTTGATGAATGGGACTCCTTCAAATTCTGACCAGTTTTAGCCACCTATTGGAATGCAGACCAGCACGGAAGATTCAGCTTTTTCAGACGTGTCTATGAATTATAAGGCTTTCAAAAAAATTTTTACTCTGGAAAAGTGAGCTGGACCCAGAGTTTTAATTGCTCATTCTTCAAAGTGAGACTTCAGATATGTCATTTAGCCTCTTCTTTGCTTGTGTATATTTATATCTTTAATTGGGACAATAATATTTTCCTTCATTTTCATAGCAAAGAAAAGAACAGTCTTAGATAGTCAGGTTAGAGGAACAGCACCTCCCAATACCAGCTACAGTTTATCTTCTATGACCATAAACAGGGAATTGAATCTTCTAGACAAGAAAGACCAAACGTCTCTCTATTTATTCATTTTCTGTCTTATTCTAAAATAGCTTTGAGTAGCTGAATCAGCTACTCAAAGAATTTGAAGAAATTCTTAGAAAGAGACAAAACCCTATTGGCAGGGTGTTTGGGTCGGCAGGTGAAGGCACATATCATTCATGCCCAGCACCACCATCTAATGTGATCAATGCACAAGAAGGTGCCGTGAAACTTTAACGCTCCATCCAAATGTTAGTAATTATTATTAACCCAGTGAGACTGAGCAGAAACCTGGAACCACTGGTCAGAGCCGACATCTGGATTCGATGGTCAGAAATAAGGACACCACGCTGTATACCTATTTGATGATTCATGTCTGTCTGGCCCAGGATAAGAAATACCCTTTCAAAATCATCAACCCCTGGGCAGACATGTTTTATCTCCCTGAACCAATTACAGTTAATTCTCCCGGGTTCACATAGTTTGGGACCAAGTCTATTTCACACAAAACTGAATACTCCAGACAACGTACCTGGGAAAACTTAAAAATGCATACATGGGACTCTCCACGGAGCCTCGTAACACAGCGTGGGCGATGGGCATAACTGTATGACTTTCGGGTTTGCAAAACTAGCGGGCGCAGCCATCAGAGCCCCAGAGTAGGAGACTGTCCAGTGAGAGAGACTGCCTGCCAGAATTCTGGAGTGATCTCTCGGCCAAAGAGTATTTAATGGAATCAAAAGTCATACACACTTTTACTCAGGCAAAGAAAAAGTGGCATCTCGTTTTCTATGACTAATTGACCCTCTCACCCAGCCTCACGGGGCTGGCTACCAGAGGGAGTTGGAGTGAAACCCTTTCAACTTTCCATTTAATGGTGTCTCATTCTCTTACACTTCAAAAAGTCTCGTAGCAACTGGCTGTGTCTCTTGGGGTAAACATTCTGACTTTCAGGTATCCACAGCAATGGCCCAGGCAACAGGCATATGTGATGTGAGGAAGAGGCTTTGAGTCTGCATGGGTCCTTTGAGTCTTCACTAATTTCTGCTGCAGAGCCACCAGCTGGCCACGTTTCCTGGGACCTGGAAGATTCTGCTAAGGCATGCCTGGTGAGGTTGTCTTTACTTTATTTTCTGGGACAGTGCCTTGTGCGGCTGTGGGCCCTTTCCCCACCACCTCACCCCAGATCTCTTCTGTGGCCATGTCTGTCTCCTGGAGGGCTGTTTGTGGTGTGACCTTTGCAGCAGGGTCACACCCATTTACCACGGTGGCCCCTGCAAGAAAGGCCTCAGCTCCCAGCAGAGCTGGTGACCGGGGACCTCCCCTGTGCCCTCAGGGCCCCAGCAGGCTAACCAGGCTCCCTCTGCCCTGCCATAGCACATTCCCTCTGTGATCACGGCCCCATCCCACCAACGTTCAAAACAGTGCACAGGAGAACAGGCCTCCTGCCACGCGCTGTCCCTCAGCCTCGCCTCCTCTGTGAGATTTCAGCCGGGAGTGGGAGCCACGATGCTCATCCGCTGTCTACCTGCCTCTCTCTACCTTACCTGCTGCATCTACCTGCCTCTCTCTCCCTTACCATGCTGCGATGCCTGGCTGTGTCTACCTGCCTCTCTCTCCCTTACCTGCTGCGATGCCTGGCTGTGTCTACCTGCCTCTCTCTCCCTTACCTGCTGCATCTACCTGCTTCTCTCTCCCTTACCTGCTGCGATGCCTGGCTGTGTCTACCTGCCTTTCTCTCCCTTACCCGGCTGCGATGCTTGTCTGTGTCTACCTGTCTCTCTCTCCCTTACCTGCTGCAATGCCTGGCCATGATGTAAGGGTTCTCCACCTCCTCTGCAGCAGGGAAAGGACTTCCCTAAGATCGGACTCTGGTTCCCTCCATCCTATGACTCACAATACCCCTCTGTGATCCAGGCTGGTCACAGATATGCTAATAAAGTGAAAGAAATTTAGAAAACTCATTTCCACCTCTCTAGCCCCTGGCTTTTCAGCCTGAGGTAGATTCCAAAGCAGGGGCACGTCATGCAGACTCAGGAGGCAGCTGAAAGGTGCTCCTGCAGGCCCAATAGGGGATAATTTGAACACCAAAATAATTAAGGACAGTAACAAATTACAGACCATTTACAAGATCTTGTTAATGAGTCCATGCCAATAATCAATAGGTAAACAAATCAGTGCAGGGAAAAGAAGGATCTCACTAATAGTAGAACGCTAAGCGTCAACTGGGAAACGTGAAGAAGCAACTGTCACTTCGCAGCCACCACGGTAAACTTCAGTTCAGTAACCAACAGAGGCCAAATCTAGGGGGAGATTTTCGTGTGATTTGCATGGTCTCCCAGAGATTAAAGTGATTCAAGTTACCATCAACATTGAAGAACAGATGGACATCCCGTGCCCCTAGAGAAAAACACACATCACTTCTGGCCCAGAATGAGGAGCCTGAATCTAACCACGCAGAGCCGTCGGACAAACACAAACCACGCAGACCCGTCGGACAAACACAAACCACGCAGAGCCGTCGGACAAACACAAACCAGGCAGAGCCGTCGGACAAACACAAACCACGCAGACCCGTCGGACAAACACAAACCATGCAGAGCCGTCGGACAAACACAAACCAGGCAGACCCGTTGGACAAATTCAAAATGAGAAACCGTCTCTCTTTCTGAAACGGACTGTATTCTTCAAAGTGTCCACGTCATAAAAGGCAAAAATAGGCTTCTGAAATGTTCCAGGAGGCTAGAAAAACGCATGACAATCTCTTCCTAGACTGGATCATGTACTGGAGGAAGAAAAAAGGCTGGGAAGGACTTTATGGGGTCAGTTGACAAAAATGGAACGCTGATGGTAGTTGGACAGGATCACTGTAGCAACATTAACTGTTCTAAAGAGATATCCTTATTCTTCAAAAATACACACTGAAGTTTTAGGGCCATGATGAATGCAATTTACTCTGAAATAGTACAGGACAAAAATATCAAGAAAAAATTAAAATATGCATAAAACATACATAAAAATAGAGAGGGCAAAAGTAAAAAGAGAGAGAAAAAAGCAAATAAGAGAGAAAAAGGAAAATAATGCTAAAAGTAGATTAATCTGGGTAATCAGGTGTCCTATGTACTATTCTTATTTTAGTAATTTTTCTTTAAATGTGAAACTATTTCCAAATCAAAGTTGTTGTTGTTGTTTTTAATTTCTGTCTTTCCCTTACATGTGTTGTATAATTTGGTGGTTTTATCGCAACCTGTAATTTCTGAAAATATTAGAGTGGTCTATGAATAAATAAAATAAATTTTATGATGCTTTCAAATAATCTTTAACAAGAAAAAAATACAGGTAAGGAGCAAATTAAACATTTGAAAAATAAACTACAGATTTACATATAAAAGCATGATCACCGATTTGATCAGGAAAAAAGCTAAATAGAACTGTGAAAAATGCAATATTTTTGTCAGTTTAAAATATAAAGGAATATTTTCTTTAGCTAAAATTATGCACAGAGTGAGATTATAAAACATATTTTCACATCATATTTTTTCAAAATTGTGTTTTTAATTCACAGATATTTCTAGACTGTCAAAATAGAACAAAATTTATTTCTATAGAGGATAAAGTTTCTAGCGTAAACACAACACACGATTTTTTTAGGCAGTGGGAATGCTATTGTTTTCTCTGAATTCATAGGCAAGTTATAATAACCTCCTCTTTTCAATTCTATGAAGTTTTAGAGTTTTGTTTCAGGAACTTAAAACTTCTTTTCAGATTTTTGGTGAACCTTTTACTTTCTCTCTTCAGATACCTGGTATCTTTATGTATTTTCAAAAGGGAAGCTGAAGATGTACTGAATTTAATGTTTAAATAAAGAAAATGTCTTACTATTCTAAATCTTGTGTTCTAGCAGGATAAACACTTTAAAGAAATGCAATGGAACTCTTTCAACAGAATTTCCGGGTCCAAAAGGTAGGTGGTGATTATTTTGGGGAGAGGTTTCTTGCAACCTGAAATTATGCCAGGTAAAGCCTACCCCCAATTTCTTAAGGGCTGTCCTGTGGTTATTGCTGTCAGACAGCTGACAAATAAACTGGCTTAAAAGAAAAAACCTAAAATAAAATATGTCAAAAAGCTAAAATATAACATAAACACATAAAATGTAAAACTAACACAAAGCACAAGTTTATAAGTAGCTTTTGGACAAAGCCTGCATTTCTTTGCCACATGAAATAGAACATGAAAGCAGGATAATTCCTGCTTAAACAAAGATCGAGTTTCCTTTAGATCTCTGTGACAAAATCTCACCCACTGTCACTTCCACAAGCAACACCGTTTTCTGCGGAACTGAGGAGATGCCTCCATCTGAGCAACAATGTCTACCTTCTGACCTTCCGCACTTGAACCTCCCTGGCGCCATGTCTCCCTGAGCTGTCAACAGCACAGCACACTCCCAGTCACCCACCAAAAATGCAAAAATCTCTTTTAAAGAAAAATAGGAAGGCACAAGCTCACTGTGAGCTGGTAAACTTTAGATACATAGAATCCTTATCTGGTGACATAACTTGTAACCTGATTTGCTCGAACACCGAGAGCCATGACCAGTCTACAAGGGCCCTTCAGGGAATGAGAAAAGGTTCTCTTTAGAGAGAAGCAATCCTCCAGCACCTTCTCCAATTCTGTGGGTTCTGCTCCATGTGATAGCATCTGAAGCTGTGGTTGTCTGGGGTTCAACTGGGCTGAAATACGCGAAATGCTTCACTCATGTGATTGGCATTGGTGCTGGCCATCAGCTGTGAGCTCATCCAGGGCATCTAAGGGAGCATTTCCATTCGCTTCTACATGGCCTCTCCCTGCGTCTTGGACTTCTTACAGTATGGAGACAGGTTCCCAAGACTGAGGATCTCAAGAGCAAGCATTCCAAGAGAAATGAAGTGGCTGTCACTTAAGGCTTAGGCTTAGGAGCTCCAAATGCCATCTCTGTCACATTCTATCCTAAAGCAGTCACAAGGCCAGCTTGGATTCTAGTGACGGGAAATCTGTTCTGTCTTTTGACAGGATGGGCAGGAAGCATATGCGGAGAGAGGTGGAATGTTGTGGACCGTCTCAGGAGACAAGCTACCACACTGCACAGCTGACATTGGGCAGCCCTGCCCGAGCCCAGCGGCCTTGCTGATACCCATGTCCTCGGATGATCTGTTTTTGGTTTTGCTTTTGTTATTTTTGCTAGGTTCACAGTCAAATCAGGATAAGTCCGAACTGTCCCAAATCACCCGATCCTCAACCTCATTGTTCTGGCAGTCTAAAAAGTAATCATGGTCTGCCTACTCACATTTAAATACACATTTTAAAAATAATTCTTTCCTTAAAGCCGATCTTTAAATCAATCATCCTTCTGCATTTTAGCTGTCTGGATGCCAGTCTTATCTTTCCCCTATGGTCTTCTCATTTCCCAGTCATTATAAATTAGTGTGTCAAAAATTCACGTTGATGTAGCACAACATCATATCCATAATATAATTCATGCCTTCAATGAAAGAGTTTTGCTTCAAAGGTAGACGTCATTAGTAAGTGGTGAAATTTCACATGTGGTTAAAACTTCTTTTTGCCGGTAAAAATAAAACACTCACAAGTAATACTTTAGAGCCATTTTTAACCTCTTATAAAATACAAAAAGTAAGGCAGAAAAGGAGGAAACGATGTTTCCAATCTCTGTTTAATTTATTCCCACTGCGGGCAAATCACTTTTCCTTAGATTTACAAGTTTTCCTATAAATGTGTGACACTGCCTTTGAGTAATTGCTACCTAATAAATAGCTCTAGCTTCCTCCATGTTTTATTACTGAGAGACAAAACCTTCACCAAATAGACTCATTTCTAGTTGGGAGTCATCCTCATGGTGTCTGTGAGGACTTTGCTGGGTGCCAGGTCAGAAATGAATGAGCTTTGGCAGAGACTCTGCAGGTGGCCTAATCTAGTCCGCACGATGCTCCAGGGAAAGACGAAACCCTCTTACAAAGCAACCGTCTGTTCCAGAAAGGGGGACTATCCCCCAGGGTGGCCATGCCAGACACCTAGTGGGCTCGGATGCTCAGAGAGTAATTGGATGTCAACTGCCTGTTTAAGCACCGTCTGCCTCTGACCACCAGATATGACAAGCTGTAATATATTATTCAAAAACTGTAGAGTTAAGAGGGTGATAAGTAGAGAAACAACTACAAAAGGAATATTCTTATAGACAGACCAAGTTCTAAGAAGAGTCACATGGGAAAAAAGACATGGTTGAAGTTAGAAGGTGTCCGTAGAAGTGTAATTAACACAGTCCTGCAATAATTTTTAACATCAGAAGTGGACTATATATGTTGTCATGTTCCTTGTCCTATAGAACGCTCATATACTTCACTCTCTTTAAAGTAAGTCTGAATCTGTGTATTAATTTCATTTTTAAAGCATTTTCATATTTCCATGCAGCCCTGAGAAGACATGAGGACAGGAATTACTACTCCCATTTTACAACGAAGAAAGCTAAAACCAAAAGTCTTCTTAGATTCTGACCTCTAACATTAGCTTCTCCAAATATTCCCTTAAAGGACCAAGTCTAAGCAATTTCACAAGAAAATGAGTTTGCACAGATATTAAATTTGCTTTTTGACTGTTTTATTAAATACTCAAAACAGAATGGAAAAAGACATCTTGAAACAAATTAAAATACGGTCAGCCCTCCCTATGCATGGGTTTCTCATCCTTGGATAGAAACTCACAGACATGGAGGGTCAACTGTACTATTTTCCATCTGGCTTCAACCACCTGCAGATGGGGAGCCTGTGGACACAGAGAGCTGCCTGTATATTTGCCTCATGTGGACACTGGGAACCAGACCTCCTCCCACGTTGAAAGGAAATTATTCCATTTAAGAAGAAAACAGTGTCTTTTAAAATAAATGTAACTATTGAAAAGCACAAGGTGTCATAATTACCAGTAACATCCTTTTATGAGATAAAATGTCTTAACAGGCATCAAGAACGTAGATCAATGTCCAGCTCTCAGTGACTGCAATTATATTCAGTGACAAGATTAAGTGAAGTAACTAATCATTTACTGTATTTAAAATGCTGGCATCACAATTCGGATAATGTATTTTTAAAGGGGGATAATGCACTTTTAAGTTCTAAATTAATATTTGCAAAGAACTTAGAGACCCCTGTGATGTGCAAGTTGGATTTATACAAATGATCTGAAGGACAACGTCCACCCAGCCAAATGAGGGTAACCCTAGGGAAGGAAAGGGGTGCGAGATCGTCCTACGATACAGGGCACCAAACTGATTACTTTTGCTTGATTTTCAGGCAATCTGAATATACCAGCAGGATCCAAACTGCTCTGAAATGTGGTCTCACTGAAACAAATTGGTTTTGCCAGCAAGGTGGAAATGAATTCATCAAGTCTGTGTCACGAGCAGCCACACAGTGTGAAAACAGCCAACACTTCTCCTGTTGACTGACATCACTTCGCGGATTTAACTTCTGTGCTTCCAAGCCCAACCTCTTATATCCTCTCTCCAGGCATTTTACATTTCACTTGCCACTCTCTACTCTCTAAAAGCAGAGAAGCAGCTTTGCGAGAAGTAGTAAAATTATGAGAATAAGCTGGAAGAAATGTTTTGGATAAAGAGCTGGTAACATTTAAGGCAAATTGCTCTGGTATAAATTCAGTCCTGTACTAGCACCATCTCATAGATCACAGAGTAGCCGGTGGGTGAAGTTGATGGGATATTGATTCCAGCAGGAAAATAAAGGGCTATAAAACAAAAGATGATTAACACGAAATCCTTGAGTAAAGCAAAGTCTTAATAGACTGGGAGCTGTTAAATCAAAGAGTGGGTGAGAGGACTGGGCTTTCAGATCACTTACAACTGAATTCTTTTCATTGTGTATTAAAATTCTCCTGTGTGTTTTTACTTTCCTGTATATTATCAATCCATATTCCTCCAGTGAAAAACATCTGAAATTGCATGTGGGGAAAAGGAACCAAATCCGGGACACATCATCAATCAGAAAGAAGGAAACTCACAAAGCAATGGCAATCAGGGCCTTAAAAACCTATAAATACTGTCAGAAAATGAATATTTTTCTATTTCTTTCATTTCATTAAGTCCCACTAATGTTTCTCTACATACCACGTGCACCTCTCTTTTAATAAATTCTGCTGCAATGCACGTTACAGGTTGATTTGTTGCTTAAAATATGCAGTACTCAATGCACAGATGTACTTCTAAAATATTCTTCTAGCAAGTTTCCAGAGCCAAGTAGTTTTTTAGTCAAAATTACTCTACAAAGGAAATGCACCCCTGATTCCCTCCACCCTCTATCAACACACACACACCACCACCACCACATCACCAATACCACAAGCACACACATCACCACCACCACATCACCACTGCACTAGCACACACACCACCATCATCACATCACCACTGCACTAGCACACACACCACCACCACCACATCACCACTGCACTAGTACACACACCACCACCATCACATCACCACTGCACTAGTACACACACCATCACCATCACATCACCACTGCACTAGTACACACACCATCACCACATCACCACTGCACCAGCACACACACCATCACCAACACATCACCACTGCACTAGTACACACACCATCACCACCACATCACCACTGCACTAGTACACACACCATCACCACATCACCACTGCACTAGTACACACACCATCACCACCACATCACCACTGCACCAGTACACACACCATCACCACCACATCACCACTGCACTAGTACACACACCATCACCACCACATCACCACTGCACTAGTACACACACCACCATCACCACATCACCACTGCACTAATACACACACCATCACCACATCACCACTGCACTAGCACACACACCACCATCACCACATCACCACTGCACTAGTACACACACCATCACCATCACATCACCACTGCACTAGTACACACACCATCACCACATCACCACTGCACCAGCACACACACCATCACCAACACATCACCACTGCACTAGTACACACACCATCACCACCACATCACCACTGCACTAGTACACACACCATCACCACATCACCACTGCACTAGTACACACACCATCACCACCACATCACCACTGCACTAGTACACACACCATCACCACATCACCACTGCACTAGTACACACACCATCACCACCACATCACCACTGCACCAGTACACACACCATCACCACCACATCACCACTGCACTAGTACACACACCATCACCACCACATCACCACTGCACTAGTACACACACCACCATCACCACATCACCACTGCACTAATACACACACCATCACCACATCACCACTGCACTAGCACACACACCACCATCACCACATCACCACTGCACTAGTACACACACCACCACCACCACATCACCACTGCACCAGTACACACACCACCACCACATCACCACTGCACTAGCACACACACCATCACCACATCACCACTGCACTAGCACACACACACCATCACCACATCACCACTGCACTAGTACACACACCATCACATCACCACTGCACTAGTACACACACCATCACCACCACATCACCACTGCACTAGCACACACACACCATCACCACATCACCACTGCACTAGTACACACACCATCACATCACCACTGCACTAGTACACACACCATCACCACATCACCACTGCACTAGTACACACACCACCACCACATCACCACTGCACTAGTACACACACCACCATCACCACATCACCACTGCACTAATACACACACCATCACCACATCACCACTGCACTAGCACACACACCACCATCACCACATCACCACTGCACTAGTACACACACCACCACCACCACATCACCACTGCACCAGTACACACACCACCACCACATCACCACTGCACTAGCACACACACCATCACCACCACATCACCACTGCACTAGCACACACACACCATCACCACATCACCACTGCACTAGTACACACACCATCACATCACCACTGCACTAGTACACACACCATCACCACCACATCACCACTGCACTAGCACACACACACCATCACCACATCACCACTGCACTAGTACACACACCATCACATCACCACTGCACTAGTACACACACCATCACCACATCACCACTGCACTAGTACACACACCACCACCACCACATCACCACTGCCGCTAGCACTGCCACTACCTCAATCCCACTAAATATTATTACTCCGGAAGCTCCTTTACCCAGGAAATCAGGCATTCTTCAAGACTTCATGGTTTCATTACACAAGGAAAGAGGCAGCTTTTGTGAAACAGAGTCAGAACTATTAGGGAAGTAACTACAGAGCTTACTGTGTCCAGTCAGCCATGCAGAACTGAGAGTTAAAGGGACAGCATTACGAGTCCATGTGCCTGCGTTCCAGAGCAGAAACGCTCATCACAACTGAAAATTGCAAGTTCCTACTGATGGAAGGACTTTTTTCCATAAGACCTCAAAGGCCCTGCAGTACCCTCAGATAAAAATTAAACATTTGGAAATATTAAAACTAGGTTTGCATTGAGTCTTACCTTGGGGGAGCTTCAGCGGAACTATTGATAAAGACAAAATAATTCTTGCAATGACTCTAATCGTTACCATTCTACACAAAATATCAATGACCGAAAACACCGTTTGACATGGGCAAGATTGTATGAAAAGACTAATTATACAAAGCAAGTCGATTCAACTATTTACTTTCCCAATGTTTCTCTTCTACCCATTTCACGGGAGTTTTCCCTTGACCTCTGTGGAATATCATGAAACGCCAAATCCAAGTTTCGTTCTTTGGACATACACCTCTCTAATTTAATGCAGGGCTGCCCGACACAGCAAATAAAATCATAGACACCTCATTAAATTCTAATTTCAAAAAACAATGAAAAATACTTTAGTGTAAGTATGTCCCATGCAGTATTTAGTAAATACTTACAACTTTTAAAATTATGTGTTGTTTACCTGAAAATCAATTTATCTGATGTTTTGGGTTTTACCTGGTAACTTTAATTTTACTCTCTGATGATTTACATTGTATTTTAGAACTTGCTCCATCATTAAAGAAAATAAAACAGCTGTCAGGGATAGAACAGCTGGAGAAATCACAATTTGTGAATGAGAAAAAGTACATGAAGGCCCTTTACAGCCTTATATGTGTAATACCAGTAATTCCCAATGGGTCATGGCAAAAAAGAGGGAGGGGAGAATTAGAATCATTGAGGAACGTTTACCTGAGACTAAAACCACTGCATTGTACAAATATTATGCAGGTCTTTCCCATTTTTATTTTCATCTTGGAGGGCGGTGGTTATAGGCACCAGCTTTGGAGTGAGACTGACCTGTTGAACCATGGCTCTGCCTCTTCCTAGCTGTTCGATCCTAGACCAGGCATTTAACCTCCCTAAGCCTCTACTTTTTCATATTTAAAATGAAAGCGGTGATACCCATCTCATGTGGTAAGAGAAAGCACTGATAGCGGTAGTCCTCTTTCTAAAGCACTGGAACATGACCCGGCTTAAGGTGAGCCCTCTCTAATCGAATGCTGTCATTCTTGTCATATTGTGCAAATGTTTTCACCATGCCTGTTAGCAACAGATAAAGTTCCCTGGCAATAATCGTCACATAAAATGTTCCACCTACTTTATCTAGGAGTCAGCTGGGGTGCAAATGAGAAGGGCAAGCAGCCACTTGTAACTTGCAGAATATCAGGCTCTACAGGAGCATTTATTCTGAAAAAAGTCAGGACTCCAGGGAAAGTCAAGCTCCATTCACAGCCGTTTCTCTCCTCATCTGTCCTCGTGCTGACTCTCTTTAGAATCTCTCTGGATGGAATTCCTTCCCAACTCCAATGGACAGAAGCAGTGAGTCCGTCCAGTCGGTAAGTCAAACAGTCCTTCGATGACTCCACTCCAGGGTGTGCTCTGTGTGATCAGAACAAGTGCTTCAGCCTAACACACCTACACATTCGAAAAGGTTTCACACAGCCTCGTTCTGCTCTTAGACGCCAACACTCCCCACACCCAATCTACCACAAAATAGAACAACAGAATCAGCCAAACGCCCTCTCCACGGAGGCGAAGGACACAGGGTCAGCCAAACCCCCTCTCCACCGAGGAGAAGGACACAGGATCAGCCAAACCCCCTCTCCACCGAGGAGAAGGACACAGGATCAGCCAAACCCCCTCTCCAGCGAGGAGAAGGACACAGGATCAGCCAAACCCCCTCTCCAGCGAGGAGAAGGACACAGGATCAGCCAAACCCCCTCTCCACAGAGACAAAGGACACAGAATCAGCCAAACTCTCTCTCCACGGAGGCGAAGGACACAGAATCAGCCAAACTCCCTCTCCACGGAGGCGAAGGACACAGAATCAGCCAAACTCCCTCTCCACAGAGACAAAGGACACAGAATCAGCCACATCCCCTCTCCGTGGAGGCGAAGGACACAGAATCAGCCAAACTCCCTCTCCGTGGAGGCGAAGGAGCTGCTGCAACTGACGGAGGGACCGTCCAATTGCTTGGAGGGTCCGTTCAGCCTGTGTGGGCCAAACCTCTCTAATCATTGACCCTGGAGGCTTATATTGCATTTTCAGGCATATTACCTTATTAGAGGAAACAGGACAGCTGCTTCCCTGAAAGAAATACGGGCAAAGCTCAATTTGTGAAGTGTGTTTCATTTCAAAGGCTGTAGCTTACAGGCAACATGGATTTTGCAGGACCAACTTGTAATGCAGTTTCAAACCCACCCAAAATCTGGAGTTTCTCTTGAAGATTTTTACCTTTCTAACATACTTAAGGAAGTGAAGAATTACTCATAATATTCTTTGCTACCTACAGTGCCGGCAGGTGCCAGCACTGTTAAAACTGCTGTAGGTGGCGGGTGCTTTGCCCCCTGTGCCCCAACACCACATGAATATTTTCCAGCTGATCACTTTTAAACTTTTAACAGACACCTAGAATTATGCCGCTGAAGAGCAAATAGATAAGTACACAACCTCTTGAGGTTTCTTACAGAAAGAAAAAATGTTTTCCTAGGACTTAGTAGTGAAAACACTTTTGCAAAAATTTTGACAATGAGAGGACTCTGACACAGAAACATTACGACGCAAAACAAATCTGACCTAATCGGGTCCATCTTGCCTCTAGCCTCCAAGCTGCCCTTGCTCATCCTCGAGTGTAAGCCACACTAACTATGGGATCGAGTCCATCTTGCCTCTAGCCTCCAAGCTGCCCTTGCTCATCCTTGAGTGTAAGCCATGCTAACTTTGGGAGGAATTTAGGTAATAGTTTAACTTTGAAACAAAGATGATAACAGCCTTCCCTGAAACAACCCCCTCCTTGCCTGGGGACCAGATGACCTTTGGAAAATTAACAAATTAGCCACAAGATTAGAAATTATGGCTCAGGAATCATGCAACCGGAGGCCACAAAATCACGGACCTCTCCAGTTGTTCCTGTGGATAACATTACTATTGTAACCCTAAGATTGGTGTTCAAGGTGTTTTCAGACGCTGAATTTTGATGGACCAGCTGGCACCACGTAGAAGGGTAAACTGGCTCATCTGGTATTGTGGCCCCCACCCAGGAACCAACTCAGCACAAGAGGGCAGCTTCAACTCCCTGTCATTTCTTCTCCAACCCAGCCAATCAGCACTCCCCATTCCCTAGCTCCCACCCCACCAAACCAGCTTTCAAAAATCCTAGCCTCTGAATTTTCAGGGAAGTTGATCTGAGTCATAAGAAAGCTCCAGTCTCCCTTTTAGCTGGCTCTACGTGTATTAGACTCTTTCCCAGTTGCAATCCCCCAGTCTTGACAAATGGGCTCTATCTTGGCAGTGGGCAAAAAGAACCCCTTGGGTGGTTACAGTGGTCTGTTTGTTTCAAAGGCACTCTCATTTCCAAACTCACTAGTAGAGAACACCCACACATGGACAGATGCACACCCTTTGTTTTCATGGCATTCCTAAGATGCTCTTTCAGAAACCATCCTTTCCCCTGGTGTTTATGCAGAGAAGGAGATGACTAGATGGTAGACATATTACACCTGCACCTTAGTGGTACCCATCCTTCCATCCTCCACATTCCCCTCCAGAGTGCTCCCTTCCTGGTCCTCTCACTAGTCCTATATTCAATACAGAAACAGGGAGAACTAAGGGTGATGGCAATTCTTGTCCTGTGAATTCTGCCCTCTAGCCCTCTGTCAATGTATCCAGCAGCAATGCTCAGAATGTCTAGGGGACTAATCTATCACCCCTTCAAGTGCACAGGTTAGGAGTTGGATAATAATACTTGTATCCCTTAAAAATTATCAATAATTTTGATTATCTTCAAAATTTAAGGTCAAGAATGCTAAGATCAGAAGGATCTCCCAGGCCCACCACTAGGCAGTGGTGCAGGGCTTTAAATAACATGATCAAGATCCTTGCTCATGAGGCACAGGCACTCCATGTATAAAATGTCTGAATTTTAGATTTTCAAGGTGTGTAAACATGTTAAACCACATACAGGTATTTTTTGGTATGGTGCAATTGAGATTGTAAAATGCCTAATATTTGCTGATTACTTCTTTATATTTAGTGTATCATGCCTTTTAGATGAATGCTGAAATTTAAAAGAATACTTTTGACCAGAGATGGGCAGTGACGCATCTTAAGTAGCATAGAATATCCCTGAATTTAGAAACAAGTAGAGGTGGCTTGTAGCAAGGTCATGTTTTAAAAACAGTGAGGAGCAACAGTCCTTAACCTCTCTGATCAGAAATACAGGTCTTATGTGAAAAGAAAAAAGGAAAACAAAAGGTAAAATCTCCAGAAAGAAGGAAGACGCCGAGAGCATCTGGGACTGCCTTGTTAACACAGCCTTGGGAACGCTGTGATGTACTTTATTGCAGGGATGGCACAGACATCGAATACATCTAACTATAATCACATAGCTACTGGCTCTTTAAGTTCATAGTGGGTAATATTAAAAAGAAAAAACACTCTTCCAAGGAGGTCATTGGCTACAAAGTAGATATTTTATATCCTCCTCAAAAATCAATTCTCCTTCAAAGCAAATTTGTCCACCCAACCCTCTGATCACGTAGTTGGCTCTCCTGGCAACCAGCCCCATTCTGAAGCTATCTAGGGACCCATCAAGGGTCCTTACTGTAAACTCAGGCACGGTTGTCAGTGGTTTATTATGAACAGCAAAAGATGGTCCTCCCACCCCGTCTCCCAGAAAATTACAAGGGCTGTGGGAACTCTGTGCAAAGAACCTGGGACAAAGGTCAAACACATATTTCTTAGGATGCCGCAGATCACACCACCGTTGAGCACTACGGCGACTCGAAGCAAGAAGCTTTCGTCTGAGCCTACTAGGAATGAACACACCTTGTCACGACATTGAGATTCAGGCACCATGTTTAGCCTACGGTGGGAAACGAGAAACTTGGGACCTAAAAGATTGGGTTTCTTTTTATCCTATCCTAACAACAGGCAATCACAGAGTCAGTATGCTGGGCACTGCAATGGCATAACATCAAACAAAACTCGCGTACTCAAGGACCCTGTTCTACTCTGTGGATCAACAGTTGTGGTAAGCAGAAGTACAACAAATTGTAACTTTTTTTTTTTTAGATGGAGTCTCGTTCTTGTTGCCCAGGCTGGAGTGCAGCGGTGCAATCTCGGCTCACTGCAACCTCTGCCTCCCCATTTCAATAGTGCTCCCACCTCAGCCTCCCGAGTAGCGTACACGTCACCACACCTGGCTAATTTTTGTATTTTTAGTAGAGACAGGGTTTCACCATGTTGGCCAGGCTGGTCTCAAACTCCTGGCCTCAAGTGATCCGCCCACCTCAGCCTCCCAAAGTGCTGAGATTACAAGCATCAGCCACCGCACCCAGCCCAAATTTTCTTGATAGATCTAATCTGTCAGTCAGAAAGAGAGTTGTTGAATACTGAACCCACCTTAAACACTAGCAGGGTGGACAACTGTGAGATTCATGTGTTCATTGCTCACATACTCTGAAGTGCCTACGCTGTGTCGCCTACTAGGTGGTGCGTTCTGAAGGGTGGCAACAAAGTCTCCCCTGCAGCCTGGCAATAGCTTGTAGATCCTATACCCAGCCCCAGCTGCAGGAAGCTGTTAAATCCTAGGCCCAGCCGCAGCTGCTGGAAGGTGTCTCACTGCATTTTTCAACATTTGGGCTGCGTCAGCCACCTCCAGCCACACACCCACCAGCACTCACATGTGCAGTCACCTGGAAATCAGAAAAGTATTCTCACTCAGTCCCTGAAACAATTTAAAACTGCGTGACTTGTCTCCAGCGTCGGCCATAATCAAACGGCTAAGTTGGCAGCGTGGTTGTACTTTGTCATGTTTTCCCTTGTCCTCCAGCCTGACCCCCTCCTACCCCACATCACTCCTCCCAAGCTGACCACCAGGGGCCCTGCCAGGTGCAACTATGCCCCCACCTTTTAATATTGTTTTTTGAGACAGGATCTCACTCTGTCGCTCGTGCTGACTTTACATTTTTTAAAACTCTTTCCCTTGCTCATTTCCCTTCTTCCCTCCACTGCATCTGAAACCTGCCCAAGGTAACAGCTAGTTAATTTCAGATGAGATTGAGGAATTCTGCTTGACTTCTTCAGGTCGTATATTTGCATTTGCTGAATGCATTCTCAGCAAACAAGCCTTATGCAGTTTGCTTTAGGTGGTGCCTGTTCCAGCACACACAAGCCATGAGAAGTTCAGAAAGCAAGTGGGGTGGAGGCGGCATGGTCAGCAGTTAGGAGCACCAGCTCCAGAAGCAGGTGATTTGGGTTAGAATCTGCCCCACAGCTTACTAGTTTAGCAATTTCCCCTCTCTGTGCTCAGTCTCTCATCTGCAATTGAGAGCCATAACACCTAACTCAGAGGATTGTTACAAATATTAGATGAACTGATACAGGTAAGAAGCTTAAAACAGTTCCTGCTAAGAACACAATCAATGTCACTTATTATGTTACTATCAGTAAGACGGACGACATAATTTGCGAGGCCCAGTACAAAATGAAAATGCAAGGCCCCTTGTTCAAACTTCGTTAAGAATTTCAAGACCAAAGCCACAAACCATTAAATCAGGTGCAGGGTCCTGCTAAGCATAGAGCACTTTTGAGCGCACGGCCACACATTCACAGCACCAATCCTGCCTCCCAGCTTTAGAACAAAAGCACCTTATTGCCCTAAGATCCAGGGAGTCTTCTGGGTGATCATTGAGAAAAAAATCCTGGAAACGCATCTTTTGTTTGCCTCTGGGAGAGTGGGGACTGGCAGGAAAACATAGGTAGCACTTTCCAAAAATACAAATAAAATTGGCCCAGTGCAGTGGCTTAGGTCTGTAATCCCATCACTTTGGGAGGCCAAGGTGGGTGGATCACCTGAGGTCAGGAGTTCAAGACCAGCCTGGCCAACATGGCGAAACCCCGTCTCTACTAAAAATACAAAAATTAGCCGGGCGTGGTGGCGGGCATCTGTAATCCCAGCTACTTGGGAGGCTGAGGCAGGAGAATGGCGTGAACCCGGGAGGCGGAGCTTGCAGTGAGCTGAGATGGCGCCACTGCACTCCAGCCTGGGCGACAGAGCGAGACTCCGTCTCAAAATAAATAAATTAATTAATTTAATTAAATGTAAAACCCCCCAACCCCCAAAACATCCCACAGTAGGTTCTGCAAGTGGCTATCTCTTGCACAGCTTTTTGATGGAAGATCAGGAACAAAAATCACTTCGCATATTTCACTAAAACTGCTCCTTCAGTGATGAAATCTTACAAGAAATCCATGTTGGTCATTCACCATAACCTCCTGCAAACAAAAGCTTTTACTACATAAAAGGAATGTTGGGACAAGAAAGTAGATTTGTAATAAGTTTGCATTGCATGTGAGATTAAAAGAAAAGATGGCTCTTTAGATTAATTTATTGCTAAAGGCATAACCTTTACTGTTTAATGTTGTGTTTCAATTGCCTGTCAAACTGTCAGAAAATAGAGCCTGAGTCCACAGCTACATAAACCAGTTTTACTTTCACCAGCAATTACAGTTTTTTAATCTTTTTTACCAGTTCATTTTCAACCTCTTTTTATTTTATCACTTGCAGTCAAATCTCAGCAATTTACTAATACAAATGTGATCAAATGCCTTCCATTTATCTTAAAGATCTAAATTCTGATGAAATAAGACTATGTGATCAATACGAATAGCATCCTGTATCCAGTCCCAGACCCTTGGTTGTAAATCATGATAGGACAGTGTCTTCCCAGAGGCTGAATCACCGGAACCAGTTCACATTGCTTAGTACCAGATCACAAAATCTTCATGAGTCATATTACTTTTTCCTTTTTTCTTCACTTCACATCTTAGTAAAAACACATTCATTTTCCAAACTCATCATTTCCAGCAGCATTCATTTCAACCATAATTTCCTGGACAATCTATTCATTCAGGTCCCTTTTTTGGAGTTTGTATTTGACTACGCTGCACTAAAGCCTGCCTTTTTTTAGAACTGTGCTCATCGGCTACATAACCCCTGAGAAAAGGTTAATATATCCCCTTAAACATTCTTAAGTGCCAAATCTCTCCTATTCCATGAGCTTAAAACCATATCAGGTAATTTCAGATCACTTGAACTATGGTTCCGTGCTGTGTCCCTCGGCTCTCTCCCATTCTCCTTGCCGTGTCTCTCGGCTCTCTCCTATTCTCCGTGCCGTGTCCCTCGGCTCTCTCCCATTCTCCGTGCCGTGTCCCTCGGCTCTCTCCCATTCTCCTTGCGTGTCTCTCGGCTCTCTCCCATTCTCCGTGCCCTGTCCCTCGGCTCTCTCCCATTCTCCGTGCCGTGTCCCTCGGCTCTCGCCCATTCTCCGTGCCGTGTCCCTCGGCTCTCTCCCATTCTCCTTGCGTGTCCCTCGGCTCTCTCCCATTCTCCGTGCCCTGTCCCTCGGCTCTCTCCCATTCTCCGTGCCGTGTCCCTCGGCTCTCTCCTATTCTCTGTGCCGTGTCCCTCGGCTCTCTCCTATTCTCCGTGCCGTGTCCCTCGGCTCTCTCCCATTCTCCGTGCCGTGTCCCTCGGCTCTCTCCTATTCTCCGTGCCCTGTCCCTCGGCTCTCTCCCATTCTCTGTGCCCTGTCCCTCGGCTCTCTCCTATTCTCCGTGCCCTGTCCCTCGGCTCTCTCCCATTCTCCGTGCCGTGTCCCTCGGCTCTCTCCCATTCTCCGTGCCGTGTCCCTCGGCTCTCTCCTATTCTCCTTGCGTGTCCCTCGGCTCTCTCCCATTCTCCGTGCCGTGTCCCTCGGCTCTCTCCTATTCTCTGTGCCGTGTCCCTCGGCTCTCTCCCATTCTCCGTGCCCTGTCCCTCGGCTCTCTCCTATTCTCTGTGCCCTGTCCCTCGGCTCTCTCCCATTCTCCGTGCCGTGTCCCTCGGCTCTCTCCCATTCTCCGTGCCCTGTCCCTCGGCTCTCTCCCATTCTCCGTGCCCTGTCCCTCGGCTCTCTCCCATTCTCTGTGCCGTGTCCCTCGGCTCTCTCCTATTCTCTGTGCCGTGTCCCTCGGCTCTCTCCCATTCTCCGTGCCCTGTCCCTCGGCTCTCTCCCATTCTCCGTGCCGTGTCCCTCGGCTCTCTCCCATTCTCCGTGCCGTGTCCCTCGGCTCTCTCCCATTCTCCGTGCCGTGTCCCTCGGCTCTCTCCCATTCTCTGTGCCGTGTCCCTCGGCTCTCTCCCATTCTCCGTGCCGTGTCCCTCGGCTCTCTCCCATTCTCCGTGCCGTGTCCCTCGGCTCTCTCCCATTCTCTGTGCCGTGTCCCTCGGCTCTCTCCTATTCTCCTTGCATGTCCCTCGGTTCTCTCCTATTTTCATATTCTCCATCCTGTGTCCCTCAGCTCTTTCATGTTTTCCATGCTGTGTCCCTCAGCTCTCTCCTATTTTGGTTGACAAGAATAGCATTAGATTAATTTTCAGCTTTCAAAAAAAAGAGACAAACTTAAAATTTTTTAATATACCTCTTATAATTCTCAAAAACTACATTTTTTAAAAAATGTGCCTCTGGAATCAAATGATTTAAAAGTCTAATTTTTACACTTTTAGTAAATAAAACTAGTAAAGAAATGTACTCTTCTGTGGTCTTTAAAACTCCTCTTAGCAAGCTATTTTTATAAATAGGCTGTCCTGACTAATGATTCTTGGGCTATAAGGTGGCGTGCCCACCTCCCTCCCATTCAGTTCTTGGGCACCTTGTCTCTGATGAGAAGATCAATAATAATTAGGAGATGATTTTTAAGTTTACTTAAGTGCACTGCAATTCCTCTGGCTTCTTTACATAACTGTGAATGATGGTGACCCTGAGACAGGACGCTGGGGTTCACTAGGAGAAGTGACACCTGCCGTATAGTCACACATGCCCGCCCTACCCCAGTTTCATGCAGTGCTATCACAATGGCTGTGAGGGGGTGTATATCCTTAATTCCAGACCACAACTACTAGCAAAGCGACTGGGGGTCCACAGTCATGCAGGGGAAAGCACAGGACTTGGAGAAGTGGTGGCCAAATGACTAACTCAAGGCTGGTGGCCCACAAATCTGTCTTCAAATCCATGACAGGGACCCTTAAGGGGAATAGAAAAGACAATTGTCAATGAGAGTTGTATGCCTATCCCCCAGCACCCTGTGGACTTGCTGAGAACAAGGGCCTTGTTTTCCTCGCCCTTTGTGGCTGACACGGTGCTGGACACAGCTGCAGCCTATAACTTAGGGTGATTCGATCAACGATCTTGTCTAGAGTGGGAGATAGCTGGGAGCAGTGGTGAAATAAGAACATGAAAACGAAGGTTTTGTTAGCAGAGAAAGGTATGGAAGACAGGCCTTAATGGGAATAACAACAGGAGATTGCTGATATCTGAGGGATTGATGGGAGTGACAAGAAAAAAGAAGTAAACAAGCGGAGTCATGGGAAAGGCACCAAGGACAGGTTTCTTAAAAAGAGCTCTGAAGCTCACCAGTAGCAACAAAATGGTGGCATATTAAAAGCTGAGACAGTTTCAACCAAGGGGGTGTTTAATCATCATATATGGGAAGTGCTAGAATAGTTTCTGGTGGGGAATCCATTTTTTAGTTCAAAATTGATGTTGACCTCTGAACATCTAGTCCCAATCAACAACCCTTGAAGCTTCAGCAGACACTATGTCAAAGGCTGCTTAGAGAAGACATCCAGGAGACACTATGTCAGAGGCTGTTCAGAGGAGACACCCAGCAGACACTATGTCAGAGGCTGTTCAGAGGAGACACCCAGCAGACACTATGTCAGAGGCTGCTCAGAGAAGACACCCAGCAGACACTACGTCAGAGGCTGCTCAGAGGAGACACCCAGCAGACACTACGTCAGAGCCTGTTCAGAGGAGACACCCAGCAGACACTATGTCAGAGGCTGCTCAGAGAAGACACCCAGCAGACACTATGTCAGAGGCTGCTCAGAGGAGACACCCAGCAGACACTATGTCAGAGGCTGCTCAGAGAAGGGACCCAGCAGACACTATGTCAGAGGCTGCTCAGAGAAGGGACCCAGCAGACACTATGTCAGAGGCTGCTCAGAGAAGACACCCAGCAGACACTACGTCAGAGGCTGTTCAGAGGAGACACCCAGCAGACCCTATGTCAGAGGCTGCTCAGAGAAGAGACCTAGCAGACACTATGTCAGAGGCTGCTCAGAGAAGAGACCCAGAAGACACTATGTCAGAGGCTGCTCAGAGAAGGGACCCAGCAGACGCTATGTCAGAAGCTGCTCAGAGAAGAGACCCAGAAGACACTATGTCAGAGGTTGCTTAGAGAAGGGACCCAGCAGACGCTATGTCAGAGGCTGTTCAGAGGAGACACCCAGCAGACACCATGTCAGAGGCTGTTTAGAGAAGACACCCAGCAGACACTATGTCAGAGGCTGTTCAGAGGAGACACCCAGCAGACACCATGTCAGAGGCTGTTTAGAGAAGACACCCAGCAGACACTATGTCAGAGGCTGCTTAGGCAAGAGACCCAGCAGACACTATTTCAGAGGATGTGTAGGGAAGACACGCAGCCAGAAGGGTTTGGTTATTGACAAGATAAAATGACCAACCTGTGTTTTTAGGATGCATTGTATGAAATCACCTTCCTTAGAAATATTTGATAAAATATGCCATCTTTTATGCTGAGCAAAAGATATCAGACACAAATGAATACATATTGTGTGATTCCACTTATATGAAGTTTGAAAACCAGCAAAACCAATCTATAGGGACACAGAGCAATTGGTGGTTTTCTGGGGCTGAAAAATTACTGGTGAAGACTGACTGACAAGGGGCAAGAGGGAACTTCTAGAGTTACAGAAATGTTCTACACCTTGGGTACACCAACACATACATTTGTCAAAACACACTGTACTTGATCTTTAAAATGTAGGCCTTTTGTTGTATATAAATTATATACCTCTTAAGTTGATTTTAAAAAAAACTGTCTTTACTTAAATTTAGACTTTGAAACCCTTCAGAAAGTCCTAAAAATTCTGTACAATTAGTATTGAACACTAGGATACACATGGGCAACCAATCCTAGACAGCTCAGCACAGGACAAACAGAAAGGTCATCCTGCAACATGCAATCTAGATGACGAAGAAAGATAACTCAAATGAGACACCTCAGAGACCTCTGTTCTCCAGTTCTGGCTCTGATTTTCATGAATTACAAAGTAAGGAAGATTCAGAGTTAATAGCATAGCCACAATGTAAAATATATTTAGTTTGTTGAATATTAACATTTTACCATAACTATAATGTACATTTAGTTTGTTGATCATTAATGTTTGTTTCCTGTATGAAAAAAATGTATGCATATATAATTCTCGTTCTACATCTAGGTTCATTCATTCTATCTACTAATCCTTTTATGGCCTTTTAAAAGCTGGTTAAGGAATTTATAAGATGACTGTCTAGACCAGAGGAACTCAACTGACAATGGAAGTGATGATTCTGGCAGCTAAGCTGGGTAGATCTTACTCTTTACAGACTGGTGTTTCAAAAGGTCTTGCTCCTGTCGAGGGGTGAGTTACTTCACCTCTAGTACAAGCCCAAGGTATCCTAAACCAAACAGCACTAACAGGGCCCACCCGTCTCTGGGCAGCAAAATATTTTTGTTTGTTGGTGTTGCTATTTTTGTTTATAAATGTGTCGATTTTGTCTAATCTGTAGACCATTCTTTACTGAACATGAGGAACAAGGCATCTTTCAGATGTAGCAGAGTTCAGTGCAAAAGCACTGAGCTGACTAATAATTTGGAGACTTGGGTTCCAATACTGGTTCATCATTAACCAGAGGCATTGCTTCAGGCAAGTCAAGGGACCTCTTTAGATCTAATCTATAAACTAGGGGAAAAAGAATAAATGAAATATAAGAAAAGATTCCTTTAGCTATAAAAGTTTATGATTCTATATGTCAAAACCACCAGAAAATCTTAGACCTCACCTGGAACTTTAAAGACCAGAGTTCCCTACGAAGGGATTCAGGACCCTTCAGGACACATATAAACTCACAACAATGGACCTCATATGCCTGGAGGCTTAATTGACCTAGGTTGTTGCAAACGACCAAGCTTCTTTCTCTTATAAGGCTGAATAGAATTTCATTGTATGTGTATAGACCATGTTTTATTTATCCAATCATCTGATGGTCACTTAAGTTGATACCGTAACTTGGCTATTGTGAACAGAGCTGCAATGAACACGGGAGTGCAGACATCTCTCTGGCATAGATATGGGTTTTGTGTCAATACACACAAGCGGGATTGCCAGGTCATATGGTAATTCTATTTTTAGTTTTTTGAGGAACCTCCATACAGTTTTCCATAAAAGTTGTACTAATTTACATTCCCAAGAACAGAGTACAAAAGTTCTCTTTTCTCCACATTCTCACCAAAACTTTTTAATCCCTTCTCTCTTTTTTTTTAAATAGCCATGTTGAGAGGTGTGAGGTGCTGTCTCATTGTGGTTTTAACTTGCATTTCCCTAATGATTAGTGATATTGAGTTTTTTCTTTTTACATATATTTGTAGGTAATTTGTATATCTTCTCCTGAAAAATGTTTATTCAGGTCCTATGCCCATTTTTTAAATTAGTCTTATTTGTTTTCTAGAGTTGTTTGAGTTCCGCATGCATTTTGGATATTAGCTTCTTATCAGATATGTGGCTTGCAAATATTTTCTCCTAATTTGTAGGTTGTTTCTGTTGTTTCCTTTGTTATACAGAAGCTTTCATATTTCATGAAATCCCATTCATCTCTTTTTGCTTTTGTTGCCTGTGGTTGTAGAGTAAAATTGAAAATGTAATTGCCCAAACCAATTTCATGTAGTTTTCTCCCTATGTTTTTTTCTAGTAGTTTTACAGTTTCAGATTTTATGCTTAAGTCTTCGACCCATTTTGAGTTAATTTTTTCACATGATATGAGAAAAGGTTTCAATTTAATTCTTCTATATATAGATATCCAATTTTCTCAAAAACATTTATTAAAGATATCCATTTTATATTGTGTATTCTTGGCACACTTACGATCTTTTGTAATTTAGTTTTATAATTGATCCTTTGCAGAACCTGGAGAGGTGCTTGTGGTTTTGACTTGGCTGATTGCCTATTTAGAGTACAATTCAGTATGTTCTTCCAAACTCTGCTTCTGCTGCAAATTGTTAACTGAATCCAGAGGTTTATTTGACAAGACTATACCTGCTAGCATGTTCTCCCATCAGGAATCACATACTATCTAGTTGACTCTATCTCTTTTATGTTGGCAGTCTTTAATGCTCAATGCCTAGATCAGGGGTCAGTAAACTCCAGCCACTGGCCAAATTCTGACAATCAACTGTTTTATTTGTCCTATGAATGCAGCCAGACTCATTTATTTAATAATTATCTATGGATGCCTTATTGAAAATCAATTGTTCATACATGTGTTGGTTCCTTTCTTGGCTCTCTATCCTAATCCATTCATTGATGTGTCTGTTTTTCTTTTTTTGTTTGTTTTTTGATGTGTTTATTTTTATGGCAGCACTAAGCTGATGTAGTAGTATAGTTTGAAATGAGTAGTGTGATGCTTACAGCTTTGTTCTTTTTGCCCACGATTGCCTTGGCTATTCAAGGTTTTTTGCAATTCCATGTGAATTTTAGTTGTCTTTTTATTTCTGTGAAAATGGCATTGAAGTTTTGAAAGAGATTATATTGAATTTGCATATTGCTTTTGGTAGTATGTACATTTTAGCAATATTAATTCTTCCAATTCACAAGCATGGGATATCTTTTTCCATCTCTTCACTTTTAGTCTATATGTGATATATATATATATTTATTATACTTTAAGTTCTAGAGCACATGCGCACAACGTGCAGGTTTGTTACGCATGCCTATATGTGTTTTTAAAAGTAAGATGAGTATCTTGTAGGTAGCATATAACTGGGTCTTGTTTTTAATCCATTCAGCCACTCTGTCTTTTTATTGGAGCATTTACATTCAAGGTAATTATGAATGTTAAGGACTTACTACCTCCATTTTGTGAATTGGTTTCTGATTGTTTTGTAGATACTTTGTTTCCATCTTCCTTTCTTTCTGTCTTCTTTTGTGGCTTGATGATTTTCTTTAGTGGTATACTTTGAATTCTTTCTATTTTTGTTTTGTGTGTCTACTGTAGATTTTTGCTTTGTGATTAGTATGAAGCTTACATAAAACATTTTACAAGTGTAACAGTCTATTTTGACAGTTCATATAATTGTTATGCTATAACAGTTGTAGGTAGTCAAAGTCACACAACTCTCCACTGTTATCTCCCTGATATTTTACGTTTTTGATGTACGAATTTACATTTTATAATATCTATCCCTTGAAAATGTATTTAGCTAAGTTTTATTAATAATTTTGTCTTTTAACCCCCATACTAGGAATAAAATTGCCTTACACATCATCATTACAGTCCTAGAGCATTCCACATATGATTCTTTATTATGCCATTGAGTTTTGTGCATTTGTACATTTTCTGTTAATAATTATTGGCCTTTTATTTCAGCTTAAGAAACTCCCTTTAGCAATTCCTGTAAGGCAGGCCCAGTGATGATGACCTCCTTTGGCTTTGGTTTGTCTGGGAAAATTTTTATTTCTTCCTCATTTCACAAAGACGGATTTTCTGAGTAAAATATTCTTGGTTGGCTATTTTTATTTTCCTTCAACATTTTGAATCTATCATCCCATTATCTCCTGGCCTTCAGGGTTTCCATTGAAAAATCTGGTGAGAGTCTATTGAGACTATTCTAGGTGCTGTGTGGCTTTTTATCTCTTGCCACTCTCAGAATTTTTTCTTTGTCTTTTATTTGTGATAGTTTATTATGTGTCTTGGTAAACTCCTCTCTGGGTTGAATTTGACTGGAGACCTCTGTGCTTCCTATACCTTGATATTGGTATATATCCTCATATTAGGAAAATTCTCAGCCATTATTTTTTAAATATGCTTTCTTACCCTTTTTTGTCTTTCTTCTCTTTCTGGAATTTATATTATGTGTATATTCAGTCTCTTGAGGGTGGCACATATTTCTGCAGGCTTTCTTCATTCTTAAATTTATTTTTTTTAATTTTTGCTACTCTGATTGGATAATATCAAATGTTCTATCTTCCAGTTCACTGATTCTTCTTTTAGCTTGATCAAACCTGCTGTGGGAGCTTTCAGTTGCATCTTTTCAGTTCAGTCATTGTATTCTTCAACTCTTGAATTTCTGTTGGTTTTTAAGAATTATTTCTATTTCATCGAAGTTCTCATTTTGTTCATGTATTGTTTTCCAAATTTCATTTAATTTTCTATCCCTATATTATTGTAGTTCATGATCTTCTTTAAGAGGATTTTTCTAAACTCATTGTCTGTCATTTTATAAATTGTCCTTTCCTTGGGGTTCATTGTTAAATCTATTTTAGTTGATTTTTCTTTTTAGGGGTGTCATGATTTCCTGAGTCTTTGTTACCCTTGTAAGGACGTTATCCTTCTATCCTTACATTAGTGTCTGCATATTTGAGGTGATAGCCACCTTTTCCAGTTTTTGCAGGTATTCTTTGGCAGGAATAATTGTCACAGTGTAGTGTAGCCTGTGGTTCTGAACACATCAGCTCATAACAACCCTGAATATGTAGAGCTTATTTGGGGGTTCTTTCATTGATGGTGTGCTGCCTTTTCTGTGAGTTTGAATGGGGCAGCTGGCTGGGATCTGCTACCCAAGCAAGAGCTCAGCAAGACCACTAAGCTGAACTCTCCAGTGAGGATGGACTGCTGGATGGGCACTGCAATTTGCCTCTGATTAGACTGGGCCATGAAGTGTAGTATTCTCTGGCCAGTTGGTACCTCAATTTAAAGTCAGCAGTTAAACAGGGTTGCAGAAAGCACTCTGAGGTTAGGTGGAGTCACTGACTAGGATGGATGGGACCAGCTACTATGCTCGGTAAAAATGCACAGTTGAGGTTTGCCTACCTGCTTAAGTGAGGTCTTGGGGTGGGCTTTGAGACTAGGCTGAGCATTATTTAAACTCCTGGGTGTGCTAGGTCAAGTCCTAGCTCTTTGCTGAAATTTGCTGCGGTGGTTGTCCCCTTCCTTGGGTGGGATATGTGTGTGGGCTTTGAGGCCATGCAAAGTACTATTTAAACACTCCTCGGTGTGGCCAGGCATGGTGGCTCACCCCTATAATCCCAGTACTTTGGAAAGCTGGGACAACAAGATTGCTTGAGCCCAGGAGTTAAAGACCAGGCTGGGCAACATAGTGGGACCCCGTGTTTACAAAAAGTTTAAAAATTAGCTAGGTGTGGTGGCATGCACCTGTAGTCCAAGCTGCTTGGGAGGCTGAGGCTGGAGGATCACTTGAGCCCAGGAAGTCGAAGCTACAGTGAGCTGTGATCACGCCACTGCACTCCAGCTGAGGTGACAGAGTGAGACCCTATCTCAAATGAAAGTGATAATAGTAATAAACTCCTGAGTGTGACAACACTAGCCCTGGATCTTTGCCAAAATTTGCTGTAGTGGTTATCTCCCTCCCTGGACATGTTCTCAGGGTAGGGTCTGAGGCTGGTCATCTAAGGATTCAAGCCAGGTAGAACTTCCCACCGCTTCTGAGGGTGACCAGCTCAGATTTGCAGGTGGGTATGGTGTTAGCTGGTACTATTGATTGGGTGCTACTGCTGGCAGGTGTGCAGAGCTACAGCCAGGATCTGTCTGCTTGTCACTGTGGACTCTGCCTCCTCGCTTTGCTTCTATCTCACCCAAGGTGGTCTAGCCATGCCATTTCCCCTCTGTTCCTCCTGAGGTGAGACCAGAGTGGGCTTCCTGGGAAGCATCTCAGAATGCTAGGGAAGCTTCATGTCTGCCTCTGATTCTCCTTTTGCTCTGTAGGAACTGTAGTTTCTGGGGAATTCCATCTGCGAGGTGCTGTGCTGACTTAGGGGAGGAGGAGGAGAGACATGGTCAACATGGGATTGTTTTTCTTACCCTTTAATGTAGTGTTTATTCCTTTCTGGACCACACAGCTGACTCTGGCTTATTCCCACATGTTAGGGTTTTCACCAAGGTATTCTTGTCTGCAGGTGTTTGCTAGCTGAACTTTCTGTGTGTGGCAGGCGGCAGGAGATGGTAGTGAAGCCAGGGTCCTCTTATTCTGCCATCTTGCTGACATCACTCCAAATCACAATTATCAATTTTGCTGAATGCAAGTTACAACTGTAAAAACATTTCCAGAATTTTGAGAGCACATAACATTATTAGACCATCTAACGGATTTAAGGACCATCCACAGTATTCCATAAGCAATAGATCAAAATGTCATTTTAGCAAAGTGGCATTTCCACGTGGGGTCGCCTATGTGTTTTCTTACTTTCTTCAACACTGTTGCAAAGTTTACCTACTAAATGAGGTTAGCTAGAATGAGTTCTTTTTTTAATGGAGTGGCAAACATAGTAGCTGTTTCTTCCATTATATTCTCTCATAACTCTTTGGGCCCTGGGGCCACAATTATTTGTGACATGTTTGGATTTATAGAATTGTACTCTTCATAATTTAACTGTCTCAGGGCACAAGCACAGAGAACGCAGTCAGGAAATAAACATAGTCTAAAAGATGAATTTGTGATCTGCTCTGAGGGTCAGTAAGCTAGCCCTCTGCCAAACCAAGGCAGGTAGAGAATTCCGTGATGAGGCCTGAAGAACCACATACTAGAAGAAATTTTGTACATTGTTACCTCGAAGATCCCAAATGACCCTAAATATTGCCTGTAATTCAGCACGAAATGACAAGTTTATGCTAATTTTTTAAAGAAAGCACATGCTTTAGAATACGTTTAGTGAATGTTTCTGCTCTCTTGGTATAAACAGAGTACTGAGTTTGAACACTGAACCAACCTAGTCATTAAGCATTTCAGCAGTACCTGCTATAAGTAACCGGTGAAATAACACTGACTGTACTAACATATGACATTTCAAGTGTATTTCAAGGTGTGGCTCTGCTTGAATGACGGGTGATTGCTCTTTTAACACTGTGGCATTTATTACTAACCTGTCAGAAAGCTGCTTAAATAAGAATGATTGGAGCAGCATGTCTAACACTCTGGCCTTAATATAAAAACAACTTGAAAATAGGCATTTCTCTTTTTGTATCCATCCTTCTAATTACAAGCCTAAAAAGGTGTTTTCCTTTCTTCAAAAATATTTATGGCATACCCACCTCTGTGCTGGTAGTTGGGAAACAGAGAAGAGTGAAACAGGCACCTCACTACCTAATGGGGTTATAGTCTGGCAGAGAAGACAGACATTTCAAAATCATCTTACAAACAAGTCATAATCTGTGATAAATGCTATGAAGGCAAAGAAAGTGCAGAAACAAAAATAAGGGGCGTAGTTTAGAGACGGATGGGGGAAACTGTTATGAAAGAGATCTTCGAGGAAGTGAGATCTGATAAGCAGTAGTTATTCAAGCAAAACTCAGGTGAGTCTCTTAGGCAGAGGGATCAGCATGTACAATACTCCTGGGTCAGACAAGAGCTTGTTCAAGAAACTGTAAAAAGGCCAGTGAAAGCAATGACAGCAACCTGAAGCTCGAAAGTAGAGTGGAAAGATGAAACAGACACCACCAGCAACGCTAATGATCTTTTACTTTATACTAATTATAAGGGGAAGTGTATTTGCTCTGCAACATCAATCAGCTCGCTTCCAGGCCTCCCTGTGAGAGCACTTGCGTTTCCGTTCCCTCTGGTCTGCTGTACCAGTTTTCTTCACTAGCTCATTCATTTACCAGTGGGCAACCATAGCAAAACTATCACAAACTGGGTGACTTAAACAACAGGAATTTATTCTGTCTCAGTTCTGGAGGTCAGAAGTCTGGAAGCAAGATGACAGCATGGTCGATTCCTACTTGGGGACTCAGAGAGAGGAGCCGTCTCACGCTTTCCTCCCAGCTTCTGGTGGTTGCCGCCAGTCCCTGGCATCCCCTGGCTTGTGGCGTTGTCAATCCAGCCTCTGCCTTCACGGTCGCATGGCTTCTCCTGGAGTGCCTCTGTCTCTGTGTACACGTTTCCCTCATAGAATACCACTGTGGGCTAGGGCTCACCCTAAGTCAGTATGAGCTCATGTTACCTTGATGATATCTGCAAAAATCCTATTTCCAAACAACGCCATAGTCAAGGTACCAGGGGTTAGGATTTAAACAAGTCTTTTTGAGGGATACAATTTAACCAATAACAGAAGGCTATTGAAGGATTTTTACCAAGGGAGTGATATCGAGGCAGGAAAACAGGGTCTGGAACTTAAGGCCAATTTGTGCTGAATCGAGGAAAAACACCAGGGTCTGGGGGCCAATTGGTGCTGACTTCTCAAAGCTGGATCAAAAGGAGGACACCTGGGTCTGGGGGTAGGGAACCTAAGGCCAATTAACACGAACTTCCTAAAACTAAACCAGAAGGGGAAATCCCATCTCCCCACGCCGAGCAGCAAAGGATCAAATCTCCCTACAGCCCTCCCGCTTCCAGCACATCTCAGATGGAAAGAGAGAGTGCCCTGATTGGCCAAGCATGGGCCACCCCTTCCTCTGCATAGGGCACCAATTCACCTCAGCCTTTAATTAGCCAGGAACCAAATCCTTCATCCAGACAAGAGGTAACTTATAGGAGCCTCAAAAGGGGTACTTAAAACCCGGAAAACTGGCTCCTTCCCCCGCCCTGTGGAGTGCTGTCTTGCTTCAGTGACTCCAGCTTTCACACCTTGTGGAGGGCTGTCTTGCTTCAGTGAATTCAGCTTTCGCTGCTTTGTTCTTGTGTCTCGTTCCTTTGTTGCTTTGTGGGTTTTGTCCAATTCTTTGTTCAAAACACCAAAGAACCTGGACAACTGACACTCAAGGCCCTCCTTCCAGTAACAATATGATCCTATTTTCACTTAACATCACTTTAGCTACTTGACAGAAAACGGATCGGAAAGAGTCAAAGAAGAAGGGTGAGATGGATTGAGAGGCTATTTTGGATTCCATTTTGGTAGACGTGTTCTGAAAAATTTTCGTCATATTTATAAATATTATATAAATAAATATTTCTAAATATTTAAAACATTTAGCAAGGCAAGAAATAATAATAATATAATTAACTTTAAAGGGCATAAAAATATTCACAGGCCAAAAAATAAAAAGAAGACTTAAACCCCGAACGGTGAGCTATCACTGCGGCTGTGGAGTGATCAGGCAGCAGCCTCTGGGCCTGAAGGCTTGCATTTTGCATGATACACAGGACAGGAGGAGAGGCATGATCTCAGCCCAAAGAGGAAGTTACAAATAAGGTCTCCAAATAAAGCCAGCGCCCACAACATTGATGTAAATGTTTATATACTTTCTATAGATTATATAGAAAGACATAAAAATATATCTCTCTATATATATCCATCCACTGGTTTAAAAAGATGACAAAAGGTGACCAAAAAATGTCATCCTTAGTTTGGACTCAAAGTGACAAAAATAGATGTTTTTCATGACAACATCTGTACAGTTGACACGCTCTGGAGTTGGGTTTAAAATCATACCACGCAGTAACTCCAGGAAAGTTCAAACCGAGAAACTATTTTACACAACCTTGAGTCAGGAATGCCCAAGAAACAAAAACACAAATTCTCTGCGGAAGGTGCACCCTCAACATAAACCTTGACAGATTCTTGCACGTAAAGTCCAAACACTTAAATGTGAGCTTAATCCAAAATATGTTTTTGAAAAAGCAAAATACAAGAGTTAACGGAAACAACCAACAGCAGAAAAAACCACCAAAGACTTTCAAGTATAAAAATATTGGATACAAATTATAAAATAAGTATTTTTAAATTATCCAAAAAAGAAATTGAAATTATGAACTAGAAACAAAATGCTATACCAAAGAAAACAGGCTATTTGAAAAAAGAACCAAAAAGAACCTCTCAAACAGAAAATGTAATCACTCAAATTAAAAATTCAGTAGGTAAGATAAACAAAAGATTAATGTAGCTAAGAAAATGACTTATACAGAAACTACTAGAATGAAGCTCAGAGACATAATGGAGATAATGAAATGCAAAATATGAAAGAAGGTGAAGATACAAAAAGATCAGCCCTCAAAGACACAACAGGTTCTGAAGAGTGGCCAGAAGGCGAGGATTGGCCAAGCGTGGTGGCTCGCACCTGTAATTCCAGCAGTTTGGGAGGCCAAGGCAAGTGGATTGCTTGAGCCCAGCAGTTCAAGACCAGCCCAGGCAACATAGCAAAACCCCATCTCTATAAAATTAAAAATTAAAAATGAAAAAAATAGGAGGTGAAGATAGGGAAATAAGAGAAACCAAACATTTCTAAGCAGATTAGATGAAAAGAAACCCACATCTGGGCACAAACTTCAACTTCGGGCCACCAAAATTAAAAAAAAAAAAGACCTTAAAAATAGCCAGAGTAAAAAGTTTACCTTCAGTGAAATAACCGTTATATGAAAAACAATTTTTTCCAACAGTATCAGTGGATCCAGAACAAAGCACTAGCCTAAAATTCTGACAGAAGATAGCATCCATCTCAAGATGTTTGCTCAGCAAACTATTGTGTCATAATTAGGACAAAATAAACACATTTTAGGCAAACAGAATCTATGTTTAATATAATCAGACTCTTGCTAAAAGAATTGCTAAAGGAAGGCCGGGCGCGGTGGCTCACGCCTGTAATCCCAGCACTTTGGGAGGCCGAGGTGGGTGGATCACGAGGTCAGGAGATCGAGACCATCTTGGCTAACACGGTGAAACCCCGTCTCTACCAAAAATACAAAAATTTAGCCGGGCGCGGTGGCGGGCGCCTGTGGTCCCAGCTACTCGGGAGGCTGAGGCAGGAGAATGGCGGGAACCCGGGAGGCGGAGCTTGCAGTGAGCCGAGATCGCGCCCCTGCACTCCAGCCTGGGCGACAGAGCGAGACTCCGTCTCAAAAAAAAAAAAAAAAAAAAAAAAAAAAAAAAAAAAGAATTGCTAATGGAAATACTTCAGATAGAGTAAAATGATTCCATAAAAAGGGTCTGGGATGAAAAAAGGAACAATAAACCAAGAAACTGGTATAAATGAAATAATAAAAACACTGTAAATATGTGGAGGCAGAATCTAAATAACACACAAAAATACAATGTAAAGCAGGTGGCAATTGATGAGAATTAAGATACAGCATTGCTAGGAAGGAGAACAGATTCATTTTGGATTTTATTAAGATTAAGAGCAGCCACAGAATGATTTAAAAAAGGGTTTATGGCTTCCAAACCAGTAGAGAGGGTAAAAATAATTTTAAAATCAAAATTCAGTCAAAAAGGAGAGAAAGAAAGAGAGAAACAGAGAAAGAAAGAAGGAAGGAAGGCAGGCAGGAAGGGAGAGAAAGAGGGAGAAAGAGGGAAGGAGGGAGAGAGGGAGGAGAGAAAGAAAGAAAGGGAAAAAGAAAGAAAAAAGGAAAGAAAAGGACAACATAGTAACAGGAGGAAAATGTAAAGCACAAAACTAGATGATGACAATAAATCCAACTCTAAAAGAAATCATACAAAATATGTGGATCAAAATCATCAATTTAAAAACAAAATTTTAGACATAGTCTTTAATTCAGTAGTAAATTATATATAAGTGACATATTTGAAACACACAAGCTCCCTCTCTCTTCCAAACAAACTAGATTAGATGATAAGAGGCAGGAAAGAGAATGAACCTTTGCTTATAACCTACTGTAATGTACCCCCTCGTAATTTAAATTATGTCTCAGAGTTAGATTTTATTATTTCCATATTACAGACAGGGGATTGGGGTGCAGTGCTTAACGGCTGTACCCAGAGTCACACTTGGTAGTAATTTGCAGAGCAAAGATCTGCAAAGACTGGCTCTTGTGGACATCACAACAGTGCCATGTGAAACAAAGTGGCTTTCAGACCAGGACAGTGGTACTGAGATATTCTTATGATGCCCAAGTCACAGGTGAAAAGGAAACAGAGCTAATCTCTGCTGATGGTCCCATTAACGGGTTCTCAGTGTTTTCTGTTTTCATTTCTTTGGGGCAGTGAACACCCAGACCACTGAATTCAGAAATCTTTATATTGTAAACCACTTTGTTCATTCTCTACTAAATTCACCTGGTCTGTATAATTTGAAAAGCTGCATATTTTATTCTTTTTGATCAATTGTTTTTATTCAAAATGTTTCTTATTCTTTTTGATCAATTGTTTTTATTCAAAATGTTTTACGTAAGGAGTTCAACGTTTTCGTAAGAATGAGCTACCCATGCAGGCATCTACCTGCTCACTGGTGGGAGAGTGAACATAAATATTGTCCAGGGAAATTGAGAAGAAGGCAGCTGACATGTTTCTGCTAAGAAGAAGCCATCTCTTTCTTTCCATCTCTCTCTCTTCCTAAGAAAGGCAGATCAGGCCTAAAGCCCTAGCAGGTTAGCCGTGTTTCTTCTAGAAGTCAGGCCTACGATGGAGCGGTAGAAGCCAAAGGCAAGAGGAAAGAACTGGAACAGAGCTGGGCGCAGGGTGGCTAAGTCCACAACGTAAAAAGTTGAGGTCGTGTGATGTTTTTATTTCAATAGCTGACACCCTGCATTTTAAATAAGGCTTAACTTTTTAGGTACAAATTGTTAACCTAATACATTTTAATCTTTTTAAGATGATGCATAGTTTGATCTTGTACATATAAAATTTTACTTTTTGCCTGTCTCTAACTCGCTGACTAGCGGTTCTTCACCCTCTCCATATGTGTGTGTCCACGCACCTGTCTGTGAGTAGATACACGGAGAGAAACAATAAGATGTCTGACATGACGTTCACCTAATTTAATAATCAGAATTTCTAAGTAGTAGATTTTAGTTGGTATCTGTTTTCACTTTCACTTTGTTTTTTTTTTTTGAGCCGGAGTCTCGCTGTGTCGCCCAGGCTGGAGTGCAGTGGTGCCATCTCGGCTCACTGCAAGCTCCGCCTCCCGGGTTCACGCCATTCTCCTGCCTGGAGAATTCTCCTGCTGGGACCACAGGTGCACGCCACTGCCCCGGGCTAATTTTTTGTATATTTAGTAGACATGGGGTTTCATCGTGTTTGCCAGGATGGTCTCAATCTCCTGACCTCGTGATCCACCTGCCTCGGCCTCCCAAAGTGCTGGAATTACAGGTGTGAGCCACCGCACCCAAATGAAAATGCACCTTAATAAAATTTTAAAAAATAATTCATGCTTATTGTAGAACATTTAGAAAATGTTAAAAAGTATAAAAGAGCAAAATAGGTATCACGGCTAATTCTATGACTGTTAACATTTTAGTGAGTTTTCATTACAATCAACTTGAATGTTCAATTTGGACTCCTACTTTTTTTACATAATGTGTTTTTCTGTGTCTTTAATTATTTGGAGGCATGGAGAATGGGACTATATTCCAGGAGTCCGGAGAGTGAGGAATGATGGTGATCTGGGACTCTGGTTGTGGGAGTAGAAATGAAAGTCAATGAAGAAACTTGAGAAATATTTAGAGATAAGATTGACAGAACACAGTGATGGACTTGATGTGTATTTGAAATAACTTTACGTGTTTTATTTCCACAAATGTAAAGGTCTCATAATTTTGTCATAAATCACGCACAAAGAACACAAGGGCAACAATATCTTCACTGGAGACACATGCAAATTTCTTACAAAGTCAGCGTTTTAAATTGTGAATTCATGTGCCAACATATTTACTTAAAGGGTATAAAGAACCATGTTATGGGTATTATATTTTCTAATAATTTTACTCAACACTCTGAATGTGCATAGTCTATCCTAAAGATCAGGTAGAAATGACGGGATCTGAAATGATACAGGAGAAAAAGTCTTGGCTCTTAACCAGAGACTTTTATGGCATATTTCTATCTTTACTACATAACAGTGAAGTCTATTAAAAGTCCAAAACTGAAGCAAATTCACCTTTTTATAATGCTTCAATAATTGTGTTTTGAGGGTCTTTGCTACATACTTGAAATATATTTTCAAAGCTATCTGACTGATTTATGAAGAAATACACATGTGTTTTGTGCTTCACAAAAGCACATTTGGATATTATTAAACAGAAAAGATAAAATATTACATAGGTCTGAAGAATTAATTTTAAAATGTTTCTTTAAGATAAACAGTGTATCAACTATATCTTAAATGTCATCACTTTGGATGACCAACTAAGCAGATTTACAGACAACCGCATGGCTAAACAGGAATTATTTTGGTCTCTTTGTCATAAACTATTATGTCCAAAGACAGCAGCAGCATCTCCATCGACCCTGCAGTGGGAAATCTGCCCTGTCACAGTGGAATCTCCACGGGCAACAAGGGAAAGAATATACTTCACACTATGCATAATTCCTCAAAAGTTTTCTCATTTTGAGATTGGCTCAAAAACGATGTGCTAAATAAAATTCTAGCCATCACAGGTAAGGAAGAAGGAACTGTCAGCATTCCATCCTACGGGCTGTAATTCAGAGCTGCTGTACAAGTCACACGCTGTTCTTATCAGAAATCTGCTTTCTTAGCTTTTCTTTACACATTCCAACCTATCTTCACATATGCTGAGATTTCTGTGAGGAAGGGAGCACTCTAACATAAAATTATTGGTTGCTATTTTATGACTTGTCAGGTCTATGGCATTCAGAAATGCAGGCATGCATGCTGTGTGTCTTACCTGGCCAAGGCCCAAGTCAGCCAGACATGTGTCCCTGGGAATGGCCCCTCTGCTGATTGGCATTTGTCTGCAGGATGGATGCAGCCACCCCAAGACCTTCTGAATTCTCAAGGTTCCTTGAAGAACTGCAGGGAACTTTGCTTCTTTGATTACTGAAACTGGAAGATGCAGCAAACTCTTCCCAGGACAAAGAGCTGGAATAGAAAGGCAACCATGGCACTCACTGGCAACACTGTCTCCCCATGTGAAGGTCATTGGAGGTCAAGCTCCAGTAAACCCATCCAATAAACCTATTTCATGGAGGATTCATTCATTCATTAATTCTATAAATATTTCCTGAGGTTCTACTGTGTGCCAAGCACTATTCCCCACATCAGGACAGAATAGCCAACGAAAGAGTCAAAAACACCTTTGCTCGGAGCCTACATTTCCCATTTTGGAAGGCTTCTTGGGCCAAAAGAACCCAGAGAGAAGGACTCCATCCCTTCTCCTGCAGCACCAGAGAAGACCCTGCTGCACTCTACAATGGTCAAGTCCAGGAAAGAAAATTCAAGCTCCTGGTTATAAATGATAACTAACAACAAAGACTACAGCAACTGAGATGTTATGTTCCTTCTGCAAAGCTGAATTTCTCTAGTCTTAGTAAACATAAAGCTGCACTTTTCTTAGAAAAGCCAAGGGGAAATCAGAGGATGAATAATCGGAACCCTTGGAGTGAAGTGTAAGCCATCCGATATTTGGCTTATGTTTCACTGTCTGTTTCTTAAGAGGAGTTACCTTGTGTTCATTACCTTAGAGAAGAGAAAGACAGACAGAAAAAGAAAACTGTCACAGATGCTGGGAAAGTAAGCACTTGTATTAGTAACAGAAAACCACAGTAACGTGAGGAGTCACTCTCAGAAAGACTTTAAATCCTCTCTCACTCTCCAGCACATAGGAGGCCTAGGGATCTTTAGAGAAATCAGGGAGAAGGATAGATAATATCTCAGCACCATGACTCTCCCAGGAACATAAGATAGAATGTGAGGCAGGGGCCCCATCTTTCACCAGTTTCTACTCATTGGTAAGAAAACAAGGCTTGCTTTCTTATTTAAAGAACAAATCCTGTATCCACCATCTGAATTATTCTTGGCATCTGATGAGGGATGGAGACTACAGAGGCAAATTTGAAAGAAGAAATATTTTATTTTACAAGCTTGATTTGAATATAAGCCTTAAATTTATGTTGACCAAATCCAAGAATAAGATTATACAACCAAAACATAGCAAGGGGCAGGGGAAGTTTTGAGTTTTTTTCCTAATTACAAAGCCTACTAGGAGACTAATAATGGGGAAAACTTTCTCATGGAGCTGAATCCTGCAAAACCTAGTGATAAAGAACAAGAAAATAAGAATTGCAGTTTATTTCCATTCTCTTTTTCTTTCGTTATTTTATCTTTCTTAACCTATAATATATATGATTTTGCTTGTTCTAAAAGTGAGCTCACTAAAAGTGAGCCTTCGTTTTATGACAATTGTAGCCCAGATATATCTATTGGGAAATTTTTTATATGAATGCAGTGTCTATATCTATATAATATTCATTTTTGTAGTCTGTAGATCTGAATGGGTGACTAAATTAATGTTATGAACGGCTCACTTGAAATAACAAAGAGATAATTCCTTAATATATAAGCACAAAAATTAAAATCAATTTGCAATCTTGATCAAAGATATCAATAGTCACAAACAAGGCTGATTAAGAAAGCAACGTGAACATTCTGTAACTTGATCACAACCCATAATGAGTGTTGTCCAGAGGAGAGCCTTTTAGCAATTCACAAGGCCCTGTGTGCCTAACAGTTAATTCCTGCTTAGCCAGATTGTGCAGATTCATTCTCAGGCACAACATATAAAATGCTGGGAAATACCCCGATTTTTGGCTGCAGAACTGCAATTGAGCCATGAGGAAGACAGTCTCCGAGAAGACATAGGAGGGCACAGCTCTCCCATGAGGAAGACAGCCTCAGAGGAGACATAGGAGGGCACAGCTCTCCCATGAGGAAGACAGCCTCAGAGAAGACATAGGAGGGCACAGCTCTCTCATGAGGTAGACAGCCTCAGAGGAGACATAGGAGAGCACAGCTCTCCCACGAGGAAGACAGCCTCAGAGAAGACATAGGAGGGCACAGCTCTCTCATGAGGTAGACAGCCTCAGAGGAGATATAGGAGGGCACAGCTCTCCCATGAGGAAGACAGCCTCAGAGGAGACATAGGAGGGCACAGCTCTCTCATGAGGAAGACAGCCTCCGAGGAGACATAGGAGGGCACAGCTCTCCCATGAGGAAGACAGCCTCAGAGGAGACATAGGAGGGCACAGCTCTCCCATGAGGAAGAGAGCCTCAGAGAAGACATAAGAGGGCACAGCTCTCCCATGAGGAAGACAGCCTCAGAGGAGACATAAGAGGGCACAGCTCTCCCATGAGGAAGAGAGCCTCAGAGAAGACATAGGAGGGCACAGCTCTCCCATGAGGAAGAGAGCCTCAGAGAAGACATAGGAGGGCACAGCTCTCTCATAAGGAAGACAGCCTCAGAGGAGGCGTAGGAGGGCACAGCTTTCCCATGAGGAAGACAGCCTCAGAGGAGACATAGGAGGGCACAGCTTTCCCATGGCAAAGGGCTCAAGAAGACCTGGACTCTGCTGTGAAGAAGGAAATTGTCCCAGAAAGTCCAGAGCAAGAGTCCTCCCAAATTCTTTATCAGCTCATCCTAAGAGCTCACTGGATGGCTTCACGGGGGTCATTAATTCTTCTCCTCACTCAGGAGCTCTAGTCCACAAGTATCCAGTTTCACACACAGCTGCAAGACACTCCATTCTAGGGCCACAGTCCAGGATGCAGTCTTCACAGATTTTTTGATCAAATGGATCAAGAGTAGAGGGTCTGTCCATGAATAATAAAACATAGGGAGGAAATAAGACACATAGAATGGAATTCTCTCTTTGGGTTGAGAATATATATACCCAATAATTCTTTTTTTATTCCTTTGTAGGGGAAGAAAGGTTTCTTTTCCTCACCCATCACTAGGACTATGGCCGATGCCCCTGTAACAAAGTACAGATTGAGAGAAAAGTGTACACATGTATTTAAAAAGCTTTATGTGGCACAGGAGTCTTCATAAGAAAATGACCCAAAGAAACAGGAAATCTTGTGTATCATAGTGCTTAGTTAGGTTGGATGAACAGTGGACTCAGGTATTGGTACAATTGGACAGAGTGAGTATGCTCTCATGGAGATAAACTGGGGGAACTTAGCAAGGCCTGTGTGTTCAAATTCTTCTCTGTGTCCCTGTGTCTTCAGAGATAAGGATGTTTCTTTCTTCTGGGTATAAGGACTCTTCCTCTCAAATGAGGTCTTATGATCTGCTCCTGGGGGGTCAGAGAGTGACCTGCCTGCATCTGCTTCTTCTCAAATGCCACTTGTGATGCCCTTCCTGGGAGACAAAGCCATCTTTGAGTATTTCAGGATTCCAAAATAGACTCCATTCCTTGGATTTACCAAAAGCACCAGCCTAAAGGGCCTGTCAGGAAGTTCACCAGAAAGAGAAACCTATTTCCCTGTAAGGGAAGTGGCTGGATGGTCCCGCCCCAGATTCTCTGATGTGGACCTCACTTGGGATGCAACCCTGGTACAGCTCCTCCATCTCAGTCATTAGAAGTAAGTTCATTGAAAATGGTCTTCTGATACAGTCATTGCTGAATTGCAGTTTCAACTAATTATACCCCTCAGAATCTCCTTGAATTCTAACAACTAAGTAACTAAATGTCTACTAAGTACCTATAATTGTGCTGTCAAGAGTAATAAGTGAGGCCAGGCACGGTGGCTCTCGCCTGTAATCCTGGCACTCTGGGAGGCCAAGGCGAGTGGATCACTTGAGGTCAGGAGTTTGAGACCAGCCTGGCCAACATGGTGAAACGCTGTCTCTACTAAAATTACAAAAATTAGCTGGGCGTGGTGGAGGGTGCCTGTAGTCCCAGCTGTTAGGGAGGCTGAGGCAGGAGAATCACTTGCACCCAGGAGGCGGAGGTTGCAGTGAGCCAAGATTGCGCCATTGCACCCCAGCCTGGGCGACAGAGCGAGACTCTGTGTCATTTAAAAAAAAAAAAAGAGTAATAAGTGAATAATATGCAACATTATTCTTTCTACAGCTTCATATGCGTTGCATTTACACATGTTCTTATGTTTTTTATGAGACTTATATAGTGTGCAATGTGTATTTTCAACAGTGAAACTAAAAACTTCTCATGTGTCTTTCTTCTTTGGCCTTAAAAATTATTTTTTATGCTAACTAAATCATCTACATTATTACTCTGTGCTAACTAACATAAATAAACTAGTACACTATTCTCATTTACCCAACTTTTTTATACCGTTCCTACCAACAGTTCCAAATATAAGCTGTATTCATCATCAGTTAGTTCTAAAGAGTTTAGGTGCTCCCCCAATGTGCTCCTACAGCACCCTGAACCTCCTGCGTATGAGCTTTGATCATCCTGTATTGAAATGAGAAAATCCTGCATTTCCACTTTGTGCTAACCCCAGCATACCACGTCTGCAGAGTAGAGACTGTGTGTATCTTACTCATCCTTGAAGTTGCAGTGCCTGGGACCCCAGCATACCACGTCTGCAGAGTAGAGACCGTGTGTATCTTACTCACCCTTGTAGTCGCAGTGCCTGGGACCCCAGCATAACACATCTGCAGAGTAGGGACTGTGTGTATCTTACTCATTTGCAGTCACAGTGCCTGGGACCCCAGCATAACACATCTGCAGAGTAGGGACTGTGTGTATCTTACTCATCTGCAGTCGCAGTGCCTGGGACCCCAGCATAACACGTCTGCAGAGTAGGGAGTGTGTATCTTACTCATCCTTGCAGTCGCAGTGCCTGGGATAGGTGCTCAGTTGCTGAATGGCCACAGCCCGTGTGTTCTTTCTGTAGTGTGTGTCTCATTCAGAGGCTCAGCTGCAGACACAGGCTGAACTTTACACAAACTTCTTTCCCACCAGTCTGTTTCAAAGGAGCTCAACCATGCCCCAACATACTTTGACCCTTTTCAGTATCAATTTTCAACTGCTGTTTTCTACTCCTTGAAAGCATAACAAATAAAAGAACTTTTCTTTTTCAGTAAATTCTGAAACATAATTACCTTACCAGTCATGCCAAGTGAATCTCATTAAGCTCTTTTGATTAAGATAATGCTAATTCATAAAAGAAAGTATCCTAAATTTAACAAACAGGAAAAATCAGGGACTTGTCTAATTCAACTCACAAAATTGAGCCACGTTTCTTTTACCATGAACATGGTGAAAGGGATTCAACTAACTAAATAAAAGAAAACAAAAGGTAAGGTTAAGTAATAGCATATTACATTTGGGGATGAAGGAGAGTCTCTAATGCTGTAACAGAGGGATTACTTTTGAACTTATTTTCCCCGTCTTTATTACTGACTTTGTAGAGGAGTAAATTGCATATTTTTTTTCTTTTTTTGAGACAGTCTCATTCTGTTGCCCAGGCTGGAGTGCAATGGCACGATCTCAGCTCACTGTAGCCTCCGTCTCCTGGGTTCAAGAGATTTTCCTGCCTCAGCCTCCTGAGTAGCTGGGACTATAGGCATGCACCACCACACCTGGCTAATTTTTGTATTTTCAGTAGAGACAGTGTGTCACCATCTTGGCCAGGCTGGTCTCCAACTCCTGGCCTCAAGTGATCCACCTGTCTCAGCCTCCCAAATCGTTGAGATTACAGGGGAAGCTGAGATAGCAAATTTGTTAAGGCTTTTGGAGTTGTTGTTGGATTCTGTAGGAGTAATATCACAAAGGGTGCCCATGTAGAAGGAGCCCCTTTACTCACAGCATTTATCATGACCTGGGTAACAGGCCTATTCAGCTGGGGAATATCCCAGTCATCATAAAGTCAGCCCCACACGGCTCACATACAAAGCATATCGGCTGGGTCATCTGGGGTGCTCCGACACACAAAGCATATCAGCTGGGTCATCTGGGGTGCCCCAACATACAAAGCATATCAGCTGGGTCATCTAGGGTGCTCTGCTTGGCATTTATAGGTGGAGTTGGACCATCTGCTTATCACGGAAAACAGACCTTCCTGTGGCTTTTCTCTAGTCCACTCGTCTGGCTGTTCCTGCATGAATAACCTCCTGTGTGTCTGGATCACATATACCCATCTGTGGTTGTTCAATAGTGAGTGTGGGTCCTGCACCAGCCCAAACAACTCTTCCACTCTGCAGCATTTAAAACCAGAGACGCTGCTCCTAAATTAGTCACTCTCGATCTGTTTTAGTAAAAGTTCCTCGAGAAGTTAATGATATCAATGTTCAAAATGGAGCAGTTCCTTCACAGGACACCCTCTGGTTTCAACAGTAGTTGGATTTTCCCTTCTCCCACATTCACTGCCTTCTTGGTGACCACAGTTCTGAAGGTACTTTCTGGTGTCCAGGCTTAATGTTCCCCTTTCTGGGTGGCTTTGAGGCTGGTGGCCTGAGTTGAGACAGACCCACATCTGAGTTTATTCCAGCCTCAAGGCCTTACCCAGCACCGTCTTTAACTTTCATTTTAGCCATTATAGATAACAATAACCAAGGGACTGAATCTTTTGCTTTTTTCTTGTTAGTTTGCATTTCCTTATGCATCCAGTGAACTAATTCCTGGGAGGTTGGATCCATCTCTAAATTCGGCTGATAACTTTTACCTTTAGTAACTGATCTCAACATAGCTGCAGCTTCATACCATGAGTGACCACGTGGCCACCTGGGAATCGAAGATTCTTCATCCTCCCACCCTTTAATCCTTTCTCTTTTCAAAGCACATGCTTCCATCAGTCAGGGCCATTTAAGCAAATCCCACTTCACTGACAATTATGTAGGGAAAAACTCTCTCAAACCTTGTTTTTTTTCCCTCTACTCTCACACCACAAAAATCATCAGCACAGAAGAAGACTTCTATGACCAAATGTATGGGGGTCTTTTCCCCATGCATCAAGCGCAGACACAAGTTTGGTGTCCTCGAATTCAGTTCTGACACTGTCTACCCTGAGATAGCATCAGGTCCCATAGATTGGGGGCTCAGTACCCAAGATTCTCCCCAGACTCCCAGACACGAGTTGCAAGTCTGGGCTTCCAGAACATCTGACTGACTGGCTTCAGGTTGAAGTTCCCATGATCCCCGCATTGAGTTTGATTAATTTGCTGGAACAGCTCATAGAACTCAGAGAAACACGTTTACCAGCTTATCACAAAAGATGCTACAACAGATACAGGTGAAAAGACACATAAGGCACGGTATGGGGGATGTGGCATGGCACTTCCTCACCTCCCTGGACACTACCCTCCTCTACGAACCTCCACGTGTTCAGCTAACCAGAAGCTTTGGTGCCATTTTCAAATGCCATAGCCTCACTTTGTGTCTGTGTCACATTTTGGTAATTCTAGCAATATTTCAAAATGTATTAGTATACTTGTTATGGTGCTCCGTGATCAGTGACCTTTGACGTTACTGCTATGTTCTGGGGCACCATGAGCTGCAACCATGTACGATGGCATACTTAATTGATACATACTGTATGGACTCTGACTGCCTCACCAACCCGCTGTTTTCCCATCTCTCTTCCTCTCCTTGGGCCTCCCTATTTTCTGAGACTCAACAATATGAAAATTAGGCCAATTAATAATCCTACAAGCCAAATAATAATCCTACAGTGGCCTATAACTGTTCGTGTAAAAGGAAGAGTCTCATGCATTTCTCACTTAAAATCTAACGCTAGAAATGATTAAGCTTAGTGAGGAAGGCATGTCAAAACATGAGACGGGCTGAAAGCTAGGCCTCTTGGATGAAACAGCCAAACTGTGAATGCAAAGGCAAAGTTCTTGAAGGATGTTAATCCAGTGAGCACACCATGCTAAGAAAGTGAAACAGCATTACTGTTGGTATGTGGAGTTTAATGGTCTGGATAGAAGGCCCAACCAGCCAGAACATTCCTTTATGCCAAATCCTAATTCAGAGGAAGGCCCTGACTCTCTTCGGTTCCTTAAAGGCTGAGAGAAGTGTGGACGCTGCAGAAGAAAAGTTTGAAGCTAGCAGAGATTGGTTCATGAGGTTTAAGGAAAGAAGTGCTCTTCATAGCATAACAGTGCAAGGTGAAGCAAGAAGTGTGATGGAGAAGCTGCAGCAAGTTACCCAGAAGATCTAGCTGAGATCACTGATGAAGGTAGCCACACTACACAATAGACTTTCAGTGTAGATAAAACAGCCTTCTCTACTGGAGGTACATGTCATCTAGGACTTTCACAGTTAGAGAGAAGAAGTCAATGCCTGGCTTCAAAATTTCAAAGGACAGGCTGAGTCTCATGACGGGTTAATGCATCTGGCAACTTTCAGTTAAAGCCAATGTGCCCTTACCATTCTGAAAATTCCAGGGCCCTTAAAACTTACGCTAAACCTACTCTGCCTGTGCTCTACAAATGGAACAACAAAGCCTGAATGACAGCACGTCTATTTATACTATGGTTTACTCAATATTTTAAGCTCACTGTTGATACCTACTGCTCAGAGAAAAAGTTTTCTTTCAAAATATTAGTACTCCATGACACCTAAGAGCTCTGATGGGGATATACAAGGAAATCAACTTTGTTTCCATGCCTGCTAATACAAGATCATTCTGAAGCTCAGGGATGAAGGAGTAATTTCAACTTCCAAGTCTTATTCTTTAAGAAATACATTTCATAGGGTTATCGCTGTCATATAATTCCTCTGATGGATTTGGGCAAAGTAAACTAAAAACCTTATGGAAGGTATTCACCATTCTAGATGCCATTGAGAACATTCATGATTCATGGGAGGGGGGCAAAATATCAACATTGACAGGAGTTTGTAAGAAGTTGATTAAAATTGTCATGGATAACTTTAAGGAATTCAAGACTTCAGTGGAAGAAATAACTGCAGATGTGGTAGAAAGAGCAAGAGCAAAAGAACTAGAATTAGAAGTGGAGCCTGAAGATGTGACTGAATTCCTGCATCTCATGATCAAACTTGATGAAATGAGGACTTGCTTTTTATGGATGAGCAAAAAGAAAAGTGGTGTTTTTTTTTTGGGAGGGATGAAATCTCCTCCTGGTGAAGATACTATGAACATTGTTGAAACAGCAATAAAGGACTTGGAATATTCAATAAACTTAGTTGATCAAGAAGCAGCAGGCTTTGAGAGGATGGACTCTAATTCTGAAAGAAGTTTCACTGTGGGTAAAATGCTATTAAACAGCATCACATGCCACAGAGAAATTTTTCATCAAAGGAAGGGTCAATTGATGTAGCACACTTCACTGTCGTCTTATTTTAAGAAATTGCTGGCCAGGCGCCATTTCTGATGCCTGTAATTCCACAACTTTAGGAGGCTGAGGCTGGTGGATCACCTGAGGTCAGGAGTTTGAGACCAACCTGGCTGACATGGTGAAACCCCGTCTCTACTAGAAATACAAAAATTAGCCAGGCATGGTGTTGGGTGCCTATAATCCCAGCTACTTGGAAGGCTGAGGCAAGAGAAATCACTTGAACCCTGGAGGCAGAGGTTTCAGTGAGCCGAGATCCTGCCACTGCACTCCAGCCTGGGAAACAGACTGAGACTCCATCTCAAAAAAAAAAAAAAAAAGAAATTGTCACAGGCACTCCAACCTTCAGTGCCCACCACCCTGATCTGTTGGCAGCAATCAACATAGAGGCAGGACCCCCATCATCAAAAAGATTACAACTTGCTGAAGGCTCAGATGATCAATAGCATTTTTATCAATAAATTATTTTAAATTAAGGCATGTACATTGGTATTTTCAGACATATTGAAATTGTACTCTTAATAGACTACAATATAGTGTTCACATGACTTTCATGCATTGCAAAACCAAAAAATATGTGTGGCTCACTTTATTGCAGTGTAGTCTGGAACCGAACTCACAATATTTCCAACGTGTGTCTGTAAATAGGACAGAGATACAGTGAGTCGTTAATGGTCAAGAAACCCAGAAACCTGATGAGAGTAAACTAGCCTCAAGACTGAGGAAAAACTTTCCAGAAGAATTTGGGCCTGTTATTGTCCTCATTCATGCATGCAATACTAACCTGCATGCCTACTTATGCCAAGAACTATTTTAAGAGATAGAGATTCAGCAATTAACAAAACAGTCTCTGCTCTCATGGAGCTTGCATAGGGCAAAGTGGGAGCAACCAGTGAAGAAATTTGAAAATGTGTATACAAGATAGGTCAGATGATAAGAAGTGCTTTAAAGAAGAATAAAGTAAAATAAGAGAATAGAGAGTAAGAAGGTGCCATTTTAAGTGAAATGGTCAGAAAAGATTCTTCTTATGACAGAGTAATAATTAATAATTAAGCAAAGGCCTGGATAAGAGAGGAAGTAAGCCATGCTGATTCCTGATGAGAAAGCATTCCAGGCAAAGGGGACCACACATGCAAAGGCCCTGAGGCAGAAGCACATCTGCCTGGTGTCTTTGAAGATTGCAATAATAGAGGGGAGACTGATGGGACTAGAGATCAGAGAAGTGTCAGGGGACAAGATGGTTTAAGACATTCCTAGCCATGGAAGGTTTTAAGCAGATGAAAATATTATTTGCCTTATGCTTTAAAAAGACTTACTCTGGATCACCTGAGGTCAGGGGTTCGAGACCAGCCTGGCCAACATGGCAAAACCCCGTCTCTATTAAAAATACAAAAATTAGCCAGGCTTGGTGATGCATGCCTGTAGTCCCAGCTACTTGGGAGGCTGAGGCAGGAGAATCGCTTGAACCCAGGAGGTAGAGGTTGTAGTGAGCCCAGATTGCACCACTGCACTCCAGCCTGGGTGACAGAGGAGACTCTGTCTCAAAAAACAAAAATAAATACTTACTCTGGTTGCTCAGTGAAGAACAAAGTGCAGGGAGAAAGAGAAAGTGGGAGAGGAGTTAGGAGGCTATTTTGATAATCCATGAAAGCAATGACGTAAAGTGAAGCAGGGTGTACACAATGGGTGTGGCAAGGGAAGCTCAGATTCTGAATACAGTTCAACAGTGTATGCTGATATGAAGTGCAAGAAACAAAGAAGGGTCAGGGCAAGTTTTCTGGCCTAACGGCTGGTATGCTGGAGGTGCTATTTACTGAGACGGAGAAGACTGAGGAGTGTTGGGCCCAGGGGTTGAAGGTGGAGGATCAAGAATTCCCTTATGGATGTGTGATAGTTGTCTATTAGTCTTCCAAGTGGTGATAACTGGCAGATAATTAGATATGAGTCTAAATTTTAGAGGAGAGGTAGGAGCTGGAAATATGTATTCATGGACCGTGCACACACACATGGAATTTAATGCCATTGGGCTTCATGAGATCACAGAGGCATGAGTGCACCTAGAAAAACGGTTGAGAACTGAGACCCGGGATACTCCCTTGTTAAAAGGTAAATGTTCCTTTTACATTTTGAACTTATAGAAATAATGACACAGTAGCCAGCCAGTTGCTGAAACTCTACTCAGTTCAGAGTAAAACAAAATTCCTATTTTATCGAATCACTGAATGCCATTTAAAATTCAGAATACTTGCAGAGATCCCAAATATCTTAATAAAGATGAATGCCTAAGTTCAGATTGGTGGCCTAGACTCTGCCTTCCCTGATTGTCTATTTAAAAATAACAATAATGATAATAATAAGAAGAAAATATTTATGGATCACTAGATATGTTGAAATACACTCAAAGGTAGATTCATTTCTTTTCTACTATACCCTTGTAACTATCAGTCTATAAAATAGTTTTATTAGAAAGTCACAGTCACCCTCAAGCCAATAGCAGCTTATAAATACAGGGCAAGGAGCCTGGTGTGGGGAGGCTGAGAAATAATTGAGAGAGCCAGTAGATATGAAGCTAACAAATAACACTGTCAACCAGAATTAGGCAGATAAGCCAGAGGCAGTGCAAGTGGCGGGTCAAGACAAGTAGACAGACAGAAGCCAGGAGTGAGAGACGGGAGGTCCAAAGTGCAATAAAACACTCAAGAACCAGTCAATCCATGGGAGCTTACAGCTGGAGGGGCGGCTGAAGGGAGGAGCATCCAGGTAGAGGGGAAGGAATGGTGGTATGAACAGGAGGCAGGAGGGCTCAAGCTATTTGATATGTTTGAGAGTGAGGTGCTTTTTTGAGGCTGAGAAAATAACTGGAAGCCAGAATCTGGAGGACTGGGTAGACCATGTTAAACAGCAAGCACTTGATTCTGCATGTGTTGGAAGCCAGTGCAGGGCTTCTAAGCAAGGCAGTGACATGATCACATCACATTTTAGGAAGGTTACAAATTAGGCATGGCCACAGGCAGGAAGACCTGAGGGATCTCTTACAGTCAGGGATAAGAGTCTAACCAACAAGGTGGCCATGAACATTCAAAGAAAGAAGACCGAAGAGACTTTAGAAGGCAGCCTCCACGGGACCTGACTGAAGGGGTTTGGGAGACTCACAGCTTTCTGCTGTGAAGTCAAGGATATCACAAACTATTGGAATAAAAGAAACAGTCCTAGGGCTGGGGGTAGGTAGGTGAATGCAGTTCCTTTTTGAACGGAGGAGAAAATTCAGGTAATTCATTTTGATTGATCAAGCAAAATAATTTGAAGCTGAACATTATAGAAGCAACAACAATTCTTATGATGTTGGGGTATAGGAAACAGGCCCAAGAAAGCACAGTATTTCCTGTTTCTCTTCTGATTCAATAAATAATAAGAATATTTTCTGTTAAAGTTTTTGATAACGTGTTGTTTTAATTAATCAAAAGGAGACAAGATACATTTGAACTTAAAAGCATAAGAAAATCAGTTGTCTTTTTAGAAAAGGTGAGTCAGCATGGGTAGGAAGAATCAATATCGTGAAAATGGCCACACTACCCAAGGTAAATTATAGATTCAATGCCATCCCCATCAAGCTACCAATGATTTTCTTCACAGAATTGGAAAAAACTACTTTAAAGTTCATATGGAACCAAAAAAGAGCCCGCATTGCCAAGTCAATCCTAAGCCAAAAGAACAAAGCTGGAGGCATCATGCTACCTGACGTCAAACTATACTACAAGGCTACAGTAAGCAAAACAGCATGGTACTGGTACCAAAACAGAGATATAGACCAATGGAACAGAACAGAGCCCTCAGAAATAATGCCGCATATCTACAACTATCTGATCTTTCACAAACTGACAAAAACAAGAAATGGGGAAAGGATTCCCTATTTAATAAATGGTGCTGGGAAAACTGGCTAGCCATATGTAGAAAGCTGAAACTGGATCCCTTCCTTACACCTTACACAAAAATTAATTCAAGATGGATTAAAGACTTACATGTTAGACCTAAAACCATAAAAACCCTAGAAGAAAACCTAGGCAATACCATTCAGGACATAGGCATGGACAAGGACTTCATGTCTAAAACACCAAAAGCAATGGCAAGAAAAGACAAAATTGACAAATGGGATCTAATTAAACTAAAGAGCTTCTGCACAGCAAAAGAAACCACCATCAGAGTGAACAGGCAACCTACAGAATGGGAGAAAATTTTTGCAACCTACTCATCTGACAAAGGGCTAATATCCAGAATCTACAATGAACTCAAACAAATTTACAAGAAAAAAACAAACAACCCCATCAAAAAGTGGGCAAAGGATATGAACAGATACTTCTGAAAAGAAGACATTTATGCAGCCAAAAAACACATGAAAAAATCCTCATCATCACTGGCCATCAGAGAAATGCAAATCAAAACCACAGTGAGATACCATCTCACACCAGTTAGAATGGTGATCATTAAAAAGTCAGGAAACAACAGGTGCTGGAGAGGATGTGGAGAAAGAGGAACACTTTTACACTGTTGGTGGGACTGTAAACTAGTTCAACCATTGTGGAAGTCAGTGTGGCAATTCCTAAGGGATCTAGAACTAGAAATACCATTTTACTCAGCCATCCCATTACTGGGTATATACCCAAAGGATTATAAATCATGCTGCTATAAAGACACATGCACACGTATGTTTATTGCGGCACTATTCACAATAGCAAAGACCTGGAACCAACCCAAATGTCCAACAATGATAGACTGGATTAAGAAAATGTGGCACATATACACCATGAAATACTATGCAGCCATAAAAAAGGATGAGTTGATGTCCTTTGTAGGGACATGGATGAAGCTGGAAACTATCATTCTCAGCAAACTATCACAAGGACAAAAAACCAAACACTGCATGTTCTCACTCATAGGTGGGAATTGAACAATGAGAACACATGGACACAGGAAAGGGAACATCACACTCCGGGGACTGTTGTGGGGTGGGGGGAGGGGGGAGGATAGCATTAGGAGATATACCTAATGCTAAATGACCAGTTAATGGGTGCAGCACACCAACATGGCACATGTATACATATGTAACAAACCTGCACGTTGTGCACATGTACCCTAAAACTTAAAGTATAATAATAATAAAAAAAAGAAAATAATAAGACTAAAGTCAAACTGTCCATTAAAATTTATATAATTCAATTTTGAGATTTTCTTAGTATATAATTTACATACATGACATACATGTGGATGTTTGGAGGTATATCCACATACATTCACCCATTTATTCTTTTATTTATTAATTTGTTTATTTGCTCATTAAAAAAATACTAAGTGATTACTCCAGGGATTGGGGTCTAAACATGTATAAGCCTTGGGGCCTCTCCTTAAAATCCACTGAGGCAAAGATGGGCAAATAAGTGGCTATAATGTATCCTGAAAAAAAAAGGAAAAGGAGAGTCAGTATTTCCTATGGTCTGAAATCATCTTTCAAATAATGGGATGTGAGACAAATGAGATGCTACTTATCTAGCCCTTTCCTTGATAGATTAAAAACGATATCAAAATCTTACTACATTGCAAAGACAGTAATTCACTCAGTTGAGAATCCACAGTATACAAACATATAAATCAAGGGAATTTTAAAAACAATCATTGTGTTCAAAATGGGAAGAGTATTTCAAATTTTTTCTACATATTTCAGAATAATTTCACAGTTAAAAACCCTGTACTTTATGAAATCATTATCCAGTATTTAATAAAGTATATCTATGACAATATCAACGTTGGAATTTAACAGTTTACAAAGCACTTTTGATACATCACATTTAAATGAAGGCGGCAACGAGTTCAGTACATTCACGCAGATTAGAAAACAGTTTTTGAAGATTGCATTTGTTCATGTAAGTCAGAAGGTTTGAACTATTTCCTACCCCTGCTATAGGTTTAAACCTAAGAATTGTTATTCATTACGATTTGGTCTTTAAATAAATCACGAAGGTAGAGGGTAGAGCACACCCCTTCAATGCACTGAGGTGCCGTAAGGCTCCAACGCCAGAGGCGGCCGGTTGGAATTTAGTTCAATCACGCGTTTGTTATGAAAACTCTGACAAGCTTCAGCTCTAAAGTAAGCTTGGAAACACAAAGAAACTCTGAGAAAAATACCAAACACACACACACAAACACACACACACACACTCACTCCTCTCTTTTTAGCTGGGCATAGAAAATGTAAGTGTACCAACAAGCAACCTCCAAAGAGCAAATGACACAGAAAATTCAAACGAGCGCCTGGTAGGAGTTGTAACTTCAACAAAGTGCCTCTCATATCTGCCTCATAAACCCGTACTCATTTTTCACAACTAACTCACATAGCACCTCCTCAGTGACACCTTTCCTGTTCTGCCCACCAGATATACCTGCGGACCAAGCGTAGTCTCTCACCCAGAACACAGGGCACCTTATACAGGGGGCTCTGTCTACAGGGGGCTCTATGCTTTGACAGGAACTGTGGACCTATGGGCAGCGGTTTTTCAAATCATGTTTGTGGCTCTCATTACAATTGTCCTGCCTCAGGCACCCAGCAGGCGGTAATAAATGCTGGTTGAACACTAAAACCTTGGAATGCTACATCATTGTTCTAAAGGATAGTCATTTTTTAAAACATTTTGGAAGTTCTTTTGAAACTGACTTTTTAGATTATGAAAATATCTCAGTGATAGGTTTTGGTTTTCCAAGTTAGACCTTATTTTATTTTAGAAACTGTCAAAAGTTATACAAAACCAAGCATGTATCTCTGTGCGTTTTGTTTTCTCTTCTCCCTTACTGCTAAGGAAGGGTTTCTTCTCTTTTCTAGGCCAAATGCTCCACAAATGAATGTGTTAACAAATGAACAAATTAATAAATGACACGAATGGGAGCTCAAACTGCATAAAAGTATATTTACTCAAAAATGGGAGGTGACGATTGCTAACATGTCATAACCAGACTCTGTCATGACCTCGGCAAGCCACAACATTGACAATAAAGAGGAAAGAGGATCAAGTCCCTAAATACCCAGGTGAACTAAGACCTTCCCACGTGCCCGAAGAAGATACACTTGCAGAGGAGAAATGATGATGCAGGGGCCTGCTCCGAGATGCAGGAGGAAGTTTAATTGCCTGTGAATTTCACTGGGAAGGAAGGGATGAAACGAGGTTTGAAAGGAAATAGAGATTGTTAAACTCCTGACTAGGCGATAACTGCCGTCCTTCTCTTCTATCTGCCCCTGTGACTAGGCGGTAACTGCCGTCCTTCTCTAATATCTGCCCCTGTGACCAGGCGATAACTGCCGTCCTTCTCTAATATCTGCCCCTGTGACTAGGCGATAACTGCCGTCCTTCTCTTCCATCTGCCCCTGTGACTAGGCGATAACTGCCGTCCTTCTCTTCCATCTGCCCCTGTGACTAGGCGATAACTGCCGTCCTTCTCTAATATCTGCCCCTGTGACTAGGCGATAACTGCCATCCTTCTCTTCCATCTGCCCCTGTGACTAGGCGATAACTGCCGTCCTTCTCTGCTGTCTGCCCCTACCTTGGGCCCCAAATGGCTCAGCACTAAAGTGCCTTGAGCAGGCTCCAGCCCAAAGGTGGCCTCCATGGTTACCACTTCCCACTCTGCTGCCCTGCCTCGCTTTCCTCCTCGGCCTTCCCGGATGGATGACCGATGTCATTCCCAGGTTCCCTAACACTCAAGCCTAGCCCCTCAGTTTCTAGCAAGCATCAAGCTTCACTGTGTGTCTAGCCTCTCAGGAGTCAGACCTGAGAAGTATAGCTTGGTGGAAATTCAGTGGCAGGGAAGAAAGAAGGAAGGAAAGAAGACTCTGAGCTGGATTCATACACATCATCGCAATTCATCCACACCACAGTCCTGTAAGGTATGTGCCATTGTACTCAGAAAACTGAGGCTCAAAGAGATTGAGCAACTTATCTAAGCCTTCGCAGGTCCTGAGAGCAGAGCTTGGATTTTAAACACCTGGGAGACTCTGAAATCCATGTTAGCTCTTCTATACATGAGCCCAAAACGCAGCTGTACACCAAGACTGACTTCCTCTTACAGCTTATCACTAGCTCTGAATACAAGAGTCCTCAAAATGCTTTATAAGCAACAGTAGCATCATGGGAATAAGTTGGCAAGTTCCCAGCATTACTGCTTTAGAGGCACTTGAACTTTTTCTCCATGTATAGAGTCAAGAATAAGAAAAAGGATCCAAAGGAGAAGGAGAGAAATAAAACGGGACTGAGCCTTATACTTCTTGACCCAGAACAGACAATGGTGGGATTTTCCTTACTTTTTTTCCAGGCAAATCCAATAAAGACGTCTGTTTCTGTTACCTAAAACCAACTTGAAAAGTTTGCTCCCTCCCACCTTAAGTGTCTTTGAATAGAGCCCACAGTTGAACATTGGTTCCTACGGCAAAGATTCATTTCAAAGTGTTTATAGTATTATTCGAAGCACGTTTGATTTCAGCCTGGGCAACCATGGCAGAATGTCAGCAATGCTCCCCGTATTAGCTGTCGGAGAGAAAACACTGTGAAACCCAAACACCTTGGTTATTGGGCCAATGAAACATTTATGCCCTGATCAGATGGAGCAAAGCTTCGGCAGGGTTAGTGAGCCACCTTCCAAGTGTACCAATGAAGCTCTTGCCTGCTGTTTCAGATAAATGACTTTCATTTCACTGTTGGCTTGTGCTTGAGAAGGTTATTCAATTGATTCCAGTTGTTTGCAATGCCTTGAAGGCAAGTAATGTTGTAGCATCCACTGTCCTCATAACACACTGTTTCTTTTCTAAGGAAGGTTGTTGTCATAATACCCTAGATATCCACAGAAAATATTCTACTTCTTATCATATATTAATTTTGCTCTGGAATAAGTAAATGTAACTACCAGAATGCTAATGAGGATGTTACACTGTTGTTTATTTGTGTGTTCTAATCTGTAGATAAACAGCAAGATCTCTTTTATTTCATGATTCCAAGTCTCAGGCCACAGCAGGACAAGTATCAAAACATCTATTCTCAATTCGGAGTTGAGATTTCTAATAAGAATTCTATTTTCTCCATAATCATAAAATAGCACCAGGAAAAGTCAATATCTATCTTAAAATACAGACCATTGAAAAGTAGATCTTTCTGCCCTTAACATAAACAAACTGTAAAATCTGAAGTTAAAATTATTCCTTGTACCAGCCTCCTAATTTACCCAGAGTTAACAGAAAAGTTATAGCAGTGCAGGAAGCTCTGAGGCTTTGATGGGTGTAGATATAGACATACAAACCTATCATTTCACACTAGTCAGAATACCAGTCATAGAAATCCCCGCAGGGAAAAATCTGAAGGTATCTGGTCTTATGGACTGTATAATTAAACTTTCTTATCATTGTACCTAAACCAAAATATGCTTCCTATACAAAGAAGGTTTCTTTCAAGAGTTAAGACTGCCTCCTGCCATCCTCCTTAACACACACACACACACATGCACACACACACACACACACACACACAGAGAGAGAGAGAGAGAATTGAGAGCATTAGTCCTTTTCTCCCTTAGACTGATTTTTTCTTACTGTTATTTTCAGCCACTTTGTTAACGGTGGGGTTAAAGGGCAGGATAGATGTAACACCCATTTCACATACATATTGCAACATCAGAGATGCTGGTTTTCATTAAAAACACCAGATCTAAATTCCTTCTAAAATATATTTTAAAAAATCAGTACACTTGGCACCTTGGAAATGCTGAAATGTTATCATGAATGCTCGTTATTTGTTATGAGTCAATTGAATATTATCTTCAATATAAACTATAATTTACTGGTCTGATAGCTCTTCCTATCTTACCTGTATATACTCAAAGGGAGCGATTTCTCATGTTTAGCAAATTGTTCTTTAGGTAATTTGTTCTTTAGGTTTTTTGTACAAAAGTACAAAATAGTTATCACAGCAAACTTTCCAGTATTTGTTATTTTGAAGCTATATGGTTTTTTTTTTTTTTTTTGCCATGTCAGGCTTGAGCAGGATAGCAAATATATAAATTGAGCTCTCTAATTATAATCTCAATATATGAATTCTTGCTAATTAAAATACTTTGCACCAGCAAAAACAATTTTCATGTATGTGTTTAGGAGGTAGTTAAGTAACTCTATATAAAAATAAGTGCACTTTCCCCTCCTTTCTTCAGTGACTAGAAAACGTCCATATTTTTAAAATAATCAAATAATAATTTTAGAGAGCAACAGCCCTCAACTCTTTGCTGGTGCTTATCACACTGCCTTTCTTCACTCCATTCTTAGCTCTGCTAGTTTCTTCTTGTCTGTAATGATAATAAGGGAATGTGGGTGGGTCAGCACTTCTGTGTAGGTCCCCTTTCCAAATTTACCTTCCAAAAAGCCAACCAAATAAACAACCAAAAAATTGTGCAACAAAACACAAATAGCGTTCCAATAGCAAGTGATGCATTCACCTGAGATTAAGTGGTTTTAGGTGGTCAGTAACAAAATGCTGCTTTGCTGTCATAGTAGAAAGGCAACAAATTCTTCAAAGAAACCAAGAAGGTTACAACCTTGACAAAGTCTCTCATTACCTTCCTCCTCTTGTGTCTTTTTTCTCCACATTATCTGTTGCGTATCTACTATAGAAGGCTGCAAAACATACAGCAGAAAGGATGGCTTGAAGGCAATTGATGTTTGTAAAAAAATCCACAACAGGATCCAAGCTGAAGAGGTGAACACGTCAGCCTGGTGGGACAATTCTCAGCATGTGCAAACATAGGTAAATTCTAGCCTATGTTACATTAAAAACAATGTCAGTGCATTTTTTCATGTTAAAGTTTTTTTCAAAGCTAAAGTGTGTTCCTTGTTGTGCTGACCACAAACGAGTTTTAAGAGTTTTGAAAGTCTGGCAAAAATAGAAAAAAAAAAAAAGCTGTAGTGACATTGAACTGCTCAATGTAAGCATTGGGCATGCACAAATTTTCAAAACAAAGGAAGGAAATCATCCCTCTTACAACATGGTTAGGCTGATCTTTAAGAAATAAAATGTAAGAAATTAGAAAAGCAAATGTTTGGCACCTACATATCCAATATCTGGCACCGTGCAGAGTAGAAGAGTGAAAGAAATAACGAAGAACAAAGTGGTTACTTTGCTTCAGGAGTTCATGATCTGTAGTTAGAAACCAATATAAACATTGTGAGTATATTTCAAAGAAAGAGAAAAGCAGGCCGGGCATGGTGGCTTGCACCTGTAGTAATAACGCTTTGGGAGGCCAAGGTGGGAAAATTGCTTGAGCTCATGAGTTTGATACCAGCCTGAGAAATATAGTAAAACCTCATCTCTATAAAAAAAATTAATTAAAAAAAAGGCAGAGCAAAAACAAATATGAAAGAAAACATTAGAAATCAGAGCTTGGGCAAAGAGTTAAATGTGAGCAAAGCATCTCTGCCTTGGGGGGCCTCTGGAGCATCCCGGCTTCCTGTAGAGGCCCCACCACATGGCCCTTTCCCATCACTGGGAACTGTCTTCTGTATCGTGCCAGGATTTTCCCCCAAACTTCTCAACCTAATTTATTCAGCCAAAACATATATATTTCTTGAATCCTTGCTAAGAGCAAGGCACTGTTCTACATAATGAAAATATGGCAATGATATAAAACAAAAATATTTACCCTCAGGCAAATTACATTCCAGTGAGAAAAGACAGATCATTAATAAAATAAATATGTAAAATATAGAATATGCCAGAAGGTAATAAGTGGTACAGAGAAAAATTAAGCATGGAAGGGAGCTCAGGAATGCTGGGAGTGGGTAGATGTGAAGGTAGTTAGAATGCTCAAGGAGGGAGTAATAGGCAGAAGAATGGCCTTTCTACATGTCCATATCCCTATATGGCAAAAAGGACTTGTGGATGTGATGAAGTTATGGATCATGAGATGAGGAGATTATTCTGGATTACCCAGGTTGGCTCAATGTCATCACAAGAGTACTTAAAAGCAAAAGAGGGAGGCAGGAGAGTCCGAGGCAAGAGGCGTGACAGCTAGGGTCAGAATGACGTGGTGGCTGCCTGGAAGGGGGCCAGGAGCCAAGGGATGCAGGCATCCTCTCAAAGCTGCAGAAGGTAAGAAAGTGGTCTCTCTCCCCTAGAGAGAGTGTGTGTTCTCTTAGCCTACTAGAGGTGTGTTAATTTATTCCTGCAGTCATAGAAAACATATAGAAGGTCTCACTGAGAAGACAACATTTGAACAAAGATTCCAAGGAGGCGAGGGCACCAGCTATGCAGATATCTGGGGAAGAGCACTCGAGGAAGAAAAGGCAGGCAAACAGCAGGGTGCACACCTAGCCCAGGTGCATGAAGTAGAGAACACTGGGAGTCAGAAGGCTAACAGGAGACAAGTCAGAGAGAGGGACTGGGGTGGGTCAACTCACACTCAGCCTCACTGGCTACTGTAAGAACTTCAAGTTATTCTGAGACACTCAGTATAGGAGAGTCTATGAATATTTATAGAAATTCTGAATGTTTACAAGACGAATAAAAGTGGTATGCTAGTAAACTTATTGGTTGGGTGGGGAGAAGCCCAGATTTGTAGCATTTGCTGATTTCCATTGTGTAAATATTTCTACTGATGGTTTGACAAACACTTCATAAAATTCCTGGGTACTTAATTATCAGCTCCAGTAGAGCACTGCATGTATGACATCCCATTTGCCAATTCCACACTAGATTCTGTTGGGGACAAGCTGTATGAGAGTCAACTAGCAACAGAAATAAGGAAGTCCTCAATAAAAATCAGCATTTACTTTTGACAGATGTGAGATTCTGGAATGTATTTCTCTTTACTTGCTCTGCCTGGTGATTAAATTATGATTTTAAAAGAAATAGTTTTAATTCCTTATCAGAATGCTGCCACCAAATAAATAAAATACGTACTTTAACTATATGCAATCTTGTCTATATTATACTGTTGTCAACGGAAACATTATCAGGGGCCAGCTTCATGAAAGGAGATATGTGATAGAAGCTGGAGTTGTTGGAGTGAAAAAAAAAGTCAAATTTTACTTTGGATTAATCAGAGGGAAGAAAGCAGACAGATAGGAAAGGAAAGGCAGGCTTAGCCAAGTTGAAGAAAGAGGCTGAACTCAGGAGGCAGTGGGAGAATAGGATCATAGTTTGAAGAGAGCTGCAAGGCTGTTTAGTCCAGGTGAGGATCATAATCCCAGAAGACCCAGTCACAAACACCATAACCCTGAATGTTGAAATCCTGAAAGATCAAAATTCCTAAGGTCTAAATTCATTTCTTTTTAGTAGAGATGGAGTGAATTAGTTCATTCTTGTGCTCCCAATAAAGACATACATGAGCCTGGGTAATTTATAAAAGAAAGAGGTTTAATTGACTCACAGTTTGGCATGGCTGGGAAGGCTTCAGAAAACTTACAATCATGGTGAATGCAAACAAGAAGCAAGGCACTTTTTCACAAGGCAGCAGGAGGTGCTGAGCAAAAGGGGAAAAGCCCCTTGTAAAACCTTCAGGTATTGCTCACTGTCATGAGAACAGCATGGGGGTAACCACCCCCCTGATTCAATTACCTCCGACTGGGTTCCTCCCACAACATGTAGGGATTATGGAAACTAAAATTCAAGGTGAGATTTGGTTGGCAACACAGCCAAACCATATCATTCTGCCCCCAGCCCCTTCCAAATCTCATGTCCTTACATTTTAAAACATGATCATGCCTTTCTAACAGTCCCCCAAAGTCTTAGCTCATTCCAGCATTAACCCAAATGTCCAAGTCCAAATTCTTATCTTAGACAAGGCAAGGCCCTTCTGCCTATGAGCCTGTAAAATCAAAATCAAGTTAGTTACTTCATAGATACAATGAGGGTATAGGCATTGGGTAAATACACCTGTTCCAGATGGGAGAAATTGGCCCAAAATGAAGGGACTGCAGGCCCCATGCAAGTCCAAAATTCAATGGGTCAGTCAAATCTTGAAGCTCTGAAATGATTTCCTTTGACTTCATGTCTCACATCCAGGTCACGCCGAAGCAAGAGTTGGGCTCTCATGGCCTTGGGCAACAGGGGTGCCTGTTGATTTGCAGGGTACAGCCCTTCTCCTGGCTGCTTTCACAGGCTGGTGCTGAGTGTCTGTGGCTTTTCCAGGCATACGGTGCAAGCTGTCAGTGGATCAACCATTCTGGAGTCTGGAGGATGGTGGCCGTCTTCTCTCAGCTCCACTAGGCAGTGCCCCAGTGGGGATGGTGTGGGGGCCCACATTTCCCTTCTGCACACATTGCCCTAGCAGAGGTTCCCCATGAGGGCTCTGTCCCCGTCACAAATTTGTGCCTGAACACCCAGGCATTTCCATGCATCCTCTGAAATTTAGGCGTAGATTCTCAAACCTCAATTCTTGACTTCTGTGCACCCACAGGCCCAACACCTCGTGTAAGCTGCCAAGGCTTGGGGCTTGTACCCTCTGAAGCCATGGCCTGAGTTGTACATTGGCCCTTTAGCCATGATTGGGACACACGGCACCAAGTCCTGAGACTGCACAGAGCAGCAAGGCCCTGCACCGGGCCCATGAAACCATTTTTTCCTCCTAGGCCTCCTGTCCTGTGATGCCTTGAGCTACTGTGAAGGTCTCTGACATACCCTGAAGACATTTTCCCATTGTCTTGGTGATTAACATTCAGCTCCTCGTTACTTATGCAAATTTCTACAGCTGGCTTGAATTTCTCTCCAGAAAATGGGTTTTCCTTTTCTGTCTCATCATCAAGCTGCAAAATTTTTTAAACCTTTATGCTCTGCTTCCTCTTGAACACTTTGCTACTTAGGAATTTCTTCTGCCAGATACCCTAAATCATCTATCTCAAGTTCATAGTTCCACAGACTTCTAGGGCAGGGGCAAAATGCCGTCAGTCTCTTTGCATAGTAAGAGTCACCTTTACTACAGTTCCCAAAAAGTTCTTCATCTCCATATGAGACCACCTCAGCCTGGACTTCATTGTCCATGTCACTATCAGCATTTTCCTCAAAACCAATCTGCAAGGCTCTAGGAAGTTCCAAACTTCCTCACATTTTTCTGTCTTCTTTCAAACCCTCCAAACTGTTCAAACTCTGCCTGTTACCCAGTTCCAAATTCACTTCCACATTTTTAGGTATCCTTATAGCAACACCCCACTACCTCAGTGCCAATTTACTGTATCAGTCCATTCTCATGCTGCTAATAAAGACATACCCAAGCTGGGTAATTTATAAAGGAAAGAGGTTTAACTGACTCACAGTTCATCATGGCTGGGGAGGCCTCAGGAAACTTACAAGCATGGCAGAATGCAAAGGAGAAGCAAGTCACCTTCTTCACAAGGCGGCAGGAAGGAGAAGTGCAAGCAAAGGGGGAAAAGCTCCTCATAAAACCATCAGATCTTGTGAGAACTCACTCACTATCATGAGAACAGCATGGGGGTAACTGCCTCCATGATTCAATTACCTCCCACTGGGTCCCCATCATGATATGTGAGGATTATGGGAACTACAATTCAAGATGAGATTTGGTTGGGGACACAGCCAAACCATATCATGGGGTCTCACTTTATTGCCCTGGCTGATTTCAAACTCCTGGGCTCAAGTGACCCTCCTGACTTGGCCTGCCAAAGTGTTGGGAATACAGACATGAGCTACCATGCCCAGTCCTAAAGTCTAAATTCTTAACATCTAAAATCCAGAAAATCACAATCACAGGAGAGTTGTACCACGTTAGTTGCATCATGTTAGGTACAACTCTTGCTTTGTTTTCTTCTTATTTGGAAATTATGTATGGTTTAAGGGGGTCCATATGGGTGCCAAATCTACAAGGGGTGGACTTGCAGACTTAATTTCAGGTGTCAACTTGACTGGATTAAGGAATCCCTGGAAAGCTGGGAAAGTATTATTTTGGGTATGTCTGTGATGGTTTTCTCAGAAGAGATCAGTGTGTGGGTCTGAGCGGACTAGGTGGGGAAGATCTGCTGTCAATGTTTTGAATGTCTTGAATATCACAGAAGTGAAAATGAAAGTAAAAAATGCACAAAATCTTGTCTGCCAAATTATGTAATCATGTACCAAGCACCTCTACACGTAGCACCATGCTTGTCTTCACAAAATGCCTTTTGTCAGATAATAAAAAGAGTTCAACAAATTCAGTGGCCTTCTGAACCAGACACCTGCTGGCACAGAGCTTCCTCCAGTGCTACAAGACATATTAAATCATGAACTATTCTTGATTAGGGATTTGACTGTCAAAAAAGATAAACATATTTATTTACCACTAAGTCTAACATAACAAAACTGGTGCATTTTTCACTTTGGCTGATGAATGGCACTTTCAAAACTGTCCCCAGTGGGTTTTTATAATCAACTTTATACAGTTTATGCCCCCAATGAATTACAAAATTCTATAATTTAATCTTCATGTTTATGGTTTAATAACTGGAAAAAGTGAAGTACTTTATAAAAGCTTATTTGAAGATTTGGAGGGCTTTGCAGAAGAAAATAGATTTCAATCAGATCCCCAAATTATAATGACAAGTTTTTAATTAGGTGTGATCAAGGCTTCTAAAAGTGAATTGCAAGTTGTTACCAGTAAAGTTTGTATCTTCCATTCAGCCCAGTTCATTTGCCAGAAAATTCAGGTGAGTGGATTGGCCAGGCCATATGGCAATGATGAAAATTTTAGTTTTAAAATGTGCCATTTGTCTGTATTGGCATTCCTTCCACCTGATAAAACTCCAGGAGCTTTTGATAAATTAAAACCACAATTGCCTGAAGAAGCCAGAAAAATTACATACTAGTTTGAAAATAATGATGTGCAAGGTGGGATAAGAAGTCATTCAGGCAACGGTGTTGCTGTTCAATCAAGAGTATTGTTTCTGCCAAATGAGTGGCCTGTATATGAGGGCCTGCAAAATGGATTTCCACATACTCAAAACAATAGACAAGAATGGCATAGAAGATTGGAAAATATAATAGGAAATGCTCATGTCAGTGTGTATCAAATTATAGAATTTCAAAAAGAGCAGTGCCACATAGAAAATGAATGTGAACATATTTTATGAGGAGAGTCAAATCCTAAAAACAAAAAAGGCATCATGATGAAAGACTTCAAAATACAGTTAATGATAATGAGAGTCAGCCAGCTATTATGAACTCTGCAATTGCCCATAATCTATCCATGTAATATACTTTTTATATGTCAATTTTCGTTTTAGTTGTTTCTTTTTCCATTTTTTCCACTATTTTAAATTGTCAGCATTTTTTACAACTTGGTATGCTATGTATTTCATCTTAGTATCATTTCCAATACTGGAGGTATAAATTTTGCAAAGACTTTTAGAGAGTTCTAATTTGTTTTATGCTTTTATTTTTGCAAATTTGACTCCACAAGAGTGCATTATCACAACACTGACTTTGTGTGTAAGCATTGTACCTGTACATAAAAACATTAAAGCTTCCTCAATAAATGAGAAGATATCCTTTTTGCACATTTGTATTTGGGAAAGAGAAAATTTCTCAAGATCTCAGCTCTTTGACTGCATATTAGATGGTGACCCATCCCAGCTTTTGATGAATCTGGTCAAAAGACTTAGGTTGTCTGTCACAGTATTCCAGATGACCTAAGTTATAAAGCTGAGTGCACCCAGTTACCAACCATGCTTTTATACATTTTGCTTTTTGACCCATTTCTTTACGAGTACAACTCATCTGCTCATTACTGTTATACCCATAAGACGCTCTTTAGCATACCTGAGTTTTATGCTTGCAAATATATGTATGTTATTATTGCCTATTGATTGTGTAAAGTAGCCTAGGAAGTGTTCTGTTGTGTTTTTATACGTTTATCAAATAAATTCCATCTTAAAAATATAAATAAATGCTTTTTTGTTGTTTTTAGACAGAGTCTCACTGTGTCACCCAGGCTGGAGTGCAGTGGTGCGATCTCAGCTCACTGTAACCTCCACCTCCTGGGTTCAAGTGAATCTCCTGCCTCAGCCTCCCAAGTAGCTGGGACTACAGGCACCCATCACGATGCCTGGCTAATTTTTTGTATTTTTAGTAAAGATGGGGTTTCACCGTGTTGGCCAGGATGGTCTCGATCTCCTGACTTTTTGATCCACCCGCTTTGGCCTCCAAAAGTGCTGGGATTAAAGGTGTGAGCCACCACGTCCTGCCCAATAAATGCTTTTTAAAGAATGTGTTAATAATTTTTTTCCAGAATTGTATTTTCAGAATTTTGTTTTTTGAGGATTGTAATTTTCAGGATTTTAGACTGTACAGATTTAGATCTTTTGGGACTTCAACATTTGGGATTATGACGTTCAGGATTGTGTCTTCCTGGGCTGTGACCCAAACCCATGTGGTCCAACGCTATTTCACATGAGAGGAAAGCAAACCACGTGCACAGATGCAATGAAGGCTTAAATAGGCGTCATGTATTGATTATATCCCTGGAAAACATGATTAAGATGATACGTAGCGACTTTTTTTTTCCCCAGTGAAAAAGATCCACATTCTTTTTCTTGTGTGGAACTAAACACAATTTCTGAATCAATGTAAGTGAATGTGAATCACCATGTTCACTTAGCTGATGCTCCTTTATTAACGGGGATAGAAGGGACGTGATTCAAAGAGATGGCGGCACAGGACCCATGACCTAAGGAAGCTGCAGTGGGTGAAGGGGAGAAACAGAGGAGCAGGGGCTGGAGAAAGAGTGGGGAGTCATCAACTACCCTCCTTGCTCCCGGCATCTGGTGTTTGGAGCCCAGAGGTCTTCTCTAAGGCCTCGGAGAAGCTTCCAAGTCTGTTCATTTCTCTTTCCCCACCCCTGCTTGTATCACAAATAAAGAAATTATTGACAACTGAGTTCCTGACTAGGTGGCAGGATTTTAGGGATCCTTCACCTCGTCCAAACCTCATGAAGGTAGTGGGAGTCCCATGGGTTAGTTAGCAATAGTCCTTGAGATTATTTGTTCATATAAATAATCACAATACTCATAGTCATCTTGCTTTTCTCATAATGCCCAGCTGGGGGACGGTGGGGGCAGAGAGGACTGGAGTGAGAAGAGATAGAACAAGAGCTGGCTTTCATGTATGGGGCTCTCCAGAGCAATCAGGCCTAAGGACAATCAAGAGGGATCTTGAAGCAGCTCTGGCAAGGGCAGCCTGGACTCAGGCCCCAGCTTGCACCAAGCACGTCACCTGTCCAACTGGGAAGCCTAAGCAATGTGTTTCTGTTTTTGTTTTGTTTTCTGGTAAAGAATTCAATGTCGTTAGCTACATTCACAATGCTGTGCAATCATCACCACTATCCATTTCCAGAACATTCTATCATCCCAGACAGGAACTCTGTGCCCATTAGACACTAACCTCCTGCCAGCCCTGAAAACCTCTATTCTACTTTCTGTCTCTGTTAATTTGCCTGTTCCAGGTTCTTCATATAGATGGAATCACGTAGTCTGTGTCTGATGTCTCACTTAGCATAATGTTTTTAAGTTTTATCTATGTGGTAGCAAGTATCAGAATTTCCTCCCTTTTCAAAGATCACTAATATTCCATTTTATGTCTATACCACATTTTGTTTATCCATCTATCCCTCAATAGACTTTTTAGGTTGTTTCCACCTTGTGGTTGCTGTAAATAAGGCTGCTGTGATGCTGCAATGAACACAGGTGTAGCAGCCAGGTGTGGTGGCATGCGCCTGTAGTTCCTGCTACTCAGGCTTCTGAGGCAGGAAGATCCCTTGAGCCCAGGAGTTCTGGGCTGCAGTGTGCTGTGTTGATCAGATGTCTGCATGAAATTAGACATTAGTACAGTGACCTCCCGGGATAGGGGACTACCAGGTTGCCTAAGGAGTGGCGAACCGGCCAACAGGGGGGTCGCGCCCGTGGACAGCCCTGCAGAGGGGGTGGGGGGGAGGCGGGGTTGTCGCACCCGTGGACAGCCCCGCAGCAGGGGGCTCGTGCCCGTGGACAGGCCTGCAGCGCGGGGCGGGGGGGCGGGGCTCGCGCCCGTGGACAGCCCCGCAGCAGGGGATCATGCCTATAAACAGCCCCTGCACTCCGGCCTAGGAAACATAGTGAGACCCCATCTATTAAAAAAAAAAAGGGTACGGAGAGAACACAGGTGTACAAGTATCTATTTGAGTAACTGCTTTCCATTCTTTTGAAGATAGGTATAGGTAGATATAGATACAGATATAGAGATTTACAGATATGAGTGGGATTACTGAATCATATGGTAATTCTATGTCTAAATTTTTGAGGAACCATATGTTTTCCACAGCTGATGTACTATTTTTCATACCCACCCTCAATGCACAAGAGTTACAATTTTTCCACATCCTTGTCAGCACTTGTTATTTTCTGGGTGTTTTTGCTTTGTTTTGAGGCCAAATCTCCTTCTGTCTGCAGGCTGGAGTGCAGTGGCGTGATCTCGGCTCACTGCAACCTGTGCCTCCCAGGTTCAAGCGATTCTCGTGCCTCAGCCTCTCAATTAGCTGGGATTACACATGTGTGCCACCATGCCCGACTAATTGTGTGTGTGTGTGTTTTGTTTTGTTTTGTTTTTTGGTACAGATGAGGTTTCACCATGTTGGCCAGGTTGCTGTCAAACTCCCGACCTCAGGTGATCCACCTGCCTAGGCCTCCCAAAGGGCTGGGATTACAGGTGTGAACCAGCATGCCCAGCCCCTGATTTTTTTGTTTTTTCTTTTTTGATAGCAGCCATCTTAATGGGTGTGCAGGTGTGTGTGTGTGTGTGTGTGTGTGTGTGTGTGTGTGTTTTAATGTCACATTGGTGATTCTAATGTGTAACCAGCAAAGAAAAGCATGGATTCTGGGTCTCAATTTTTCATCTAGGTAAACCAGAGCAAATAAAACCTATCGAAGAGTCCTCCTGATGATTGAATGAGTTCCCCCATAGAAGGCAAAATTTACAAATGTTGGTTCCTCTCTTATTCCCTTGGAATTCTACTAAACTTCCTGCCTCAACATACAGAGAAACTCCCTGAAGCCTAAAACTATGCAGATTTGACATAGGGCTGATTTTAACTTCTGTTTTGCTTTTACCATATAGCTAGCTGCAGAGGTCACATGTGTCCTCCATGACATCTAAATAGCACTACACCTGCACCAGCTTTCCTCTCAAATTAACTACTCATCAGTTCTATTATTAAATAAACAGGGAGCAGCTGTAATACTCAAGGAGTGTGTGGGATTGTGCTTTAAAATTACATCTCTGCCAACACTTTGTTTGCTTGTTGAATAACTACAAGTTTTCCAGTTAAATTAATAGAATACATTATACCCATAAAATCCTGACATATTTGGCAATACACACAACAAAATATTTACAAGTAGAGAATATAATAAATGTATGACACTTTAGAAATGCATTGAGATAAGTTTAAACAGTGTTTACTTTTAATTGGTGTGCTTTCTTTCATCTCACAGTAATAAGCTATGGTTTAGTTTATCGGCTGAATACTCACTATGCAGTCCTTTGTAAAATTTTGGAGGTCCGCAGTAATGTGATTATTGAGCTTCAACAGAATACACAGAAGATCCCAGGAACCACAGACTAATCCATCCACTATGCAGTATCTAAAGTATTTGCAAAAATAAAAACAAACAACAACAAAAAAACACCTGAACAATTGACTCGTAGCAAAACTATCAGGTTAGTGCAAAAGTAATTGTGGTTTTGCCATTGAAAGTAATGAAAGTAATTGAAAGAATAGGTGTTCTAGCTGGACATTCTACAATGCATGCCACAACCATGGATCAATTGTGTATTGAAAACCCAAACCAACTGAGGATCACTGCTGTGCATTATTCCCATCGTGTCATAATGTGGCAAACTAAAACTAAGGACCCATAACAAGGGATTTTCAGAGGGAAAGCAAACATATTGGTTAAAGCAAACAAAACTGGCAATTTTCAATTTGCTCAAACTATTCACATAGTTTGTATGCTTCTCTACAAAATACAGAATTTTGATATAATTACCCTTAGGTAAAACTCTAAAGTGAGCAGCTTCTGATCAATAGGCCTCAACTCCTTTTCCCTTCTGTATCACAGACTGTGTGGGTGAATCCAACACATGACCTAATACGATTTGGCCAGTTGGGAAAGGTCTCTTTAAAGAACTAACCCTCAGGCTGGGATCTAGAGCAAAGCACCGTAAACTTGAATGTGCATAGGAACCACCTGGGGACCTTGTCAACATGCAGATTCTGATTCATTGGATCTAGGGTGGTGCCTGAGCTCTAGCAAGCTCCCAGGGATGCCTATGTGACTGCCTTGGACATCAGTTACAGTAGCAAGAATATAAGCAGATACCAGCCAACAAAGCAGGAGTGAACGCATCACGGCCCAGGCAGCCCTGGACCAGGCCAGCTCAGGGATCTGAGAAAAGAGTAACTGGACTGAGGTCTATGAGTGCTGCCATGAGAGGTGAGGCTGAGAAGGTGGACAAGATCTAGGTCAATGTGTTAAGTTCCTACTAAATGCAAGGCTAGGCTCTGCATAAACAGAAACAAATAAGGCAAACCTACTCCTTGCATCTTTAGAGCTTGTGGTCTAGCAGAATTACTTCATGGGTAGAAAATCATTAAAGATTTTTAAATGAAGGAGAGACATGATCTAATTGAAATTTTTGATGAACCTCTCTGGGTGTGCCATAGAGAAGGTATTGGAGAGGCAAAAAGTTGGAAAGAGGAGTATATGTTTGCAGACCAGGTGAAACATGCGGATGACAGAAGTGGATAATTTTAGCACATATTTTGAAGGTGAAATAACAGGACTTGGTTGCAAGTTGTGATGGTAGGGGGGTGGCAGGAAGAAGAAAGCATCAAGGATGATGATGCTTTCTGGAAGAAGCAAATGGGTAAATGGAGATAATTTTTACGAAGAATGGTAAGGCTGAAGAAGAAATAAACTAACAAAAGGGAAATGATTGAGGAAGTGGCATAGATTTGGGGGCAGAACTCAAGAGTTTTGAATTCTGATTTTAGGAATGCCTATGAAAATCCCAGTGGAGATTTCAAGATGGCAGGTGCACATAATGTTTTGGAGCTTGGGAGGAGAGCTCTGTAGGAGCCATATGCATATAAACAGTATCTAAAGCCATAGGAATTAATAAAACCTTGTCTAGAGTCTGTGTAGGCACGGGCGTCCAATCTTTTGGCTTCCCTGGGCTGCACTGGAAGAAGAATTGTCTTGGGCCACACATAAAATATACTAACATTAACAATAGCTGATGAGCTAAAAAAAAAAACATAAAAAAATCTATAATGCTTGACGAATGTTTACAAATTTGTGTTGGGCTGCATTCAAAGCTGTCCTGGGCCACACGTGGCCCACAGGCCACAGGTTGGACAAGCTTAGTATGGAATAAGAACAGAAGAGGACCCAGGATTTAGGAACTTCAACATTTAAAGTTTGGGCAAAGAGGCAGGAGCTGATAAGAAAATAGTTCAAGCTAGAGGAAGAGATCAGGGGTCTACTCTACTGAATGTTTCTGAGACGCCATTGGACTTATATATTACATAATATGTACAATATATGTTACTTGGGTGATGGATACCCTAATAGCTTTGAACTGACCACTATGCACGGAACAAAACTGCACCTGTATCCCGTAAATTTTATATAAACAAAAGTAAATAAATAGAAGGCAGGAAGGGAGAAGGAGAAGGAAGGAAGGAAGGATGGAAGGAAGGAAAGAAGGAAGGAAGAAAGGAAGGAAGGAAAGAAAGAAGGAAGGGAGAGCGAGGAAAGGAAAGGAAAGGGAAGGGAAGGAAAGAAGGAAGGGAGAGTGAGGAAAGGGAAGGAAAGAAGGAAGGGAGAGCGAGGAAAGGAAAGGAAAGAAAGGAAAGGAAAGGAAAATAAATGAAAGGGAGGGAAGGAAGGAAGGAAGAAAGGAAGGAAGGAAGGGGGAAGAGAGAGAAAGAAAGAGAGAGAAAGAAAGAAAGAAAGAGAAAGGAAAGAAGGAAGGAAGGAAAGAAAGAGAAAGAAAGAAAAGAAAGAAAGGAAAGAAAGAAAGAAAAGAAAAGAAAGAAAGAAAGAAAGAAAGAAAGAGAAAGAAAAAGAAAGAAAGAAAGAAAGAAAGAGAAAGAAAGGGAGAAAGAGGAATAGTGTTCATGATGTTTATGAATCACCAATTCTGGGGGCACTGAATTGTGTCCCCCAAGATTCCTATGTTGAAGAGCTGATCCCCACTGCCTCAGAGGGGACTGATTTAGAGAAGGCCTTCAAAGAGGTAAGTGAGGTCAAATGAAGCCGTATGGGTGGACCCTAAACCAATATGGCAGGTGTCCATCTAAAAAGAGATTGAGACACAGGCAACACAGCCTGAGGACACAGCAGGAAGGGAGCCGTCTGCAAGGCAGCAGTTCTCAGAAGAAGGCAAACCTGCTGACATTCCATCCTGGATTTCCAGTCTTCAGAGCTGTGAGAAGATAAACCACTCAATCTGTGGCAGCTTGTGATGGAAGCCCCTAGCACTCTTATATGGTGACCTTAGCACAAGCAGTTTAACAGGCTTGGTGAAAGTGAAAGCCAAACTGACCTGAATAAAGAGTGAAAGGAAAAGGAGCAAAAGGAGACAGTAAGTGTGGAAAATCCTTGAGGAAAATTTGCCAAGAAAGGAGGAGATGGCTTGATAGCTAGAAAGACATAGAGAGTCAAAGGTAAGGTTTCTCCAAGATAGAAGATTTTTTTAAATGAAAAATTTATATTTAAATGCTGACAGAAGGCATCAAGGAGGAGAGAGATTGAAGATGCAGTTGACAAATGGAAAAGCAATGAACAGAATCCCTGAAAAGTCAGGAAAAGAAGGGAGATTATTAGAGGGATGTCCTTTTACAGTAAGAAGAATACTTCCTCCACCGCCCCAGGATTTAAAAAGCTTATAAATGACAGGTAACATTCTACCTAATTATAGAGCTTTACACTTTTCAATAAATTTTGTTGTACATGATACAGTCACTCTGTGAATTCAGTGAGACAGACAGTTATCCACATTTTACATAAAAAGAAAGAAAAGGCAGAAAAGAAGTGATTTGCTTGAAGTGACACAGAAACGGCTGGTAGAACCATGCACTGTGTAGATGGCAGGGCTCCTGACTTCTCATTTCACACCACAAATGTAGACAGAATTAGATATAATGACAGTTATTATATTTTTAAACCTTTCAAATAAGAATATCCTTAGATTTTCATTCATTAACAAAGCACGTGATTAGCATCTGAAAATGTTTTATTATACGATCACTAGACACCAAAAGAGGTTTCCATTTTCCTGTGTATTTGAAAGAGTTCAACAGCCCTAAGTCACACAGTTGGAGGAAACTCAAACAAGAGAAGGTTCGTTTGAAGTGATGAAATTAGCATGATGAAGTTTACAATACAAAGATTTTTGTTTCAAGACTCTGAGGTTTGGTAGGGAGGAAGGGGAAAGGCAGATGACACCAAATAGGACTGGTTGGAGAGGGGATGAGAAGCATCAATTAGAAAGCTCTTCAAATTCAAATGGACTGTTCAAACCATCCTAGGACTAGACTCCAATTGGGAAAGACTCTGAAGAAAATGATCTCCTACTCCCACGAGATGGCTAACGTGATTTAGGTAAAAAGCTTTTAGTTTTATGGCTGGGGAGGTAGCAATAAAGAAAATGAACTTCCTGCCAGTGATTCTTTGTCAAGCCCTGCCAATTTCTGTGTCTGGGGAAGCTATAAAGAATGTCCAGCCTCATGTCAAAAGAATTGCCACAGATCTCCAGCCTGCCTGCATTCAAGCATCGAAACATCCCTAAGCCTGTTCCCAGGCCAGCCTGGAATTGAGAATCCAGGAGAGTCTTTTCTGTTCTGCTGCTGCAGCTACACTATCTGCTTGTTAGCATAACCAGGGCCACCAGCAATAGATGCTAGAGAAATACACAGAGAAAAAATCAACAGCTGATGAAAAGCAGAATCTTTTCTTTTTGGCAGCAATACCAATAGCATGAAGCACATCCCTTTTGGAGCTTTCCAAACCACTTCAAAAGCGAGTTTTCTGGTGTGGATCAAGAAAGCTAGGCAAATTGCCCCTGAGGGCATAGCCACTGGCCAAGATATTGATGAGTGTAGGCAGCTCAGGACCCATCCTCGGCCCCGGTGCTGTCTTTCTCAGAGCTCTGTTTAATTCCATCAGGCATGGGCAGCGTTTGGAGAAAGCTGTGTTCATTTTTGTGATCTTCAGCCAGCACGGAGGTGGCCAGTTCCCTAGCCTCCCAGCACCGTCCTCCTCCTGCCCTGCCCCTTCATGGCCTGCCTGGGCTCACTGGACCCACACTTGCCTTTCACCCCTGTCAAAGCCTCACAGTCCTGTGTGTCTGTTTCCCTTTGAACTACACAAACTAACTAATTTGGTGAACCCATTAAGTGAACTTCTTTATACTCATGGTCTAGAGTGCATTGAACGCTAAAGGGTTTGCTAGAGATTGTCAAAATCAATTCTGTCTTCTTCCAACTGGACCAAGGCTTCTTTGAGTTAACAAAACTGAGAAATCTGAGTTGATTTTTCGTAGTACCTCTTTCTATTCTTTTGGGGTTTTTTTGTTTGTTTTTTACTTATCATGGAGATTTTCCTTAATTTAACCCAAAAGATATACCCATATGACATTTGAACTAATATGAAAGAGGTAGTAGGACAAAGAATTTGAAGACAGCCTTTCAGAGCCCCACAAAGTACTTGAAGTTTATCAATAAACCCCTCCCAGTGTTTCCCACCATGTTCCACATTCCATCTCCATTTTTAGCCATGCAGCTTCAAGTGGCATCTCCTCCTGTGAAACCTACAGTTTGGAGATAAATTATTGATGACTAATGACTTAGAAGAACCAAAGAAAGGATCCTCTAGTGGAGACACAGCATAGAAATGGTGGTCCAGGGTGAGACAGAACTGCTTCCAATCCCAGTGCCACCTGTGTGGTTCCAGCTGTGTGCTGCTCTTCCTCTAATCTTGTTTACTCGTCTCCAATACGGGACTAATAACATATACATCAGACTATTGTGAGGGTTGAATGTAACAATATTCCAAATTGTTGCATGTGTCCAGTACTTAACACAGTGCCAAGAACAAAGCATGTATCAGTAAGTATGAATGGCCTTCCCAGCGCACACCTCCAAACAGTGGATTCTGGCCGATGACAGGCAATGGTTCCCCGCGGTCCTACAGGCCACGGTTTAACTTACCACTAGCCAATCAGTAAGTTTGCCTCAGACCACATCACGATTCTTTTGCAAGCCTGGAGCTTGGTGAAAAACAAGGGGGAAAATAATCCATGTCCCTAAGGCAGATGCTGAAAGATTTACCTCATAACATAATTCTCTCACCAGACTTGTTTCCTGAATGTCCATTTAAATTTTAATTCTGCAAATAAAATAAAATTGGTAATAATGAAAGTGATTAAGATGGTATTTGTCCAGGGAACCAATCTCCCCACAAGATACCTAAGAAAGAGATATATGTACAGAAAATGAAGCACAGTAAAATACCACTTCATTACTATCTGGAGATTTTCCCCAAACACAGAGAAAGCTCTACAGAGCTGAGCTTAAGGCAGAAGAACTCTGTTATTTACTTGGTCTAATGCCAAAACAGGCCAGAGACCCCTCTCACTTACTTCTCTTTAATCCCAAACCCATGTCTCAATTTGGTCTAAGAAAGAGCCGAACACCCAGGAGGCACCAGGGTAGAGAAAAGCAGCCAGCCAGAGAGTGACCTCCATGCCAGGGGAGTGTGTCTGAGCTTTGTTTTATTTTTCTTATTTGTCTGTAGTTGTGTGATTGGTAGAAGAGAGTAGATATGAAGTCTACTGACACAGGATTGGTCTTCAGGCATGTCTTACCAAGCATAGGGGTTCCACAAATAAGAGAGCAATGATCAGACTTTCTTCTAAAAGGAGCAGCCACAAGCTACCTTAACTCTCCAACTTGCCCATAAATCTTCACCTACAGTTAGGAAGATTTCACCATTAGCTGTGGCCCATAAAAGATCCTTAAGCTTGACCAACCACAGAGGTCCATCTCCTTGAGGAGGAAGTGAAAGGGGTATGGACAGAAGCTGTGAGCTTTCTGTCCTCCACAGGCCCCCAGCTGTGTCTTCTACTTCTTGTACAAGATAGTCTCCAAATGATGTTTTCTGGCAGACAATGCCACAGAACTGATCCTTATCTCACTATGGAAATGAAAGATTTCAAAGAATTTGTTGCCTGAAATATGGTGCCCTAATCACATATTAATAAAGCTGCTATCCAGGAAGAAGGCAGATTTCAAAAGAAAGGCTGTTAGCCTTCTCAGGGACCTAAAAAGTACATATTGTAGAACAATGGTAAATAGATCTTGGAATCAGGTAGACTTTAATTCAAGCCCCAGCTATGCCAGTTATTAACTTATGTGACATTGGGAAAGGCTCTCAAATTTAGTTTTGCAAAATCAGAATAATATAGGTAGCCAACAAATAGGGTTTAATGGAGGTAATAATGAAGGTGATTAAGATGATAAAATTAAATAATGAATATAAAGTGCTTAGCATGTAATAAATTTTATTGTATGATTTCAAAGCACATGCTTTACCTACAGTGCTATAAAGCTGCTTGCAATAGTCAAAGCTAATAGAAGCTCTAGTCAGAGCTAATAGAAGCCTTGTGTATATAATTATTTAAGAATTCTGTAAATATACATAATAGGGTAGGAATGAGAAAATCTTTAGAGGAAATATTCAAATATGCTTGGTTTCTAGCAAATCCAGATAGACCGTTTTGGCAACAACCAAGTCATAATTTTAAGTCTTGTTATAGGAGCTAGAATTTTATTCAAGGGGCAACTGATTTGATTAGATAAGATGCTGTGGACTGCATGTTTGCATCAACAAATGCACATGTTGAAACTCTAACAATAGAATGGCATTAGAAGGAGGACCTTTGGGAAGTAATTTGGTTTTGATGAGGATGGAGTTCCCACGATGGGGTTAGCATCCTAATAAGAAGAGAAGGAGACTAGAGCCCTCTTCTCTCAGCCATGTGAAGATACAACAAGAACACCTGCAAACCAGTAAGAAGGCCTTCACCAGACACTGGCTCTGCTGGCCCAGATTTTAATCTTTGATTTCTCAGAACTGTGAGAAACAAGTATGTGCTGTTTAAGCCACTCAGTCTACAGTTGTTTGTAACAGCAGCCTGAGCAGACAAAGACATAGGGTTCCTTTTATTTTCAGAATTCGGTTTAGCTGTAATCACCTACCATCCTGAAATGCTGTTTCCTCCTTCTGCCCTTGAAATATAAGCTCTGGGACTACAGCTTCATGGACAAATTCTGAAGAATTTGTCTCTGCTCCTGTGGGATGCTAACCTAATCAATCAAGGAATGTTTGCTCAATGGAATGAAACATCTTAATGCAGCTTGCCAGCCAATATCTGCAGAGCACACCTCATGGGTTCTGGCTGGCTTGGATTTCTGAGACTACTTCATCCTACCCATCAGACTGTGGACTCAGATTCAGCCAGAAGGCCTGATTCTAGCGTCAGTTTTGCCTTTGGGATATAAATGCATGCCCTACTTCACTGAACATGAAACCCTGAATATTTGGCCATTACTCTGGCAATTGCCCTCCCTCCCTGTGCCAATTGCCAGTCAACCCAACTCCCAGGCAGCCTTGGCAGTTATGTCTGCTCGGCCTGCTGTAGCAGCCAATGACTTAGTAAAAGTCAGAACATAGATCTGCTAGCTCCCAGTCCAGGATTTCCCCTTAACTCATCCATGTATATATTAAACAACTAGGCTTGCTTTTAAATTCTTTTTCATTTAGCCTCTTCTTAGAACTGATCATTTTGAGAATCCTGACCTGCCAATATTCCATAATCTTTCTAAAAGTGACACAGCAAATACGACGCATGCACAGTGCTAACTGCAGCTGATTTCATTTTTCCATCATCTATAAAGCACATAAGGTAATTTCTAAACCAGCAGTAAAATCTATTTATAAAGAATGCTGATTTGTTTTCTGCACTTTCCAACACAGAGCTTCAATTTATTTCCTTACCATAAAAAAACCATTACTTTTTAAAACAATCATAGTTAGTATATTTTATAAATGTTTTAATTTTTGTAAAGTCCAACTTGCAAATTGGAGTGTAAATAGCTTTCTTAAAATGGAAGGAACCGTGTTAGACCCAGTATGCTGACTGATTTCACTGTGCTTCAAAGCAGACGATTTCACAGTCATTCGGTAATGAGTTTTTATAAAGCAATTGATATCACTAAAAATATAATTATAATAAATAAAATTATAGGAAAAAGGAAATCTTCATTCAGACAATGCCAAATTTTTTAACTCATTGCTAAAAGATTATGTTTGTACATGAAAAATTTTACACATTCTTTCTATGAGATAAACCTGATAACACCTTGAAAACTTAATAGTTATGGAAAAGGAACTACTGTGATATTTTTTAGAGAATGTCGTGTTCTTGATGTTCTTGAGTGAGCTGTCTCATGTTATTAGAAGGGAAACAGCACCACCTTGTGGGGAAACAACACCACCTTGTGGACAAACAAAGAAAGTGAATGAAATTTTAGGGCCGGGTGCTTAATCCCAGCACTTTTGGGAGACCTGGGAGGAGGGTAACTTGAGCCCAAGAGTTCAAGACCAGCCTGGGCAACACAATGACACACCCATCTTTACCAAAAATTTGAAAAATTCGCTGGGCTTGGTGGCTCACACCTCAGGTCCCAGCTACTTGGAAGGCTGAGGTGGGAGGATCGCTTAAGCCCTGGAGGTCAAGGCTGCAGTGAGTGTGATCATACCACTGCATTCCAGCCTGGGTGACACGGCAAGACCCTAGCTCAAAAAAATTATGTTTATGTAGCACTTCCTACAAGGAATATAGTATCTTGTTTGTATTTAAATGACATCGGGACCAGCATGGTGGCTTACAGCTGTAATCTCAGCTCTTCAGAAGGCAGAAGGCAGGAGGATCACTTGAGGCCAGGAGTTGGAAGACCAGCCTGGGCAGCATAATGAAATAATAATAATAGTAATAAAAAGCTAGGCGTGCTGGCACACACCTGCAGACCTAGCTACTGTGGAGGCTGAGTGGCAGGATCGCTTTGAGACCAGGAGTTTGATTGTACTGCGTATTGTGAGCTACGATCGAGCCACTCCAGTCCAGACAACACGGCAAGACCCAGTCTCTAAGCAAAATAAAGGGACATCAGAGCATTGCTTACAGAGATTTATAAATGATCCCAAAATGTCTTCAGGGAGATAAATTATCTAAATATAGCTATATGGACTCTTCCTAAATTCCAAATTTGGGTGGAAAAATAAATGAGATAGAAGACTTCTTGAAATGTATCAAGACTCAGAAAGACAAAACAAAAACTTTCATTAGGCAGCTAAAGAGGAAATCCCAGCGACAAGAAGCCAAAGGAAAGGGAAAAGAAATGACAACAATGACCATACTTTCTACACATCCAACCTCTTCTCTACCACCACTCAGCAAGACCTCCCACAGCCAATCACTGCCTTCTCTTGTGGACTTACCCTCTACTCTGTGAACACATGAGCCAGAGAACCCTGAGAAGTCCCTGGGTCCCTTCCAGGGGCTCTGCAAGGTCAAAACTCTTTTCATAAAAATACACAGGTTTTGTTGACCTTTTCCAATTTCATTCTCTCACAAGTATAATTGGAGTTTCCCAGAGGCTACCTGACGTGGGATGTCACAAGAAATTAAATGTAGAAGCAGAAAGGAGAACGAAGTTTTCTTCTATTAAACCAGACATTAAAGACATACTTAAAAATATAAAACAATGTCAATGTTCTCACCAACTTTACTGTTTAAAAATGATAACTTTAAATAAAAATGTGATTTATGTAAACATATAAGTATATTTTTTTAATTTCTCAGCTTTAATGTTTAATATGATAAATATAGATAGATATAATCCAAGTAAATAAAAGCTCTTTGGGGTCCTCAATAACTTTTAAATGTAAAGTGGTCCTGAAACCAAAAATTTGAGGACAGATGCTCTAAAGCTCATACTCTCTGATGTAGCTTCCACCCAGGTCATTTCTTAAATACTTGATCAATCATTTCCCATGTCCCTCACCCTATCCTTGTTGCAAAATTCCATTTTCCTACTCTAGCCCTCCCTGTCATGAGAAAGTTCCCAGGTTGTAGACATTATTTACTAAATATTTCTTAACAGCTTTATGATGATAACATGACATATAAAAATTGTGTAAATTTAAGGTAACTTAATGTTTTGATATTTTATACTTTTTGAAATGATCACCACAATCAAGCAAATTAGCATATTTATTATCTCTACATATTTACCATTGTGTGTGTTGACAGTAATTAATTTATGATCTAGTCCTTTAGCAGAACACAAGAATATGACACAGTGTTGTTCCATGTTGTACATTATATCTCCAGAAATTATTATAACTTGAACTTTGTACAATTTAACCAACATCACCCCGTTTCCCCTCCCTGAGCCCCTGGCAACCACTGTCCTATTCTCTGTTTTTATGAATTTGACTGTTGTAGATTCCTCATGTAAGTGAGATCATGAAGTATTTTTCTCTGTGTCTTGCATTTTTGCTTGGTGCAATATCTTCCAGCTCCATCCATGTTTTCACAAATAGAAGGATTTCCTTCTTTTTTAAGGTCGGATAATATTTCATTTTATATATACATGCCACATTTTCTTTACCCATTCATCTGTTCCTCTGCCAAAGGACATTTAGGTTATTTTCATATTTTGGTCATTGTGTGTCATGCTGCAATGAACAGGGGATGACAGACACCTCTCTAAGACTCTTATGTCAATTTCATTGGACATATATCCAGAAGTGAAATTATTGGATTGTGGCAGTTCTTTTTTTTATTTTTGAAATGGGGTCTCACTCTGTCATCCAGGGTAAAGTCCAGTGGCAAGATCATAGCTCACTGCAGCCTTGAACTCCTGGGCTCAAGGGATCCTCCTACCTCAGCCTCCCAAGTAGCTGGGACTACAGGTGTACAACACCATGTCTGGCTAATTTTAAATTTTTTCAGAGATGGGGTCTTGCTATGTTACCCAGGCTGGTCTGGAGCTCCTGGACTCCTGCCTTAGCTTCCCCAAATCCTGGGGTTACAGGTGTGAGCCACCACACCAGGCCAGTGCTAGTTTCAATTTTCTTTGGAGGAACCTCAATACTGTTTTCTGTGTTTTACTAATTTGCATTCCCATCAATAGTGTATAAGGGTTTCCTTTTCTCCACATTCTCACCAACACTTATCTTTGGCCTTTTTGATAATAGCCATTTTGACAGGTGTGACCTGATATCTCATTGTGGTTTTGATTTGCATTTCTCTGAAGTTTAGAGATGTTGAGCACATTTTCATATACCTGTTAGCCATTTGAATTCCTTCTTTTGAGATATATTTATTTAGATTCTTTGCCTTAAAATAAAATTAGGTTATTTGTAATTTTGGAATTGATGTGTATGTGTCCTTATTTTTTGAACTCCTTATAAGAGATATGGTTTACAAACTTTTTCCCCATTTCATAGGTTGCCTTATCATTTCATTAGTTGTTTTCTTTGCTGTGCAGAAGCTTTTTAGTTTGATGTAATTCATTTACCTATTTTGCCTTTGTTGCCTGTGCTTTTGGCATCATATCTAAACAAATTATTGCCAAGACCAATGTCAAGAATGTTTTCTCCTGTCTTCTTCTAGGAGTTTTATGGTTTCAGGTATTGCATTTAAATGTTTAATCCATTTTGAGTTAATTTTTATGTATGATGTGAGCTAGGGATCCGATTTCATTGTTTTGCATGTGGACATCCAGCTTTCCTAACACCATTTGTTCAAGAGCATATCCTCCCCCTATTGTGTCTCCTTGTCACCCTCCAGGGTGATCAATTGCTGCAAATGTGTGGGTTATACCTAGGTTCTCTATTTTGTTCCACTGGTTTATGTGTCTGTTTTTATGCCAGTACCACAGTGTTTTCCTTTCTACAGCTTTGTAATTTAATTTGAAGTCAGGAAGTGTGATACCTGTAGCTTTGTTCTTGCTCAAAATTGCTTTGGCTACTCAGGGTTTTTTGTGATTCTATATGAATTTTAGGATTATTTTTTCTATTTCTGCGAGAGACACCATTGGGATTTTGATATGGATTACATTAAATGTGTAGATTGCTTTGAGTAATATGGACACTTTAATAATACAGTACTCACTCTTTCAATCCATGGGTTGTCTTTCAATTTACTTCAAATTTCCATCATCAATCTTTTGTAATTTGTAGTGTTTAAGTCTTTCACTTCTTTGGTTAGTTAATTCCAAAGTAGTTTATTTGATATTGTTTTTTAAATTTCCCTTTCAGACAATTCATTGTTAGTGTTTAGAAATAGCAATGATTTTTGTATGTCTATTGTATATCCTACAACTTTAATAAATTTATTATATAGTCAGTCCTTCATATTCATGGGTTCTGCAACCATGAACTCAACCAACCATGAACCAAACTTGTACATATTTTCCATCTGTGGTGGTTTGAATCCACAGATGTGGACCCATGGATACACAGGGCCAACTGTACATGATTTTACATGAGGGAGTTGATCATCACAGATTTTGTTATCTGAGGGGGTCCTGAAACAAATCCCTGGCAGATATGAAAGACTGACTGTATTATTTCTAACCAATTATTTCTAACCATTTTCTGTGGAGTCTTTAGAGTTTTCAATGTATAATAATCATGTCTTCTGTTAACAGAGATAACTACATCTTTCCTTTCAATTTTGATGCCTTTTATTTCTCTTGCCTGATTTCTCTGGCTAGGACTTCCAGTACTATGTTGAATAGGAGTGGTGAGAGTAGGCATCCTTGTCTTGTTCCAGATATTAAAGAAAAAGCTTTCATTTTTCCCCATTGATTATTATATTAGATACAGGTTTTTCATATACAGCCTTTATAGTGTTGAGGTAAGTTTCTTCTATACCTATTTTGTTGAGAGTTTTATCATGAAAGTATGTTGAATTTTGTCAAATGTGTTTTCTGCATCTATTGGAATGTTATTTTTGTCTTTCATTCTGTTAATGTGGTATATCACATTATTAATTTTTACACATTGAACCATCCTTGCATCCCATAGATAAATTCCAATTAGTAGTTTATTGAGAATTTTTGCATCTATATTCATTAAGGATACTGGTCTGTAATTATTTTTTCTTGTGTTGTTTTCATCTAGCTTTTAAGTCATGGTAACATTGGCCTCATGAAATGAGTTTGGGAGTATTCTCTCTTCTATTTTTTCTAAAGAGCTTAAGAAGTTTTGGTGTTAGTTCTTCTTTGACTGTTTGGTAGAAGTTGCCCATGAAAGCATCTGCACCTGGGCTTTTCTTTGTTGGGAAATTTTTTATTACTGATTGAATCTCTTTGCTTGCTTTTGGTCTGTTCTATTTCTTTTTTGTTCCAACTTGGTAGATTGCATCTTTCTAAGAATTTATCCATTTCTTCTAGGTTATCCAATTTATTGGCATATAATTGCTTAATTGTCCTTTATAATCATTTGTATTCCTGTACATTTGTTATAATGTCTCCATTTTCATTTCTGATTATATTTACTTGAGTCTCTCTTTTTTTCTTAATGTAGCTAGGGGTTTGTTATTTTTGTTTTTATTTCCAAAAATACAACTCTAGCTTTGTTGATTTTTATATTGTTTTTTATTTTAAAGTTATTTTATTTATATTCTAATCTTTATTATTTACTTCATTATGCTAACTTTGGGCTTAGTTAGTTCTTCTTTTTCTAACTGTTTATTTGTAAAGTTAGGTTGTTCAATTGAGATCTTTCTTATTTTTTAATGTAGGTGTTTATCACTATAACATTTCCCTCTTAGCACTTCTTTTGCTGCATCCTGTAAGTTTTGTTGAGTTGTATGTTCATTTTTGTTTGTCTCAAGATACTTTTAAAATTCCCTTTTGATTTCTCCTTTTACCCAATGGTTGTTCAAGAGTGTGTTGTTTAGTTTCTGCATTTTTGTAAATGTTTCTGTTTTCTTTGTTATTGATTTCTAATTTTATTCCATTGTGGTCTGAGAAGATACTTGGCATTATATCAAACTTCTTAAATTTGTAGGATGCCTTGTGACCTAAGATTTGATCTATCTCAGAGAATGTTCTGTGTGCACTTGAGAAGAATGTATATTCTGATGCTGTTGGATGGAAAGTTCTGTATATGTCAGTGTTTAATGTACCATGTTGTTCAAGTCAGCTGTTTCCTCTTTTTTTTCTTTTTTTTCCTGCCTAGATGTTCTATCCATTATTGCATTTGGGGTACTGAAGTTAGCTACTATTCTTTTATTGTTACTGATTTCTCCCCTTAGCTTTGTTGATATTAACTTTATATATTTAGGTGTTCTAATGTTGGGTGGATACATAATCTTCCTGTTGAAGCGAACTTTTATCATTACATAATGACCTTCTTAGTCTCTAGTGACAGTTTTTGATTTCAAGTCTATTTTTTCTGATCTAAGTATAGATACCCTTGCTCCTTTTTGGTTACCATTTGTGTAGAGTGTCTGTTCCCATCCCTTCACTTTGAGCCTCTATGTATCTTTATATCTAAAGTGACTCCCTTATAAATATGTACTGATGAGTATCTTTTATGCATTGTGCCACTCTATGTCTTTTAATTAGATAGTTTAATCCTTTCACATTTAAAGTCATTGTTGATAGGTAAGGAGTAACTTGCATTTTGTTAATTGTTTTTCATATGTTTTGCAGTTCTTTTTTTTTTCCTCTCTTGCTGTCTTCTTATGTTTGGTTATTTCTTGTAGTGGTTTGGTTTCTTTTCTTCTTCTTCACATTTTGTGTATCTCCTATAAGTTTTTAATTTGTGGTTGCAAATTAACATCTTCTATTAAAAGCTGTCTTAATGTTATCAGCTTTTTTGGAATCATTTTCTTTCTCTTCCCTCTTCAGACATATTTGCAAATAGTCTGTTTTTCAAGACACGAGTAAATAGGGCTCTGGTTAGAAATTTATCAATATGGAAAAAAAAAGATCCTCTGAGTCTTTTGATAAGTTAGAAAATAATGATAGACTGTGGCAGAATGTCATGTATTTCAAGTATTTCATCTGTGTTACTCTGCAATATATTTTCTGTGTGCATTTGTCAATGTTATATATTTATAAGGTAAATCCATAAAGCATACATTCTAGAATCTCCTAACTTAGGTCCTTAAGAGATATGCTCCTTATAACCTTCTTGGCACTCTTGAAGTGTTAAATATTTCCATTGAAGAAGGTTGCATATGGTTTCTGAGATGAAGTCTAGACAGGTTACGATTATTTTTTGTTCCTTTTGCCCACACAGCACCCACTGTCCCCTCCCTTTGTTATTAGCCTTTATCTGATACCCTAGATGAAGCCACCTTCTGTCCTTCAGTTTTGGCGTGGGGGCTGATTTCACCCCCAGTTTCAGGAATAAGCACAGGACAGCTACTAACAAGTATGTTGTTCACTCAAGGAAGAAACCCAGCTAAGGGAGAAAGGGGGGCTGAAATCCGGCCTACATGCTCTTCTCCAAGCCACATGCCCCGATACAGGGCTGCATCTAACTGCAGAAAGGGTAGCCATTTTCTAATACTTGCAAAGGCACTGTGTGGACAGTGCAAACTCTGTATGAGCTCATGACACAGGCCTGGCCAATAAATATACTTCTAATCCTGGCACAGATCAGACTAGAGACGGACATGAAATCCAAGCGTCACACCCAAAGTCAATCTCTAGTCTCTTATTGAGACTATTAGAAGTGTTTCTGTGTTTGCTTTATTCTGGGGCTGTGGAACTAAGGAAGTGTAAACTGGAGGAGTGATGATGGCCACATTGCAGAACAAAGGGAAAACTTGTCTGAGAATAAAGTCAATGGGGAAGAAAAAAGCAAGAAAGCTGAGAAGAGCTAAGTCCTGAGTCCCTACGTTCAGCCATTCTGAAGCTACACCCTGGATTTTTCCATTATACGAGTCCACAAATTAATATTTTTTTTTTGGCTTAGACCAGTTTGAGTTTGAATTCTATTATTTATAACCAAAGGAGTCCTACCATATTATCATAGCTGGATTTTCATAAACACGGTATATGTTGATCAACAAACTTCCTAGATGTTTCAAGTTCACTCCGAAGAGTGAGGGGAAAAAGAAAAGAAGGGAAGAAAATGGTTACTTATCATCCACAGTAGTCAAGGAAGCTACAGAAGCATCAAGCAAAAGCAGCGGAAGTTAGCTTTGTACTCCCACAAACCCTGCTCTGAAGTACTCCGCCTAGTGGCCCACAGCAGAAGCTGCATTTCTAAAATCTTTAAAAAGATAGAACAGGAATCACCACTTACCCTGGGAACCCTAATAGGTGAGCAGGCCACATGGGAATATGTCCCATTGGTTTGAGGTAGATAAGTCCATTTTCAAAGCGGTAGTAATTCCGGAAACAAGAACATATTAATTTTACTTTGATCACACAATGCCTAGTTATATTAAAAGTAAAGAGACATTCAATAAATACCTTTTATGGAAATAAAAACAGACAATTTAGGAGAGAATTAACTATCAATGCGTTATTTTCAAAGGTAAAGAAAAAAGAAATTATTCTGAATGCACAAAACTATTTTATCAAATATCATGGTAAATTATCATTATATACTAGGTCACTTAATAAATTTCCAGAGATGATTGTAAACAGTTTCCACAATAGATTTTGTTTCACCCCAGGAAGTTTCACAAAAAGTTAGTTACTTATCTCCATTGTTACTAGTGCCAACTAATCCTATCATTCTGAGTCAAATTAAAAATAACATCCACACTTTTCTCCAGTGAGATCACAGGAGATGCCTAAGTGGAGTGTGTTTTAATGTGAGGGGATAATTGGTTTATATTTTTCACTGACAATAACAAATAAATTCTAGACAACTTAAGCAAAATAGGAATTCAATGAAAGGATACTGAATAGTTCACAAAATCACTGAAGATGCTGGAGAAGCAAGGTAAGAGCTGAGGGAAACTTGGCACAGCCAAGTTCATCCTACGGAAGCAGATCTTGGGATGCCACAACTAGGATGTTGCCATTTGACACTCATCACCATGTAGCTGGGCTCTGCTGAACTTAGGCACTTCCTGCCACATTCCTGGACCTGCATCTCTGCTCAGTTGCTCAGAATCATCTCTGATTCTTTCAGGTCTTTTGCATCATTTCGTCGGGTTCCAAGTTCTAATAAAGAGACATCCATTGGCTGGGCCTAGATATGTGCCCACACTTGAGTGGCCAAGAAACTGGAAAAAGGATCATGCACTCCCTTTCAGCTTTTGTAATGGAAGGTGGGGCCTGTCCTCATACTTTGCTTGGGGTTCAAAAAACTAGGAAGGGTGTTTTGTTGAAATGAAACCCAAAACTATAGCTATCCATTTATAGCACCTTATTAGTACAGGAAAAAACCATGAGACAAAATGTATAAAAGTGCATGGGAGGTCTAAACATATGAGGGGGTTTCTGAGGAGAGGAAGATCATACTTGATTGGTGCTGTGGTTTCACTGTGCCTCCTCCGAGATTCAGCGTTGACAATGTGATAGTGTTGAGGTGGAGCCTACAGGAAGTGATTAGGCCATCAGGACTCCTACCTCAGGAATGGGTTTAGGAGCCCTCATGAAAGGGCTTCATGGAGGGAGTTCATTCCTCTTGCCCTCCCACCTTCCACCATGTGAGGACACAGTGTTCCTTGACTCTGGAGGATGCAGCATAAAGACACCATCTTGAAAGGAGAGAACAGCCCTTACCAAACATCAGACCTGCCAGCACCTTGATCTTGGACTTCCTAGTCTCCAGAACTGTGAGAGATAAATGTCTGGTTTTCATAAATTGCCTAGTCTCTGTTATTTCACTATAAGAGCATAAATTGACTAAGACAACTGGGGATTAGAAAAAGTAATATGAAGCGGCATTTGAGAAGGGCTTGATAGATAAGATCTCTACAAATAGAAATAGAGAGATGGTTTCACATCACCCAGGTGAAGGGAATAACATAGCCATGTTCAGTCTGAATGCAAAATGGAGATGGTAAAAAAAGTACATAGGATTCCACCACCAGTGGGAGGACAGAATTGCAATGTGGCAGCAATCTGTAAATTAAAATATTTATCACTCATTCCCATTTATTTAGAGTCTAATGTGTTCTAGGCTCTGAAATTAAGCAAAGAAAATCTAGATATGAGTAAGTCCAAGACTTTGCCTTTGTGACAGTCAAAATAATGACCCCATAAAGATGTTCTAGTCCCTGGAATCTGTGACCATATTACTTTACATGGGGCAAAATGGATTCTGTAGATGTGATTAATCCTTGAGTTAGGGGGATTATCCTTGATTATCTTGGGGGCCAATCTAATTGCATGTGTCTATAAAATCAGAGAATCTTTCCTAGCTGCAGTCAGAAGGTGACATGACCACAGAATATAAAATCAGAGAATCTTTCCTAGCTGCAGTCAGAAGGTGACATGACCACAGAACAATGGTCACAGATATCCCACATTACTGGCTTTGAAGATAGAGGGATGGTCCTATGATCCAAGGAATGGGGACAGCATCTACAAGTTGGAAAAGGAAATGGATTCTCTCTAGAGCCTCCAGAAAGCAATACAGCCCTGACAATACCTTGAGTTAAGCCCAGTAAGACCACGGTCAGAGGTTTGCCCTACAGAACTATAGGGTCGTAAGTCTTTGATTTAAGCCACAAAGTTGTGGTAATTTGTTATGGCAGCAATAGAAAATTGATTTTAAGGAGTTTATTGTTTGGAAGATAGGCAGACCAGAAAATCCAAATTATAATATAATTCGATTAAAACCTATGGAGATTTGGGCTAGGTGTTTTAGAAAAGAACTGAGTATTAACAAGACTAACAGAAGAAATTGTTCTAAAATTTACACACTAAGTACATCACATTTTTCTAATGATCACATTGATAGAGCAACTTAGAATCCATGCTTTCAACAAACCAACAGGCTTATATACATATATATATAATTTTATATATATATAATTTTATATATATATAATTTTATATATATAATATATAATATATGGAATAGCCCCACGGGCATGGGCAGCCCTGGGCCACAGGGCAGCACTGTACTAGCAGCCTACACCCCACCTTACCTGCCTACCCTGAGCTGACTTGTCTGCTAAATGCTAAATAAACCTGTCAACCTGTCGGGTTTAACTCAGAAGGGCCTGGATGCAACAAGCCTGAGGGCTGTGACTGGGGTAAGAGAGAGCACAGACGGAGCTCCTCCTCCTTCCACCACTGCCCACCAGCTGAAAACCACCAACTGAAGTTTGCTAAGATTCTCAGCCTACACCTTGTTCCCAACAAAACTCATGCAATACTTTGGCCCCCACTACAATCTCTTGAATAAAATATTCTACGGATCTGCTTTTTGAGCTGCAAGTTATCTTACTAAATTCCAAGAAGCTCATGTAAGAGAAAACCACCACATAATATAAGATTTTCAATGTGATCATCATTGCTACTTTTAACTAGAAAATATCCAGTAAATGTATTGTGAACTGCTTTGTGACTATGGTGATTTATTTAGTCTTTCTGATCCTTGGTTTGATTATCTCAAATATATAAGTATCACCAATTTTATAAAGTTGCTCTAAAAATTAAATGAGAGAAAAATAATTCTCCTTCTCCACATACTGAACACTTACAAAATTATAGGCATTGTGTCCAGGTTTTTACATACTTACCTGATGGAAGTCTCCTAACAACCCTCTCTTTTAAATTACAAGCATTTTGCCACGATTTTTACACATGTATGTTATGGAGGCCTCGCAACAATCACATCTTTTATAGGTGAGCAAACTGAGGCTCAGACGAGTTAAAAACACATTCACCATCAAATCATAATGAGGGACGGAACTGGGATTCAAATCCAGTTCTCTCTGATGCCAAAAATGGTGCAATTTAACAAGGACCAAGTTACACCCAGAACATGGAGGGATCATAACATGTGGATTCCCTTTTCTGCCCCCTCATGTGGGAATTTCAATAGCTTTCACTGCCTCAGAGCAATCCTAAACTCCCTCCCAGGTGCCTTGCAATGGCCCCCTTATTCGTGGGGGTGATTAGGAATCTGCATTTTTGGACCACGAGCATCCATAAACAGTTGTGTTGATCAAGAAATAAAATTTTCTAGGCCATAGGTTACTGTGAATTGTCTAGCTTCTCTGCAAAAAATAAAGGGGCTATTCCATGTAAAAAAATCACAGGATCCACTGAATTTGTGCAGAAAAACTTAGAACTATACCGCAGGAGGATCTTACTGACAGCTGTGCCTGAAGACCAGCCCAACCACACAAAGCAATAGCACCTCCAATGGCCAGGTGTGGTGGTTCTTGCCTGTCATCCCAACAGTGTGGGAGGCCAAGGTGGGTGAATCACTTAAGGCCAGGGGTTTGAGACCAGCTTGGGCAACACAGTGAGACCTTGTCCCTACAAAAAAATCATTTTTTATTATTAGAATCAAGAAGAGTACCTCTAACCCCCTGTCATTGCTTTAGGGTAGAGAGCTCTGGTCTAGAACTCAAGATATGAAATTGTGAATCCCAGTGTAGCTACTTAAGCTTAAATTCAAGAGCTGCCAGACATTTCCTCTACAGCAACGAAATCTGTAGCATCCATTTTGTATTTTGAAAACTTAGTTTTTGGCCAGCCTCTGGGAACAAAAGGACCCAGAATTGGGCATTTGGGTAGGGAGGGAAAAAGAAACCGGCTGGATGCAAAAGGGGAAGACGAAGGGGTGGGGACGCCAGGCAGAGCCAGTCCTCATGCTTGGGGCCTGGACCTAGGAAAGGAACTAGGTGAAGAAGGGAGGAGCCCCAGGCTGTGGATGTCTCTGGGGGAACCTTGGTTCAGCAATGGCCAGAGGAGGTCCTGAGGCCAAGCGGTATCTGTCGCCTCCTTACCTTTGGGTGTCTTCTGGTCGCCAATGTGCTGCAGGTCATGGCTCCGGAATCAAATTGGGCTCAAACGGGGCAAGCTCCAACACAGTGGAGCCTGGCGCTACTCCCACCTCCACCTTGCGGATCTCAGAGCTGCAGGATGGCTCTGCCCACCGCACCCTGAGCTGGCCCCGCTTGGGGCTGGCATTGGGGGACAGTGTGTTCTGGGCGTCTCTGCTCCTCTCTGCTGGTGCCTGTGCCTCTGCTGGCCGCCCACTCATAGATGTCAGAGCCACAGGACGGCCCCGCAGAATCCCTGCGCTGACCCTGCCGGGGGCTGGCTTTGGTGCACATGCAACTCGTCATCGTGGTCCCCATGGGGCACCTCTGCTCTTCTCGAGGCAGCTTGGGCCTTCGCTTGCCCCCACGTCTGCAGAGCTGAGCACCTGCCACCTCTCCCCAGGAAAGGCAACCAAATGCCACCAACTTAAGGCACCCACTGAAGGCACTAACTGAAGGCCACCAACGGAAGGCCGGTTGCCCTGCCAGCCAGATCGCGTACTGCTTAGGAAGAACCAATCAGGCCTTGAGTTCCCTCCACGTGCTGCCCTTCCATTTGTGATGTGGAAGTCCAGGCACTGGCTCACAAAACCGCGCCCCCCAGTGATGCCGCCCCACCTTTCATTTATTGGTAGCTGGTAGCAACTTTCAGGTTTCCTCACTGTGAATTATGAATATGAATTATGATTAAATTACTGTATGCTAATGTACCTCATGCACTATCTGACAGTCAAAGTCCCCTCTTCCCCCATGGCCTCTGAGTTTTTTGGAAACTAGAAAGAAGACACATTTCTGCAGGTGCTTTCAGAAAAAAACATTGCCACGACCTAATGTTACTCTGTGACGTCAAGTCATATTTCATATATCATACATATTCATATTTATATTCATAATTCAAAATGCACATATTCAATCAAATTAACAGGACTAACAAAGGAAATTTTCTAAAACTTATACACTAAGTACATTATATTTTTCTAATGATCACTTTAATAGAGCAACTTAGAATCTATGGTTTGAACAAATGAAGAGGCTTATGCAAGAGAAAACCACCACCTAACACAAGATTTTCAATGTGATCATCATTGCTACTTTTCACTAGCAATTGTCCAGTCAATATATTGTGAACTGCTTTGTGACTATGGTGATTTATTTAAACTTACTGATCCTTTATCTCAAAAATATGAATAATACCAATTTTATAAACTTGTTCTAAAAATTAAATGAGAGAAAAATAATCCTCCTTCTCTATATATTGAAAACCTACAAAATTAATAACATTGTGTCCAGATTTTTACACACTTACCTTATTGAAGCCTCATCACAACCCCGTCTATTAAATTATAGGCATTATTCCCAGATTTTTATACACTTACCTTATGCAAGCCTCGTAACAATCCCATCTTTTATAGATGAGCAAACTGAGGCTCAGACGAGTTAAAAACACATTGACCATCAAATCATAGTGAGTGATGGAACTGGGATTCAAATCCAGTTCTCTCTGACACCAAAGGTGGTGCAATGTAATGAAGACCAAGTTATATCCAGCACATGGAGGGACCAAAACATGTGAATTCCCTTTCTCTACCCTCTTACGTGTGAATTTCAATGGCTTTCACTGCCTCAGAACCATCCCAAACTCCCTCCCAGGTTGCCTTGCAGTGGATCCTTTCTTCTTGGGGATGATTAGGAATCCGCATTTTTGGACCACAGGCATCTATAAAGAGTTGTGTTGATCAAGAAATAAAATTGTCTAGGCCATAAGTTACTGTGAATTGTCTAGCTTCTCTGCAATAAATAAAGGGGCTATTCTCTTTATTTTTTATTATTCCACTATTCACAATAGCCTAGAATCAACCTAAGTGTCCAAGAAGACTCGGTTTAACCCTGGGGATTACTAATGTTTTCATTGTGGTCAATGTGGTAGATTATATTACCATTCTCCCATTATCTGGTCTTCCTACTGCAGTGGCCCTATCTCCTAGAAGATTATACATTTCTGTCCTATTGAAGTAAGGGTCAGATTTAGACATGTGACCGGTTTGGCCAGTGAAATGTAGGTAGAAGTGGCATGTGTAACTTGTTAGCAGAAAATTTCCTTTTTCAAGGATCTGGGAGCCATCCCTTTCAAATGTAATCCTCCAGAAAGATAATACCTTATTTCCCAGTCTCTATGAGAGAGTAAGAGCCTAATCTTGCTCCAAGTTGTAAAAATTACCTTATATTATAAAGATAAAAGAAAGTTTATTTTTCCTTTGAGAAAAGACAGTTAGCAAAGACAGGTGGCCTATGATCACCCCCTTACTCTCGCTTTCAAAAACTCCACTGCCCTTTGTATCAGGGGAGCTGAGTTCAGACTAGGTTCTGGCCTCTCTCCCCTGTTGAATAATATCTTCCTTACTTATTTAACTTTTTCCAGTGCAATTTTTTCTTTGACTCTTTCCTCCCTCTCTGAAACTTGCATTGAAATTTTAGTAGGATACAAGGCAGGCAATCTCGACCCTTGAATATATAAAAGAACCCTTTAGGATTAAAAAACCCATGTTCTCTTCCATAAGTTATTTCTTCAGACTATTGCCTTATTAAAAGTTTCTAGTTCTTATTTTTGCATTGAAAAGGAGAATGATGATTTTTAAATAAGTTCCTACTCACTTTTAATTTCTACTATCACAATTTTATTGCTTTTCATGGCAATAGATTTCTCTGGTTCAACAAGAAGGCCAGAACAAGGAAGTACAGAAACATCTCAATATATCTTAAAAAGTTATTTAACATGGACAGTGTCATTTAATATCTTTAACATCCCTATCAAATGGATGCTATTATTATCCCCCTTTTACAGGATATTAAAACTTACATACTGTAAATAACCAGCTGAAAGTCATATAGCATGGAAAATACAATAAGCATACAAAGAAGCAATGGCATTAGAAGTGGAGGAGAGTTAAGGATTAAAAGGCTAAACTTAGTTTGGTTAAGAAAAAAGAAAACTAGGAGGTGGCAAACTCTTGTTGGAAAGGGGAAGGATTTGGGCAGAGCAAGGTAGTGGAGTCGATCTCTCCAGTAATCTTACCCCTACGGACACATCTATATGAACAACTATCCACATATAAAATTACCTTTACAAGAGCTAACGAACCCTGAATACATGAGTCAGTCTATGAAGCCCCTTTGGACTGCAAAGAGTAGAACCATGCTTGGACAGTAAGGGAACCAGTACTCTGTGACTGTGATACTCCTCCCCCAGGCCATAATGGTATTATATGCAGAAAGTCCTCCTTACAGTTCTTACACTGAATAAAGTGAGCAGAAGTTGAATATTTTTTTCCACCATACTGAGTCCCTTCACAGTAGACTCCTGCATCAGCCCACAAGCAGCACCATGAGTGTCAACAGAGCTGAACCGCCCGAGGCATGCTAGGGACATAGAGAAGGGGTTGGGTTAGCAATACTCATTATATGAAACTTAGCAGTGGCTAGCCATTCCTACCAGAGGAAACACTACACCAGAGAGGTTGTTTATGGGCACCATGCTGTGGGAAACATGATACACAGACTGTCCAGATTTGATAGCCTGACTTGTTCTCCCCCACAGCCAGGAGCCTTTCTGTGGATCACCCATGGGCCCATTCAGTTACATTGCATCAGTGGTGAAGCCCCATTGTGAGACTTATGTCTAACCTTTGCTTTGGGCACCTCCTAATGCTAAAATGGAATATAATGGAAATCCACACCGAATTTCTAAACAAGCCCACTGAGAAACAGTCAAAAACAAACCCAGACTGAGAAGACTGAAATAAATATTTAATTCATCAATGTGTAGACAGAGATATACATCTACAAAAAATAAGAATAGCCTAGGAAAAACTGCCTCACCAAATGGAGAAAATAAGGTGTCAGCAACTGAACCTAAAGACATGCAAATGAATGATGTGGCAGACAAAAAAAATTCAAATAGCTGATTTTAAAAAAAAAATCGGTGAACTTCAACAAAGTACAGAGAAACAATATGGAAATTTATAAGAAATTCAACAAAGAATTTAAAATAATGGGAAAAAATCAAGTGGAAATCCTGGAGTTGGAAAGTTCAGTAAACAAATTGAAAAATGCACTAGAGGGCATCAAAAGCAGAACTGATCAAGTAGAAGAAAAAAACAGTGAGCTCAAAGACAGGCTCTTTGAAAATACACTGTCAAGAGTAGAAAAGAGAAAAAAATGAGAAGAAACAAAGAAAACTTATGAGATCCATGGGACACCATCAAAAAAAAAAAATCTACAGTGTTAAAGTGGAACTGAGAATGAAAAAGAGTTAGAAAATTATTCAGAGAAATAACAGAAAACTTTTTAAACTTAGAGAAACATTAAGATGTTTAGGATGGCCAAAGCGCACTAATCTGATTTAATCTGAATAAGACAACCACAAGATATATTATAATTGAACTTTCAAAGGTCAAAAACAAAGAGTAGGTCCTGAAAGCACTAAGAAAAAGGAAGCATATAATACATAATGTGCCTGGCAGCAGACTTCTCAGCAGAAGCAATGTGGGCCAGGAGAGAGTAGGATAATAGAATCAAGTGCTGAAGAAAAAAACTGTCAACCATGAATGTAGTATCCAGAACAGCTCTCATTTGAAATGAAGGAGAGATTAAAACGTTCTAAGACAAACAAAAGATGAAGGAATTCATTGTAACCATACCTGCCTTAAAAAAAATGTTAAAGAACCGTCTTCAAAGTGAAAGAAAAGGGCACTAATATGTAATGCAAAAAATTGGAAGGTATAAATCCACAGGTAAAAATAAATATTCAGACAAATTCAGAATGCTCTAATATAGTAATAATTGAATGTAAACCACTTACATATTTTTAGTAAGAAGGTTAAAATACAAAACAAAAATAATAACAACTACAATAATTTGTTAAGGGATAAGTGATATAAAAGATGTAAATTCAGACATCAAAAATGCAAAATGTGGGGGAGTGATTGAGTTAAAGAGCAGAGTGATTGTTTTTCCCCATTTCTTATTATCAAAATTAAGTTGTTATCCATTCAAATTACCTGTTGAAACCATAAAATATTCTTCACATGCCTCATAGAAACCAAAAGGCAAAAATATTTAATAGATACACTAAAAATAAAAGAACAAGAAACAAAAACACACAGAAAAAATCACTTAACTACAAAGGAAGACAATAAAGGAACAAAAAGGTACAAAAATTCTAAAAGACAACAAGAAAACCACGTACGGCAGTACAAGTCCTTATCTATCAATAATTACCTTGAATGTAAATAGATTAAATTATCCAGTAAGAAGACAGAGAATGGGTAAATGGATTAAAAACAAGACCTAACTATATTCTTTCTACAAGAGACTCCCATCACCTTTAAATACACGCATAAATTGAAAGTGATCAGATGGAAAAATATATTTTACGACAATGGAAATCAAAAGAATGCAGGAGTAGGTATATTTATATCAAATAAAATATACTTCAAGTAAAAAAACTATAAACACAGACAAACAAGGCCATTATGTAATAATAAAGGGGTCAGTACAACAAGAGAATACAATAATTGTAAATACATAATGCACTCAACATTGGAGAACCTAAATATATAAAGCAAACATTAATAGTTCTAAAAGGAGAGACAAAAAACTGTGCAATAATAGTAAAAAACCTTGACATCCCATTTTCAGTAATGAACAGATCATTGAGAGAGAATGTCAACAAGGAAACATTTAAACTGCACTCTAGGTCAAAAGAATTTAACAGTTATTTACATAACATTTCATCCAACAATTGAATAATTCAGTCTTTTCATCTGCACATGGAATATTGTCCATGATAGATATGTTAGACCACAAAACAAGTCTTAGCTAATCAAAAAATCAAATCATATCACATATTTTTTCTGACCATATGGAATAAAGCTAGAAATAAACAATAAGAGAAACTTCAGAAATTGTGCAAATACATATAAATTAAACAATATATCCCTAAACAACCAACGGGTCAATGAAAAAAAAAATTTTTTTAAATGTCTTAAGACAAATAAAAATGAAATCAGAACATATGAAAACTTATGAGATACAGCAAAACAGTCCTTAGAGGGAAGTTTATAGCAATACATTTCTACATCAATAAAGAAGAAAGATAATGAATAAACCCTCTAATTATGTATTTCAAGGAACTATAAAATCAAGAACAAACTAAGACCCAAATTAGCAAAAGAATATAAAGATCAGAGCACAAATATACAAAATGAAGACAAAAAATACAAATGATTAATTAAAGAATCTTTTTTGAAAAGGTAAAATTGACAAACGTTTTGTCAGACTAAGAAAAAAAGAGAAAATTCACATAAAGTCAGAAATGAAAAAGGATATGCTATGATGGACACTACAGAAATACAAGGAATCATGAGTAAGTACTACAAACAATTATACACCAATAAATTGAAAAACTTAGAAGAAATACATATGCTCTGGACACATATAACCTATCAAAATTGAAGATAGAAGAAATGGAAAATGTGAACACACCAATGACAAATAATGAGATTGAAGGAGTGATTTAGTCTGTCAGTCAAGGAAAATCCAAAAGACTTCACACAGTAGCTCCCACCTGTAATCTCACATTTTAGGATCCCAAGGCAGGAGAATCACTAGAGGCCAGGAGTTCAAGATTAGCCTGGGCAACACAACGGGACTCCATCTCTAAAAATAAAAATAAAAATTCCCCAGGTATAGTGGTGTGTACTTATACTCAGGAGGCTGAGGCAGGAGGATCACTTAAGACCAGGAGTTTGAGGCTGCAGTCAGCTACGACTGCACCACTGTATGCCAGCCTCAGTGATAGAGTGAGACTCTGTCTCTAAAAAAATAGAAGAAGAAAGAAAAGTTCATGACTTGATGGTTTTCACTGACAAATTCTACAAAATATTTTAAAAACTTATACAGATTATTTACAAACTATTTCAAAAAAATGAAAAGGAGGGAACTCTTGCAAACTCATTCTATGAAGACAGCATTACCTGAATCCAAAATGAGACAAGAACAGCAAATAAAACTCCAGGCCAATATCATTGATAAACATACATGCAAACATTCAAAACCAGCAGTGCTAGCAATGATAATTCAAAAGCACATTAAAAAGATTATTCACCATAATCAAGTGGTATTTACCCGGGGAGGTAAGGATGGTCTAACACATGTAAATCAATAACTGTGATACATCACATTAAACAATGAAGGATAAAAAACATATAATCATTTCAATAGATGCAGAAAAAGCATATGACAAAATTAGACATCCTTTTATGATCAAATCTTTTGACAAATTAGTTATAAAAGAACATAATAAAATAAAGACCATATGTGATAACCCACAGGCAACATTATACTGAATGGTGAAAAGTTGAAAGCTTTGCCTCTAGGATCTGGAACAAGACAAGGATGTTCACTTTAATCACTTTTTTCAACATAGTACTGGAAGTCCTAGTCAGAACAATTAGGTAAGAGAAAGAAATAAAAGGCATCCAAATTGGAAAAAAAAGTCTAATTGTCCCTCTTTGCAGATGACATGATCATATATGTAAAAAACCCTAAATACCCCACTGAGAATCAGAAATAGTAAATGAATACAATAAGGTTTCAAGATACAAAAGCAACATAAAAAATCAGTAACATCTCTATTCACCAATAGCAGACTATCTGAAAAAGGAATCAAGAAAGTAATCCCATTTAAAATAGCTATTAAAAAAAACAAAATACCTACAAGCAAATTAAGCCACGGAAAGATGAAAATTATTAAACATTGATAAAAGCAATTGAAAAAAATTAAAATAAATAGAAAGATACCCCATATTCATGGACTAGAAGAATTAATATTGTTGAAATGACCACACTACTCAAATCAATCTATAGATCCAATATAATCTCTATCAAATTTCCAATTTCATTCTTCACAGATATTAAAAAAGATCTTAAAATCCATGTGAAACTACAAAACACCCCAAATAGCCAAATAAATCTTAAGCAAAAAGAGCAATGCTAGAGGTATTACACTATCTAATTTCAAAATGTATTGCAAAGCTATCCTAACTAAAACGCATGGTATTGGCATAAAAACAGGGACACAGACCAGTGGAACAAAAATAGAGAGCCCAGGCATAAATCCACACGTTTACATGCAACTTATTTTTGACAAAGATGCAAACATTCAATGGGGAAAAGACAGTATTTTCAACAAATGGTGCTGGGAAAAGTGGATATCCCCATACAAAAGAATGAAAGTAGACCCCTATCTCTCATCATATCCAAAAACCAACTCAAAATAAATTAAATATTTAAATGTAAGACCCCAAACTATGAAACTAGTAGAAGAAAACATAGGTGAAATGTTATATGTCATTGGTCTGGGCAAGGACTTTTTAGAAAAGACATCGAAAGACATGCACAACAAAAGCAAAAATAAACAAATGGGATTACACCAAATAAAAACTTCTGCACTGCATAGGAAACAATCACAAGAGTAAGCAGACAACCTACAAAATGGGAGAAAATATCTGCAAACTATTCACTTGATAAGGGGTTAATATCCCAAATTTATAGAAAACTCAAACAACTCAATAGCAAAAATACAAATAATTGGATTAGAAAATAGTCAAGAGAGCTGAATAGACATTTCTCCAAATAAGACATAAAAATCACCAACAGGTATATGAAAAAAATGCTCACCATCACTAATAATCAGAGAAATGCAAGTCAAACCTGTCAGGCCTCTGGGCCCAAGCTAAGCCATCATATCCCCTGTGACCTGCACGTACACATCCAGATGGTTGGTTCCTGCCTTAACTGATGACATTCCACCACAAAAGAAGTGAAAATGGCCTGTTCCTACCTTAACTGATGACAATATCTTGTGAAATTCCTTCTCCTGGCTCAAAAGCTCCCCTACTGAGCACCTTGTGATCCCCACTCCTGCCCACCAGAGAACAACCCCCCTTTTTCCTTTACCTACCCAAATCCTATAAAATGGCCCCACCCCTATCTTCTTTCACTGGCTCTCTTTTCGGACTCAGCCCACCTGTACCCAGGTGAAATAAACAGCTTTATTGCTCACACAAAGCCTGTTTGATGGTCTCTTCACATGGACGCGAGTGAAATTTGGTACCGTGACTCAGATCGGGGGACCTCCCTTAGGAGATCAATCCCCTGTCCTCCTGTTCTTTGCTCCGTGAGAAAGATCCACCTATAACCTCAGGTCCTCAGACCAACCAGCCCAAGAAACATCTCACCAATTTCAAATCCGGTAAGTAGCCTCTTTTTACTCTCTTCTCCAACCTCCCTCACTATCCCTCAACCTCTTTCTCCTTTCAATCTTGGTGCCACACTTCAATCTCTCTCTTCTCTTAATTTCAATTCATTTCATTTTCTGGTAGAGACAAAGGAGACACGTTTTATCCATGGACCCAAAACCCTGGTGCTGGTCACAGACTAGGGAAGGCAGCCTTCCATTGGTGTTTAATCATTGCAGGGACGCCTCTCTGATTATTCACCCAGGTTTCAGAGGTGTCAGACCACACAGGGATGCCTGCCTTGGTCTTTCACCCTTAGTGGCAAGTCCCACTTTTCTGGGGGAGGGGCAAGAACCCCAATCCCTTCTCTCCATGTCTCTACCCCTTCTCCACTTTTCTGGGGGAGGGGAAAGAACCCCTCAACCCCTTCTCCTTCACCCTTAATGGCAAGTTCTGCTTTTCTGGAGGAGGGGCAGGAACCCCAACCTCTTATCTCTGTGCCCCGATCCCTTATTTCCGTGCCCCGACCTCTTATCTCTGTGCCCCAGCTCCTTATTTCCACGCCCCAACCCCTTCTCTGCTTTTCTGGAGGGCAAGAACCCCCCACCCCTTCTCCGTGTCTCTACTCTCTTTTCTCTAGGCTTGCCTCCTTCACTATGGGAAAGCTTCCACCTTCCATTCCTCCTTCTCCCTTAGCCTGTGTTCTTGAGAACTTAAAACCTCTTCAACTCTCACCTGACCTAAAATCTAAGCATCTTGCATCTTATTTTCTTCTGCAATGCCACTTGACACCAATACAAACTCAACAGTAGTTCCAAATAGCTGGAAAACGGCACTTTCAATTTTTCCATCCTACAAGATCTAAATAATTCTTGTCATAAAATAGACAAACGGTCTGAGGTGCCTGATGTCCAGGCATTCTTTTACACATCAGTCCCTCCCTAGTCTCTGTTCCCAATGTAACTCATCCCAAATCTTCCTTCTTTCCCTCCCACCTGTCCCCTCAGTCCCAACCCCAAGCATTGCTGAGTCTTTCTAATCTTCCTTTTCTACAGACCCATCTGACCTCTCCCCTCCTCACCAGGCTGAGCTAGGTCCCAATTCTTCCTCAGCCTCTGCTCCTCCACCCTATAATCCTTTTATCACCTCGCCTCCTCACACCCGGTCTGGCTTTCAGTTTCATTCTGTGACTAGCCCTCCCCCACCTGCCCAGCAATTTACTCTTAAAAAGGTGGCTGGAGCTAAAGGCATAGTCAAGGTTAATGCTCCTTTTTCTTTATCCCAAATCAGATAGCGTTTAGGCTCTTTTTCATCAAATATAAAAATCCAGCCCAGTTCATGGCTCGTTTGGCAGCAACCCTGAGATGTTTTACAGCCCTAAGAGCCTAAAAGATCAAAAGGCCGTCTTATTCTCAACATACATTTTATTACCCAATCTGCTCCCGACATTAAATAAAACTCCTAAAATGAAATTCTGGCCCTGAAACCCCACAACAGGACTTAATTAACCTCACCTTCAAGGTGTACAATAATAGAGTAGAGGCAGCCAAGTAGCAACATATTTCTGAGTTGCAATTCTTTCCCTCCACTGTGAGACAAACCCCAGCCACATCTCCAGCACACAAGAACTTCCAAATGCCTAAACCGCAGTGGCCATGCATTCCTACAGAACCGCCCCCACTAGGAGCTTGCTACAAGTGCCAGAAATCTGGCCACCAGGCCAAGAAATGCCCACAGCCCTAAGCCATGTCCTCCTAAGCCATGTCCCATCTGTGCAGGACCCCATTGGAAATTGGACTGTCCAACTCACCTGGCAGCCACTCCCAGAGCCCCTGGAACTCTGGCTCAAGGCTGTCTGACTGACTCCTTCCCAGATCTTCTTGGCTTAGCGGCTGAAGACTGACACTGCCTGATCACCTCGGAAGCCCCACAGACCATCACAGATGCTGAGCTTTAGGTAACTCTCACAGTGGAAGGTAAGTCCATCCCCTTCTTAATCAATATGGAGGCTACCCACTCCACATTACCTTCTTTTCAAGGGCCTGTTTCCCTTGCCTCCATAACTGTTGTAAGTATTGACAGCCAGGCTTCTAAACCTCTTAAAACTCCCCAACTCTGGTGCCAATTTAGACAATACTCTTTTAAGCACTCCTTTTTAGTTATCCCCACCTGCCCAGTTCTCTTATTAGGCCGAGACACTTTAACTAAATTATCTGCTTCCCTGACTATTCCTGGACTACAGCTACATCTCATTTCTGCCCTTCTTCCCAATCCAAAGCCTCCTTTGCATCCTCCTCTTGTATCCCCCGACCTTAACCCACAAGTATAAGATACCTCTACTCGCTCCTTGGCAACTCATCATGCACCCCTTACCATCTCATTAAAACCTAATCACCCTTACCCCTCTCAATGCCAATATCCCATCCCACAGCATGCTTTGAAAGGATTAAAGCCTGTTATCACTCGCCTGCTACAGCATGGCCTTTTAAAGCCTATAAACTCTCCTTACAATTCCCCCATTTTACCTGTCCTAAAGCCAGACAAGCCTTACAAGTTAGTTCAGGATCTATGCCTTATCAACCAAATTGTTTTGCCTATGAACCCCATGGTGCCAAACCCATATACTCTCCTATCCTCAATACCTCCCTCCACAATCCATTAGTCTGTTCTGGATCTCAAACATGCTTTCTTTACTATTCCTTTTCACCCTTCATCCCAGCCTTCTTCACTTTCACTTGGACTGACCCTGACACCCATCAGGCTCAGCAAATTACCTAGGCTGTACTGCTGTAAAGCTTCACAGACAGCCTCCATTACTTCAGTCAAGCCCACATTTCTTCCTTATCCGTTACCCATCTCAGCATAATTCTCATAAAAACACATGTGCTATCCCTGCCAATCATGTCTGACCAATCTCTCAAACCCCAAACCCTTCTACAAAACAACAACTCCTTTCCTTCCTGGGCATGGTTAGATACTTTCGCCTTTAGATACCTGGTTTTGCCATCCTAACAAAACCATTACATAAACTCACAAAAGGAAACCTACATGACCCCATAGATCCTAAATCCTTTCCCCACTCCTCTTTCTGTTCCTTGAAGACAGCTTTAGAGACTGCCCCCACTCTAGCTCTCCCTGACTCATCCCAACCCTTTTCATTACACACAGCTGAAGTGCAGGGCTGTGCAGTCAGAATTCTTACACAAGGACTGGGATCGCGTCCTGTAGCCTTTTTGTCCAAACAACTTGACCTTACTGTTTTAGACTGGCCATCATGTCTCCATGCAGCGGCTGCTGCCACCCTAATACTTTTAGAGGCCCTTAAAATCACAAACTATGCTCAACTCACTCTCTACAGCTCTCATAATTTCCAAGATCTATTTTCTTCCTCACACCTGACGCATATACTTTCTGCTTCCCAGCTCCTTCAGCTGTACTCACTCTTTGTTGAGTCTCCCACAATTACCATTTTTCCTGGCCCAACTTCAATCTGGCCTCCCACATTATTTCTGATACCACACCTGACCCCCATGACTGCATCTCTCTGATCCACCTGACATTCACTCCATTTCCCCACATTTCCTTCTTCCCTGTTTCTCACCCTGATCACACTTGGTTTATTGATGGCAGTTCCACCAGGCCTAATCACCACACACCAGCAAAGGCAGGCTATGCTATAGTACAAGCCACTAACCCGCCTCTTAGAACCTCTCATTTCCTTTCCATCGTGGAAATCTATCCTCAAGGAAATAACTTCTCAGTGTTCCATCTGCTATTCTACTACTCCTCAGGGATTATTCAGGCCCTCTCCCTTCCCTACACATCAAGTTCAAGGATTTGCTCCTGCCCAGGACAGGCAAATTTGCTATTCTACTACTTCTCAGGGATTATTCAGGCCCCCTCCCTTCCCTACACATCAAGCTTAAGGATTTGACCCCACCCAGGACTGGCAAATTAGCTTTACTCAACATGCCCCGAGTCAGGAAACTAAAATACCTCTTGGTCTAGGTAAGACACTTTCACTAGATAGGTAAAGGCCTTTTCCACAGGGTCGAAGAAGGCCACCACGGTCATTTCCTCCCTTCTGTCAGACATAATTCCTTGGTTTGGCTTCCCACCTCTATACAGTCTGATAGCAGACCGGCCTTTATTAGTCAAATCAGCCAAGCATTTTTTCAGGCTCTTAGTATTCAGTGAAACCTTTATATCCCTTACAGTCCTCAGTCTTCAGGAAAAGTAGAACAGACTAATAGTCTTTTAAAAACACACCTCACCAAGCTCAGCCACTAACTTAAAAAGGACTGGACAATACTTTTACCACTTTCCCTTCTCAGAATTCAGGCCTGTCCTCAGAATACTACAAGGTATAGCCCATTTGAGCTCCTGTATAGACGCTCCTTTTTATTAGGCCCCAGTCTCATTCCAGACACCAGATCAACTTGGACTATGCCCCAAAAAACTTGTCATCCCTACTATCTTCTGTCTACTCATACTCCTATTCACCATTCTCAACTACTCATACATGCCCTGCTCTTGTTTACACTGCCAGTTTACACTGTTTCTCCAAGCCATCACAGCTGATATCTCCTGGTGCTACCCTCAAACCGTCACTCTTAACTCTTAAAGTAAATAAAAAATCTTTGCTGGCAAAGCTATGCTGAACCTCCTTAGGCACTCTCTAATTAGATGTCCTAGGTCCTCCCAATTGTTAGTCCTTTAATACCTGTTTTTCTCCTTGTCTTATTCCGTTTAGTTTTTCAATTCATACAAAACTGTATCCAGGCCATCGCCAATAATTCTAAATGACAAATGTTTCCTCTAACAACCCCACAATATCACCCCTTACCACAAAATCTTCCTTCAGCTTAATCTCTCCCACTCTAAGTTCCCACGCCGCCCCTAATCCCGCTCGAAGCAGCCCTGAGAAACATCACCCATTATCTCTCCATACCACCCCTAAAAAATTTTCACTGTCCCAACACTTTACCACTAATTCATTTTATTTTTCTTATTAATATAAGAAGACAGGAATGTCAGGCCTCTGAGCCCAAGCTAAGGCATCATATCCCCTGTGACCTGCACGTACACATCCAGATGGCCGGTTCCTGACTTAACTGATGACATTCCACCATAAAAGAAGTGAAAATGCCCTGTTCGTACCTTAACTGATGACATTATCTTGTGAAATTCCTTTTCCTCGCTCATCCTGGCTCAAAAGCTCCCCTACTGAGCACCTTGTGACCCCCACTCCTGCCCGCCAGAGAACAACCCCCCTTTTGCCTTTACCTACCCAAATCCTATAAAATGGCCCCACCCCATCTCCCTTCACTGACTCTTTTCGGACTCAGCCCACCTGCACCCAGGTGAAATAAACAGCTTTATTGCTCACACAAAGCCTGTTTAGTTTAGTGGTCTCTTCACACAGATGCAAGTGAAAAAACCCACAGTGAGATATCATCTCACCCTGCTTAGAATGCCTTTTATGAAAAAGCCAAAAAATAACAAATGCTGGCAAGGATGTGAAGAAAGGGGAATGTTCATACACTGTTGGTGGAAATGTAAATTAGAGCAATTGTTATGGAAAACAATATAACTTCCAAAAACATTAAAAATAGACTTACCACATAATCCAGCAATCCCCCTACTGGGTGTATATTCAAAGAAAATTAAATCAGTATGTCAAAGAGATTTCTGCACTCTCATGTTTATTACAGCACTATTCACAATAGCCTAGAATCAACCTAAGTGTCCATCAATGAATGAATGGATAAAGAAAATGTGGCATATATGCTGTATTTGGCCATTCTTGCATTGCTATAAAGAAATAACTGAGATTGGATAATTTATAAGAAAAGAGACTTAATTGGCTCCTGGTTCTGTGGGCTCTACAGGAAGCATAGTGCCAACATCTGCTTCTGGGGCCTCAGGAAGCTTGAGAACTTGTTCACTATCATGAGGATAGCACCAAGCCATGAGGGATCCACCTCCATGACCCAAACACCTCCTACCAGGCCCCATTTCTAACAGTGGGGATTACAATATAACATGAGATATGGGTCAGGACAAATATCCAAACTATATCATATGCACACTTGGCCATAAAAAAAGGATAAAATCGTGTCATTTGTGACAACATGAATGAGTAGAGAGGACATTGTGGTAAGTGAAATAAGCTAACCACAGAAAGACAAATATCACATGATCTCATTCATATGTGAAATCTAAAAACACTGATCTAATAGAGAGTAGAAGAGTGGTTACCAGACTGGGAAAGTTAGGGAGAAGAGGTTTTAACAATGTATCATGTATCAAAATACCACATTGTACCCCATCAACATGTGAAATTATCATGTGTCCACTTAATAAAAAAAAAGAAAATGGAAGAGTCAAGATACTGGGGCACTTGAAGAGATAGAAGGTGAATTGGCAGTAAGGAAGAGAGAGTCTGAAAGAGCAGGTCACAGAGTGGAACATTAAAGTTTATAACATTAGAAATCAATTTTTAAGTTATTGAAAAGTTTATAGCCATGAAAGTGAGTAGCTCAATTGAAGTGAAAGTAAAAGTCAATGAAAGATTAAATTAGAAAATATATTGCTTGGCATTTAGTAGTTACTTCAGAAATATTAATAAATCTTAAGAAAATTAAGAACGCCAAAGCATTCATAGTGGGCCATTATCATAATACAAATGTATGTGGTAATATTTTATTCTTTCTAGTGAAGGGAGTAATTCAACAGTCTTGATTATAGGTTAGAAAATGATTCTCCAGGTGTGACCCACTGACCACATTCATTGTATTTGAATTGCTTGAGCAACTTGTTTCAGAAGAAAATGGAAAGATTTTAAGATGGACCAATGAAATTACCACTGAGTGTCTTCAAGAAATCTCAGCCTTGCCTAGAATAACCTGGGTTATCTGTTTCTATGGGGTCTTTTTGCCTTTTGTTTTCTTTGTTATTTGCAATCCTGTTAGTCATAGATTACTGATAGTAATGCAAATATTCTTGTCCATAGACATGCAAATGACTGATTTGGGTGGAAGTATAATTAATTTTCCTTTTTTCACCTTCCATCAAGAAGTCAGTTTTGAACCTATCAAGAAAATTTATTTCAGTGTTCCTTAGTGCATAGAGATGTGTGGCTCTTTTAATTTTCCATAAAACTCATTATAACATCTTACTGACTCCCTCATTAAATAAATGAGTTAAACAAAAATCTTAGACAAATGTTCATTTTATATTTGTAAGTCATAATTTATCCTACTTGAAGCAATTTTCCTTTAACATTCCTAAAAATACAGATTCCTATGCCCCATGCTAGACCTACTGAATCAAAATCTCAGGCCTAAGGCACAAGAATTTGCATTGTTAGTAAGCTTTTCAAGTGATTTTTAGGCATACTATATTATATTAACCATTACCATTCTAATTCTTTAAACTTGAATTATTGTGTTTATAATTCCAACTTCATCAAAGTAAACTTTTTGTTAGCAAAAACGGTAGAAACCCCCTTATTCAATAAGATTGGGACCAGTAATAAATAGATTAATAACAAATTTAAGTTAGATGGAGGAATCATAAGAAGTATTAGATGTAAGTCCTTAAAACAACTTTAATTTAAAAGACATGTGTAAATAAATTTGCCACTATTTTGATGACAAGGTCAAAGCCTTGCACGGATTCAATGAGTGGAGTTTCTTGTGGAAACTATGCCAATGATATGTTGTCATTCATTTCTCGTTCACTTTCTGTGAAGACAACTGGGGTAAAGCAATCTGAAATCCTAGAGTATACAATTTTTCCCATTTGTTTCTAGTTGTCTTGCCCACTGTTAAGTTGGCAGCAACTGTTTGAGTGTCTCATTTTCCCAACACATTTGGTTTATTTCTCAAAGAAACAACAATACTACTCTTGTTGTACTCATTTTCTCAGTTTACATAATATTTATTTTTTATTTTATTTATTTTTTTTTTGAGATGGAGTCTCGCTCTGTTGCCCAGGCTGGAGTGCAGTGGTGCCATCTCTACTCACTGCAAGCTCCGCCTCTCAGGTTCACCTCATTCTCCTGCCTCAGCCTCCCAAGTAGCTGGGAGTACAGGCGCCCGCCACCACGCCCTGCTAATTTTTTTGTATTTTCAGTAGAGACCGGGTTTCACCATGTTAGCCAGGATGGTCTCGATCTCTTGACCTAGTTATCCGCCCTCCTTAGCCTCCCAATATAATATTTAATTAAATTGCATAACTACAAGAGCAAGAACAAATGGTGTAAACATATTTAGGAATGAACACAGCTTCCTCTTAGAAACTATATAATTTCTGTGATGGAAGGAGAAATGTACAGGCATTAAAAGTAGCTCAAAGGCTTTCAGTTTGCAATGGACATCAGTCAATAAGTTGTACAGGGGTACCAGAAAGTGCTAATTGTAAATCAGTTAAGTGGAGGTCAGTTAAGGCAGCATCCACTGTATCTTAATTTGTGAAGTGAATGTTCTAAAACTGGGTTCACTTTTGCTATAAAGGACCAGATGATAAATATTTTAAGCTTTGCAAACCATACGGTCTCTATAGCAACCATTCAACTCTACCATTGTAGCAGGAAAGCACCATAGATCCATGGATGTGCTCCAATAAAACTTTATTAAAACAGGCAGCTGGTCTGAGGTCCATGTATATATCTTGCTGTTTTCATACAATTTTCTAAGTTAGTAGTTTCCTGCCTTTTTAACAATCACGGATTACTTTTAATCCTCTCCTCTGATTTTATGTTTCAAAAGCCTTAAGAAAAACCCACAAAATATATTTATTTTGTAATTTTGGGGGTGGTTCTTATTTTATTAATAAGTAATCAATGATATATAAAGGCTACCCATTAGGTCAGTATGAAATAATCAACATTACTAACTCTAATGACTTAGTTCTGGATAGAAATAAAATATATTCAACTATATATACATAACTTAAAACCTGTATAGCTGTTTCTGGTGTAAATATATAACTTTTCGAGATTTTTTCAAGTATTAAATACAACTTTTGGGAATCCCCACACCTGGCTCCCTATGATGACGTTCAAGAATTCCTTAGGATTCTGGGAATCTTAGAATGAAAGTCACTGCTCTGTAGGAATGAATGAATGAATGAAAAAGAAAACGAAGGAAGAAGACAGAGCATGTCTACTAATTATAAATTAATCATCAATGAATGTTTATTTTATAAATAAATTTGTCAACTTTAGGTTGCCAAATCTAACAAGATACCAACATGGCATTCATGGTGATCACACCTCTAGTCAAATTTTATTTTAGTTCATTGACTATACTATTAATATCCTGAAATACTCAAAACTTCTGTCTCAATTCGGTGAATAATTCACTTATTAATCACCGTATACACTACTTAATGAATGGAATGGTGCTTGGAATAAAGATAATTACAGGGCTAAAAGGTTTTTCTCTGGAGGCAGGGCATAGAATTTTGTTGTCTGACTGGAATAAAACAAAATTAATCAATATTTTCTGCAACCAGTGGCTTTTGACTTAGTCGTCTATTAATATCTATCAATCACTATAATCTCAGTCCTATTTCCTCCATTTTTCTTTTTGCTATCATAAAAACTTGTCCATTTTTTTCCTGTTAGATCTATATGTTTCTCCTCTTTTCTTTTCATCCAAACAACTGGACATCAACTTAGTACACATAGTCCAATTTATCCGAACCTTACAGAACTCACTGTTTCCATTTACATAACTTACATAACTGTCAAGCTGAAATCACTCTCAAATTTTTTTAATTCAAAATTTTAATTTAATTTAATAATATTTATTTATTCATTAATTAATTTATTTTGAAAATAATTTTAACTTGTATTTTACATTCAGGGGTACATGTGCCAGTTTGTTACATGGGTATATCTCATAATGCTGAGTTTTGGGGTATGAATGATCCCATCATCCAGATGCTGATTTGGTATGATTTGACTCTGTGTCCCCACCCAAATCTCATGTTGAATTGTAATTCCCAATGTAGGGGGAATGACATGGTGGGAGGTGATTAGCTCATGAGGGCAGATTTCCCCCTTGTTGTTCTTAGATGGTAAGTGAGTTCTCATGACATCTGATGGTTTAAACATATGGCAAATCCCCCCTGGCTCACTTGCTCTCCTTCCGCCATGGTAGAACGTGCCTTGCTTCCCCCTTCACCATCTGCCATGATTATAAGTTTCCTGAAGCCTCCCAGCCATGCTTCCTGTACAGCCTGTGGAATTGTGAGTCAGTTAAACCTCTTTTCTTTATAAATTACCCAGTCTCAGGTAGTTCTCTACAGCAGTGTGAGAACAGATTAATACATGAGCATAATACCCAATAGGTAGTTTTTCAAACCTTGCCTTCCTCCTTCTCCCCTCTAGTAGTCCCGGTGTTTATTCTTTCCATCTTTATGTCCATGAGTACCCAGTGTTTAGCTCCCACTTATAAGTGGGATCATGTGGTATTTTGTTTTATGTTCCTGCATTAATTCACTTAGGATAATGGCCTCCGGCTGCATCCATGTTGTTTCAAAGGACATGATTTTGTTATTTTTATGGCTGCATAGTATTCCGTGGTGTATGAAATGGTTTGGAAGGTGGCCCCTATAAATCTCATGATGAAATGTAATCCTCAGTGTTGGAGGTGGGGCCTGGTAGGGTCATGGGGATGGATCTCTCATGGCCTGATGCCGTCCTTGTGATAGTGAATTCTTTCAAGATCTGGTTGTGTAAGGGTGTGTGGTACTTACCCCCACTCCCATTTTCTCTTGCTCCTCCTCGGACCATGTGATGTGCCTACTCCCTCTGTGCCTTCCATCATGAGTAAAAGCTCCCTGGGGCCTCCACAGGCGCCATGCAGATGCCATCACCATGCTTCCTGTACAGCCTGCAGAGATGTGAGCCAATTAAATCTCTTTTCCTTATAAATTACCCAGCCTCAGGTATTTCTTCATAGCAATGCAAGAATGGCCTAATCATACTGTGTAGATGTACCACATTTTATTGATCCAATCCACTGTCGATGGGCACCTAGGCTGACTCCATGTCTTTGCTATTGTGAATAGTGCTGCGATGAACATGCAAGTGCATATGTCTTTTTGGTAGAATAACTGATTCTCTTTGGGTTATATACCAGTAATGGAATTGTTGGCTTGAATGGTAATTCTATTTTAAATGCTTTGAGAAATTTCCAAACCGCTTTGAACAGTGGCTGAACTAATTTACATTTGCACCAATTATGTGTAAATGTTCCCCTTTCTCCACAGCCTCCCAAGATCTGTTGTTTTTCAATTTTTGAATAGTAGCTATTCTGACTGGTGTAGGATGGTATCTCGTTTTGGTTTTGATTTGCATTTCTCTGATGATTAGTGATGTTAAGACTAATCTTTGCCACCAAAAAACTAGGAAAATACAGTGTCACTTGTCAAAATAAATTGTTTTACTTTGCTTTAAAAATAATCAATTGAGTAGTATATTTCTTCCAGCAAAATTAAGAAGTAAACATTTAGAATTGTACAGTACCTTGCTGTTAAGTCTTCGCACAAGTATACCAATCGAACATAAAGGCCACCTTAAACTTTCATTTGAAATGAAAGACAATTTTTAAGAGGTTAAGGGCTAGTAATTTCTTAAAGTCCTGAAGTTAAATTAGCTCAAGTAAATGCAAAGACTTTCCTTTAATTAAAGACTTTTAAATGAACACTTTAAAGCATAGTTGGTTTCTCCCTCAAATCTTGTCCAAAGCCACTGTTTACAACTCAGCATATCAAAGAAGGCTTCAGACATGATTGTGAAGCTCCCTCAACTTACAGTGTGCTATTTGCAACCTTAGATGCTATCATTCTGGCTTTTCTAACTTTTAGCAACAATAAGCACACCCTTCTCATTTCTCCCCCACCCTGACTTACCCCTCTTTTCATTTAATATACAATTTTTCTCAGAGTGTTCTTACACATCTTTAACTGTAAATATGACAAAAGCACACAGTATAGTACATTTATCACATGTATAAATGCTGTATCTAGTCATACAATTTTCCTTTTAAAAAAGAAATATTTTATTTTCAAAAAGCAAAGACTCTAGGAATCTTTTCTAGCTGCCAGTCATAAAAACATAAATTCCTGGTTAGTTTCCCAAATTTGCCTGACCATAAGAACCACTTGTGATACTTGTCAAACACATGTATGCTGAGTCCCATCCATGATCTCCTGAATCAGAATCACCAGGTGAGAGGCCTGGGAATACACATTTTAAACAAATGTCCACAGTGATTATGATTAGTAAAGCTTGAAAAACATTTCACTAGGATCTTTATGACTGAATAACCTCACAAACATAGGAAAGTTACTGGAAAAAAATATGAGCAGAATTTCAGAATTCTGCCTTTGCTGAAAGTGTTTGTTCCCTCCTCCTCTACTCATCAAGACCTGACTGCTTATGCAACTCCCCCAAACCATCAATGGGAAGAGCTGAAAATGATTTTAATGAAGAAGAAAAGCTGATGTTTAATTTCAAAACTGACGGTTTGAATAGAAGGGAGAGGCATGAATTTATCTTGATTCTAACAGAAAGCATTGTATTTGGGTCTACAAACGAAATTGGTTTCATTTTTATTTTTTGTAAGTTTTCGCCAAACTCTGTGCATATATAGAGGCTGGGCAAGAAAGAAAGAAATCCAGAAATACGGCATATGCCATCCCTTATTTATTTCCCCATGCGACCAGCCAACAGCTTCTTCACCTAGTCCCTGCTTCAAGCTGACTTTCAGTCTACTTCTCTATCGGAAATGGAGCTTCCCCAAAGACTGCCTCAATGTCAGTTACCCAGAGGCCTTTTTTCCATCTTGGGCTCCTAAACTTCTATGATATTAAATGATACTACCCTTTCTGGAAATTCTCCTTAGCTTTGATTTCTATAATTTAACTCTGTTTCATTCCTTCTTTTATAGCCTTTCTTTTCTCTATCCCTTTACTGTAGACATATTGTACGACTTTGTTCTTGACCTTCTGATCTCTCCACATTCATTCCTTCAGAGCATGTATCCATTTTCTTGGTGTCAGGCTTCCTGACTATCTGATTATTACCATCATATAACGATGTTGGTGATGAGCATAGCTAACATATCCTAGGCATTTTCCATGTAGGTTATAATAAGCACCCTATATAACTCGTACCATTTAATTCTTCAACCCTAAATGATACTATTACTAACCACATTGTATGAGACGAGGAAACAGATTTTCATCAAAACCCTGGAAAGCCAACGTGAGGAGCCCCTGTGTGTCTCCTTTGTTAATGACTCCGGGCATCATGGCATGTGGATTGCCATGGAATGGGGATTAGGAAGCGCAGCACTGTGAAAACACCAGAAAATACGTTGATAGCGGTAAGGACGCTCATCTCTGCACATTGTGACGGTTTTGTTTCTGAGTCAGGTTTGAGATGAGCCAATCCTGACTCCATGGTGCCACCAGGGATCACGAATTTAATAAGATCTTCGTGGATGCTTGGAACCCAACTGGTCTCGGTTTTCTACTTTAGGGAAAGAGCCACAGCTTGAGTGGGGTGGTTTTGGTGTCACATACGCGATTAATAACACCCACCGCTGCAGAGGAATCACCGTGGACTACTCCTCCTTTCATCCCATGCTCTTGCGATGGATCCCTCTCACCTGTTTACTGATTTCATTCAAATTCTTCAGCGACCACAGGACCCCGACTTGCCTTCTCTATCCTGGTTCCCTCACTCTGCTTTACAGGCCTGGCCTGCTCGCTGCTCCTCACACCAGCGCTGCACGGCTCCCTCCACGCCTCCGCCCTGTTTCCTCCATCAGACAGGACTAGCTTCCTCCATCTCTGTCGGGCAAATGCCTGCCCAGCCTTCAAGACCCTCCTCAGATGCCGCCTCCACGATTAGGCTTCTTTCAGACCCCTGAGCCTGTAACACGGGCTACCATAACTCTCCACCTCAGCCCACATTCCCACAGCACTCGCGACGTCCGCGACCCTCAACATGGCGCTTCATTCTCTTTTAGGGTATTTCCTGCTTGTTTCCTGCACACACAGTCGCGCGAGGCGCAGTCCTGAGTGACCCACGCACGAGTGGCCCGCGCTTCCAGCCGCGCCGCCGCAGGCCAGCGAGGGCAGCCTGAGCCGCTTCCCGCCCCGGCGAGGACCGTCGCCAGCCCGCTGCTCTAGCAGGAGGCGGTTCCACAGCGCACCCGGCAGCCCAGCCACCGTCAGCACCGCGCCTCGGGCGGGCTTTTCTCCCTTCCGGGAGGCGCGAATCCTCAGGGGCTCCTTGAGAGGGCGCCAGGGAGCAGCTGCGCGCGGATGCCTTTTGGCCCTCTGCGGCCGCCGTAGCTCCCCGGCAGAAACCCGGAAGTGGAACTCTGAGCCATTCAGCGTTTGGGTGAAGACGGAGGCGGGTTCTACAGAGACGTAGGCTGTCAGGGAGTGTTTATTTCGCGTCCGCTTCTGTTTCTCCGCGCCCCTGTGCTGCCCCGACTCACATACTCGTCCAGAACCGGCCTCAGCCTCTCCGCGCAGAAGTTTCCCGGAGCCATGGCCGAGTACTCCTACGTGAAGTCTACCAAGCTCGTGCTCAAGGGAACCAAGACGAAGAGGTGGGTCCTGCAGCTTGGGCGGGAGCCTCCTCCGTTCTTTTCGGACGCACTCCACCCCCGCAACTCCGGTGGAAGCCGTGGCGCGGAGAGCCGGCTTTGTGGCCTCCCAGGCTTCGCCCTGGCCCCTGTCCGGGCTGGACGGAGGCCGGGCCGCGGTTCCCGGCGTCTGTGCAGAGAGGGGCAGCCTCCCGCGCGGACGACCCTGGAAACAGGATAGACGGGCAGGTGACCCGTGACCCCGTACCCACGAGTTTGGGTCCCCTGAGGCATCTCTCCAGGCCTCTGCCTGGGGGGTCTGCATTAGTCTGATCTCGTAGTTCATGATAATTTCCTTTATTAGGGATTATTATTTTCTCCATTGTCTCTTTTCTTTCTAGAAAACTTATTAATTTTTTCTAATCTAATATGTACAGTGAAACCAGGATGAATCACACAGTGGTTGAGGTGTATATGGGCTTTAGGGATATGGGCTCGAACCTGCACTCTTGTCATTTACTAGTTTTGTAATTTGTGGCAAATTGGTTAATATGTCTGAACTTCCATTTACTCATTAAGAGATCAAATATCTGAACCTCCGTTTACACATTTATACTTTCAGACGTTTTTTATACTTTTAGAAGACTGTGAGGATTAAATGAGAGAACATATATGCAGAAAATAAATTGAGCCAAATGTGAGGAGGAGGTCGTAATGGTAATTTATTAGCTTTTTAGGAAAAAATACCTGTGCACTCATATCCCCGCTTCTTTTTTAACTGGCAGATTTGCCCGAGGTACATACAAATGTCGAGTATTTCCTCCTGGTCTCCGTGATAAACAGAGGTTTTGATATTTTTAGGCGAGATAGAAAGTATCAAGGAGTGAGTTGAAGCCACTGGCCTTGAGAACCCTCTCGAGGAGTCTGGCCTCATGAAGATGCCAGAATAAATGGCAGGTTTATCCTGAATGAATGTGAGATTTTTACTCTGTGAATTTCCTGGGAGGAGAGGAGAGTTATCTTCTGAAAACTTTATAATGAAAATGCAGACACGGGTGTCTTAAGATCATCGTAATAATCATAATTAATGCTCATATAGCACTGTCAATGTGCCAAGAAATTGTTGTAGGCACTTTGCACATTAACTTTTTTTCAAATCACTCTTGGTTTTTTATTTTTTTATTGAGATATAATTCATAATTATAAAATTCACCCTTTTGTACAGTCAGGGGTTTTTAGTATATATTCAAGAGGTTCACCACTGTCTAGTTGCTCAGCATTTTCATCATCTCAGAAGGAAATCTCCCCCTACCCATTAAAGCAGTCACATCCCATCCTCCCCCTCTCCTAGTCCTTGGCAACCACTAATCCGCTCTCTATGTGAAATCGCCTATTCTGAATATTTCCTAAGAAATCATGCAACATGTGGCCTTTTGTATCTGGCTCCTTTCACTTATAACATTATTGAGGTTCATCATTGTTGTAGCGCCTGTTCCTTTTTATGGCTGCATAGTATTCCATTGTATGGATGTATCATTTTGTTCATCCATTCATCAACTGATGAACATTTGGGTTGTTTCCCCTTTTTGGCTATTGTGACTAATGCTAGTGTGAATATTCTTATGTAAGTATTTTTGTGGGTGTATGTTTTCATTTCCCTTGGGTATACATACTTAGGAGTAAAATTGCTGGGTCATGTGGTAACTTTAACTTTTTGAGGAACCCCAAACTGTTTCCTGTAGATGCTGCACCATTTTACATTTCCACCAGGAATGTGTGAAGGTACATATTACCTCTTAATCCTCACAATAGCCTTAAGAGTTAGGTTAAGTTACTATCCTAATTTTTTAAGTGGGGAAACTGACTCAGAGAGATTCAGTACCTTTTCCAAAAATCACGGAGCTAAGAAGTGAAAGAATCAGGATTTAAAATCTGGCAGTGTGGCTCTACAATCTGCTTTGAACTCTAACGTAATATGTGCAAAGCCTGAAGCAACTTCTCAGTACTGTATTTAAGAGGGCATATCAATGTAAGTCTTCCTAAATCAATAATTTATAAATGAAACAGCTTAAAAGACTTTCAAGTTTCAATCTTACAATATTTATCGTACAAATCAATATACCTAAACTCGTCTATATAAATTATGTCCTGTAGTAAGAAGAAAAAGAGCAAAGATAAGAAAAGAAAAAGAGAAGAAGATGAAGAAACCCAGCTTGATATTGTTGGTGAGTCAGTTTTCAGTGCTCTATTCTGAAAAAAGTTAATGTTTCTTGAGATCTCCTTGAAAGTGTTTTCCTAGTTAGAAATTTATGATGTATTCATATTTGTCTTAAAGTGCTTAAATATTACCTACAGTTATAAATTCCATTTATTCTTTAACACAGTAGATGCTACTGATGCCTTTACTTCATTATCAGGAGAGAAAAATTATAACTCTCTGACTTAGTAGGCACCATTAGACTGCTTAATAGCCAGAGATTCTAATACATAATTTTAAAGGCCTAATGTAAATGTTATTCAACCAAATATCTTTTACAAGTTATTTTCTTTGCACATGTATGCATTTTAATTGTAGAAGTCGGTTGTCTCTTAAAGGAAGTATCTTCACAGGAAAAATCATTATTTTGTGAACTCTGAAATGAATGAAAATTTTAAATACAACATCAGGGTAGCCTGTAAATGATACTAGAAATAAACTGACCTAAACACACTTAACCAGCCTGTTTTCCGTTTAGTTCTTTTCCATACATATTTTTTTCTCTTTTAAAACTTGGCAAGTTGCATTTTGAATCTTCATAAATTATGGTAACTTAATATATAAAATATGGAATGGTATAAAGCTAATGTTCTGGAAGAATCATTGCTTTCAAAATGGCAAATCAACAATTCTAAAATTAGGGTAAATATCTAGGGTAGATATGTAGATGTGGAATTGCTGTGTCAAAGGATAGGTGAATGTTTAACTATATAAGAAAATGCCAAAAGTTTTCTAAAGTGGTTGTGCCATTTTACCCTCCTACCAAGAATGAATTAGTGCTCCAGTTACATCCTTGCCAAGAGTTGATGGTGTTATCAGTCTTTTCTCCCAGTCTGAGTTTTACCTTTTCAGTTTCTTAATGGTGGTTTTTGGATGAGCAGCTTTTTTTTGAGACAAATTCTCACTCTGTCTCCCAAGCTGGAATGCAGTGATGCGATCTCGGTTCACTGCAAGCTCCACCTCCCGGGTTCATGCCATTCTGCTGCCTCAGCCTCCCGAGTAGCTGGGAGTGCAGGTGCCTGCCACCACACCCGGCTAATTTTTTGTGTTTTTAGTAGCAACAGGGTTTCACCATGTTAGCCAGGATGGTCAGAAGCTTTTAATTTTTATAAAGCTCAGTTTATTTTTTTTTTCTTTTATGGTTACTGTCTTATGTCTTTGATCTAAGAGATCTTTGCTTACCCCAAAGTCAGGAAAATATTCTACATTGTCTTTTAGAGGCATCATAGTTTTAGTTTTTACATTAAATCTGTCATTCATCTCAAATTAAATTTTGGCATGATGTTGTGAGTTCGGTTTCAAGATTTACTTTTTTTTTTTAAACATCTTGATAGCCAGTTGTGCCAGCACCACTGGTGTTTCCTTTTTCCATTAATCCACTTTGGTATCTTCATAAAAAATCAATTAACTTTCTATGTATTGGTCTGTTTCTGGACTCTGTTCTATCGATACGTTTGTCTGTTTTTCTGTTGGTATATTTCTCTTGATTGCTATAATTTCATGAAGTCTTGAGATCAGGTAGTGTGAGTCCTCCGACTTTGTACTTATTAACTGTTAATTTATTAATTTCTGCAGTGAAGTTTGTTGGATTTTCTCGAGAACTGTATTGAGTCCAGATCATTTGGGGGAGATCAACATCTTAATATTGGGCCTCAATATTTCATAATTTTCAATGTAGCCATCTTGCATGCCTGTTTAAACATTTATTCTTAAGTATTTTATAATTTTACATTACTGTCAATAGAACCTTTGAATTTGATTTTCCAGTTGTTTGCTGTCAGTATGTAGATATACAATTGATTTTTGTATAGTGACTTTGTAGTCTAAGTCTGTTTCACTTATTACTTCTAGTGGTTTGCTTATATAGAAAACTAAGAAATTTGCAATTATGTTTCCTGTGACTATCGTTTTACTTCTTTCTTTCTAATCCTTTTGTCTTGTCTTTCTTTTTATTGGTTTATTATACTGTCCAGGACTTCTATAGCATTGAACAGAAGTCATGAGAATGGGCATAATTGCATTGCTCTCAAGCTTAGGCAGAAAGCTTTCAGTAGTCCACCATATGGTATGACGTCTGTAGGATCTGCAGAGAAAACTTTTATCAAAATGAGGACATTCCTTTTAAAACTTTGTTTCTTGGGAGTTTTTATCATAACGATGTTTAATGCTGTCAGATGCCTCTTTCTGTATCTGTTGAGATGATTATACAGCTTTCTTCATTCTGCCAGTGGATTATATTGGTTTCATTTTCAACTTTTAAACTAACTTTACATCCCTGAGATAAACCCCACTTGGTTGTGGTGCGTTGTCCTTTGGGATATTGCTAGATTTGATTTCTAGGTGTTTGTGTTTTTTGTTTTTTTTTAAGATTTCTATATTGGTGTTGATGGGAGATATTGGACTTTTGTATCCTTTTCTTGTAATGTCTTTTTTTGATTTTGGTGTCAAGGTGATACTGGGTGTCACAAAATTAGATGGAAAGTGCTGTCTCCTTTCCTATTTTTGGAAATAGCTGTGTAGAGATGGGTATGAGTTGTTCTTTACATGTTTGATAGAATTCACCAGTGAAGTCAGCTGAACCCGGAGGGTTTTGTTTGGTTTGGTTTTAGTTTTTTGTGGGAAAATTAAAATTTTTTAAGAGATATTTTCAGATTTTTCTGTTGTGTCAGTTTTGGCAATTTGTGTCTTTTAAGAAAATTTCATCTAAGTTGTTGGATTTATTGGCATAGAATTGTTCAGAATATTCCTTTAATATGCTTTTAATGTCCGTAGAATCTCATCTGTATTGCAGTCTCTTCATATTGGTAATTTGTGTTTTTGCTATGTTTTCCTGGATCAGTCAGTCTAGCTGGAGGTTTCTCAATTCTTTACAAGATCATTTATTTTAGATCGTTAATGATCGTTTAGTACAGGTGTATTCAATCTTTTAGCTTCCCTGGGCCACAATGAAAGGAGAGGAATTGTCTTGGGCCACACATAAAATACACTAACGATAAGCTGATAAGCCAAAAAAAAAAAAAAAGCAAAAAAATCTCATAATATTTCAAGAAAGTTTATGAATTTGTGTTGGGCTGCATTCACAGCTGGCCTGGGCCACATGTGGCCCTCAGGTTGGACAAGCCTGTTTCAATATTACTTATTTTCTCTTTTTTTCATTTTCTATTTCATTTATTTTCAGTCTTTTATTTTTTTCCTCCCTTTAACTTATTTTCAGTTTACTTTGCTCTTGTTTTATTGCTTCTTAGGAAGGGAGTTAGATCTCTTCATTCCACTTTAGTTTCAGTTATAGTCAACACATTTTGTTTTCATTTTCATTCCATTCAAAATATCATCTAGTTTTCCTTGTGATTTTTCTTTTCATGGACACGTGAGTTATTTAAAAGTATATTGTTTTTAATTTCTACTACATAGAGATATTATAGGTATGTTATTGTTGCTGATTTCTAATTCATTTATAGTATAGTTGGAGAACATACTTTCTTAGTGAATTTCCATGTAGACTTGAATGTGTATTCTGCAGATGTTGGTTCAGGGTTTTTTGTTTGTTTGTTTGTTTGTTTTTTTGGAGATGGAGTCTCGCTGTTGCCCAACAGGCTGGAGTGCAGTGGTGCAATCTCGGCTCACTGCAACCTCCGCCTCCCAGGTTCAAGTGAATCTCCTGCCTCAGCCTCCGGAGTAACTGGAATTACAGGCACCTGCCACCACACCCGGCTAATTTTTTAAATATTTTTAGTAGAGACAGGGTTTCACCACGTTGACCAAGCTGGTCTCAAACTCCTGACCTCAGGTGATCCTCCCGCCTCGGCGGGATCCAGGCGTGAGCCGCGGTGCCCGGCCAGTTCAGTGTTCTTTAGATGTCTGTTAGATCAACTGGTAGAGCTTGTGACTATGCATATCTTCTGTGTCCTTACTGATTTTTTACTAATGCTACAGTGTATTGATAGTTATGTTAAAATCTCCAGCGGTAATTCTAGATCTGTCTACTTGAGCAGTTTTTGCTTAAAGTATTTTGAAGCCGTCATGTGTACACATTTAGGATTGTTAAGTCTTCCTTATAAATTCAGTCTTTCATTTTCATAACATTTTAACCTTATTTCTGTTAAATGTCTTGATGCCTAGTCAAATTATTTGACCACCCTTTTGCTCCTGTCAAGCCTGGGCCTTTGTTAGTTTGTGCTTATTTATTAGGGTTTTGCTCGTAGACTTAGACAGTGACTCTTAGTCTAGGAAAGGTTCATCCTCATGGGCCTCAGCCACATGTTCTAGGTATACTTAGTGAGTTCTCTCCACTCTGCTGTGTCCCAAATTTGTGTGATCTCTGGCATCTCCAGTCAGCCCTCAGAAGTGCCAGCCACTCTGCAGAGGCCTTGTGGAGCCTGCCTGCTGCATGCACTCCCCCCAGCCCTTGGCCACAGACCTGCAGAGAACTTTTGCGTACTCTTTTGAGGCCTCACCTGTATGTAGTTCCCTCTTCTCCAGTACCTTATTCTATAAACTCCCAACATGTTAGCACTGTAAGACTCTCAGCTTAGTGACAGTGACATTGCCTCATTTCTGGAGGTCTCTACCTCTCTCCGTGTGGTCAAGAAACTGCCATTGGGCAGAAAACACAAGTGTGTATGAGATTTGCCTCCAGTGTTTTCCTGTTCTCAAATATCACAGTCCTGTTCTGCCTGTGTTCCAATCTCTGAAAACAGTTTTCTCAAATATTCTATCCAGTTTCAGTTTTCTCGTTGGTCATGGTGGGAGGGCAAGTCCATCTTGGCTGGAAGAGGAAGTCCTTCTGCGTCTTTTTCTCTTTGTCCTTCCACATGGTTTTGCATTGTGGATTTTCTAAACTTGCCGTATAAGTAAGCATGTGCCTATTTGTGAAGGGAAAGAAAAAAAACCTTTTAATTTTTTAAAGCTGTTCTGTTGGTTCCTCACAAGGATCTGAAGGGATTGGTAAATAGGATGAAAGAAATTCTGTCTTTCACATGGAGAAAACCAAGTGTGACATTAATAAAAACGAGCATGTCTGTAGGCAAAGAGTTTCACTGAGCTCTGCTAGATTCAGAAGCAGTTGGACTTACAACATCGTACTTTGCAAAACACATATATTTTATTTACCCAGGAACTAAAGCTAAGTCAGCTGTGGATTAATAGAAGGTCTGTGAAGGGTACTTAGACTACAGTAAGATTGGGGAAGAAAATTCCATTTCCAAATCTAAGATATATCATTCCTTTGTGCCAAGCACATAATGATAGTAGAGATTTAAGGGGGCCCTTAGCACGGAAGCACTGGGTTAGTCAGAAGGTGAGGTGAGCTGTCACACAGCCTTGATGCTAGAATGAGGGTGCCCTGGTACTATCTTATCAGCCATGACACTGGTGCATTGGGCCATTTTTTTGTTTTGTTTTTTTTGAGACAGGCTCTTGCTTTGTTGCTCAGGCTGGAGTGCAGTGACATGATCGTGGCTCAGTGCACCCTCGACCTCGTAGGCTCAAGCAATCCTCTCACCTCCGACTCCCGAGTAGCTGGGACCACAGGCTCGTACCACCACACCCAGCTAATTTCTTAATTTTTTTGTAGAGATGGGGGTCTCCTTTTGTTGCCTAGGCTGATTTTGAACTCCTGGGCTAAAGTGATTCTCCTGCTTCCACCTCTCAAAGTGCTGGATTACAGGCATGCCAGACATATGTAAACATTCTAAACTATGTGACAATATGTGTAAAGCTTTCTCATGCATTGTGAGACAACACAGCAGGAATATTTCACCATCTGCCTAAGGTTTAAAAGGAAATAACTTTAAGCATGTGTCTAAATAGCAAGTAATGTTTTAGAGCGGATTCTCTTAAATTCAGCTTGGGCATCTGCACCATATACACAGCTTGAGCTGTCACCTGACGTAGAGACAGGCAACTTCAGTGCCCGTGTTCATAGGATCCACTGCTTTCTCACAGCTAAAACCCCAGAGTGGCACCATTAAGTATTATGTTATGTTACTTTAGTCGATAAACATATAAGCATACCTCCAAAGGTTGAATGTAGGCCACTTGCAGAAAGTAGGCAGAATGCTCACATTTAATTCTTGATGATACTGTGTTTATATTTCTTATTCTTTGAAATTGCATTGAGAAAAAATACTGGCATCTGCTCAAAGTAATTTCTTTTTCAGTTGACAATATTAAAGTAACGTTATTGTATCATTTCCCTACTTGGACAGAGTGTGAAAATTTTAAGGAGCTTGTCTGCCAGAAATTTCTTCTTCATTTGCAAAACATTAATGAGTTATTATATTTAAATGATTTTATTTAATATTAAGTGTACTTGGTCAATGTGGCATAGAACATACAAAATAAATCTAATTTAAAATCATTAACTATTATATTTATAAGAAAGACTTGCTAATCATAACACTGTTGATAATGATTCTGAATAAAGCATTATTTCTTTTCCTGAAAACAATTGTAGCTATAATTCAATCATCTAAATTGCTTATTAGTTTTATTTCTTTTTAATTGTCTTTAGCTGAAATTTTAATTTTGATTAATTTTCTTTTTCTCCATTGGTTTTGTGTGTGTGTGGAGGTAAAATATACAGAATATAGAATTTGCCAGTTTTTCTATTTTTACGTGTATGCTTCAGTGGCATTTAAATACATGCACCATTTTACCTTCCCACCAGCATTGCACAGGGTTTCCGTTTCTCCACATCCTGCCCAACATTTGTTTTTCTGGCTTTCTTGGTTTCTGTTTTTTGTTTGTTTGTTTGTTTTGATAATAGCTATTCTAATGGGTGTGAAGTGGTATTGCATTATGGTTTTGATTTATATTTCCCTAGTGACTAGTGATGTTGAGCGTCTTTTCAAGTGCTTATTGGCCATTTGTATATCATCTTTGGAGCAATGTCCGTGTATATCCTTTGCCCAGTTTTGAATTGTGGTATTTGTCTTTTTGGAGTTCTCTATATAGTCTGGATATTAATTCCTTATAATGTATGTAGTTTACAAATATTTTCTCCATTCCCTGGGTTGCCTTTTACTCTGTTGATGGCGGTTCTTGATGCACAAAAGTTTTTAATTCTGATGAAGTCCAGTTTGTCCACGTTTTCTTTTGTTGCCTGTGCCTTTGATGTTCTACATAAGAAATCATTGCCAAATTCATGTCGTGAAGCTTTTCCCATTTTCTTCTAAAAGTTTTCTAACTTTAGCTCTTACATTTAGGTCTTTGGTCTGTTTTAAGTTACTTTTTGTATTTGGCATTAGATAAGGGTCCAACTTCATTTTAGCTAAAATTTTATGTATTTTAAAATTTATTATGGAAAGCATGAAATGTTTAGTTGAATAGAAAATTTTGTGCAGTGGAATTAACTGAATCTTTAAAACCTTTTTATTATGGAAATATCCAAACTATTCCATACATAGAAGAATATAATGAGTCCCCCATGTGCCCAGGCCCCAGCATTAATTATCAATATTTTGCCAATCTCATTTCATTTACACACATGCCCCCACACACATTTTTTCTTAGAAAATTTTAAGTAAAATCACAGATGTTATGTCATTTTACCCATGAGTACATAAACGTACATTTCTTAACGTGGTATGTCTTTCTGTCATCACCTGTTTTGTTCTTTATTTTTATATATTATACTATGTCATTATCAGACCTTGTAAAATTAACAAGAATTCCTTAATATGTCATATCCAGTTAATGATTGACTCATTTCTACTCTAGCTAAAGTACAATTTAGGAGGAGGTTTGAGGATATTTTTTAACATTAAGATATAAACTTTTATAACAACGGCTTAAATAATTGTTCCTAGAGTCTAATATTTCTATTGGCAAATTGGAAATTAGTATACATAGACATAGATTCTGCTCATTTTACTTTCAATCTAAAATCATAGTTAAGATTACTGGCCAGGCGCGGTGGCTCACACCTGTAATCCCAGCACTTTGGGAGGCAGAGGCGGGTGGATCACGAGGTCGGGAGTTTGAGACCAGCCTGGCCAATGTGGTGAAACCCCGTGTCTACTAAAAATACAAAAAAAATTATTCAGGCATGGTGATAGGCGCCTGTAACCCCAGCTACTCGGGAAGCTGAGGCAGAGAATTGTTTGAACCCGGGAGGCAGAGGTCGCAGTGAGCCGAGATCGCATCACTGCACTCCAGCCTGGGCGACAGAGCGAGTCTCCGTCTCAAAAAAAAAAAAAAAAAGATTGCTATGCTAGAAAGTCTTCCTGTAGAGGCATTTTTAAGAAACATTATGATAGGCATTGGCTCTGGAAAGCAGGCATGAAATAGATGACTGGGGTCTATCATGAGAGAGACCATTCTCTATATGTCACTTTGTACCTTCACATGTTGCCTCTTGTTTTGTTTTGGTCTTTTTTTGAGACAGGACCTTGCTCTGTCACTCAGGCTAGAGTGCAGTGGCATGATCATAGCTCACTATAACGTTGAACTCTGGGCTCAAGTGATCCTCTTTCCCCAGCTCCCCGAGTAGCTGAGATTACAGGCATGCACCCCCATGCCTGGCTGTATGTTGCTATTTTATGTTTTAAAAACCTAATCCTGACTGTGCTGGTAGTCGCATGAATCTCTGCACATACATGCAAACAAGTACATGTAAAACTGGTGAAATCTGAATAAGCTTCATGGATTATATCAATTTCAGTTTCCTGATTCTGACAGTGTATGATACTTATGCAAGATTTAATCGAGACAAAGTGAGTAAAGAATATGTGAGATCTTTGTATTATTTCTTACAACTGCAAAATAAGAAGTTTTTAAAATTAAGTTATAATAACAAAAAAAAGAACTCTGTGTCAAAACTAAAATATAAAGTTGAAATATTGATTTTATTTTTTAGGAATCTGGTGGACAGTAACAAACTTTGGTGAAATTTCAGGAACCATAGCCATTGAAATGGATAAGGGAACCTATATACATGCACTCGACAATGGTCTTTTTACCCTGGGAGCTCCACACAAAGAAGGTTTGTGTCTGGAAGGGAAGAGGCTGCCACAAGTGTAGATTTTAGGACATTCATTCACTTAGGCCAAACTCTAACTAGTCTCAAACATTTTCCAAAGGAATGGAACCATTGCATTTGACTCTTCCATTTTTTTTTAATTCCTTAATATTTACCAGCCATTGGCAAGTCCCTCTTTCTAATATAAGCATTTGAAAACATTCCGTATAGTTCCAGAAGAGTATCTTTGGAAATCAAAATAACATGAATAATTAAAATAGTAAGTGGAAAGAAAAAAGAAAACCTATTTGAGTCAAAATGTTTGAATTTCTTTTTTATTCAGACCTATTGCCAAAACTAACCTGGGTGCGTTTAACAGTTTGAAGTTTCCTCATTTTCTTTAGCCCATTAGAGGAAGCACTAATGAGATATGAAGTAATTAGAAGATAAAAAGCAGTATCATTTGGTCAGCAAGGCCATCCCTTGAATAAGTGAAAGCATTTAGCTTTTTAAATAAGTGCTTATTTATGACTGTATTTTAAAACATAAAGAGAAGCTATCTCAAAAGTTATTAAATAAGCATTATATCACCCTGTCTTACTCAGTGTATAAAATTAACACTGTAGTTAAAAGAAGGTAAAATAGATCTTGATTCCAAAGATACAGTATTACAGTGACATCAGTATATCTGAATATTCTTACATTTAATTGCAGAAGAAAATAGCCACATTTTTTAAAACAAAATAATGTCTTTATATTTATAGCAAATGTCAAATTTATTTTCAAATGTTTTTTCTCCAATAGTTGATGAGGGCCCTAGTCCTCCAGAGCAGTTTACGGCTGTCAAATTATCTGATTCCAGGTGAGCTTATGTTGTAATATAATTAGTAACCAGTTATTTTAAAAATTTAATTGTATTCATTAAAAATTTTAGTATCTGTCTTAAGCCCACAGGGTAATTTTGATGTAAAAAACAAAATAGCTTTTTTGAAAAGTAGATTTTGTGATCTACTTTTAATGGATTTCCTATCAATATATAATGCTAGGCTGGAAAAAAAATAAGTTAAAAAGTGAAGATTAATAATTTCACATACCGAATAAGATAGATTAAAAAATGAATCAAATAGTACAAAACCTGGTTCACTGTTGCTGTGATATTTAAACTCACTGTTTGGAAGTCCAAAGGCAAACAGGAAGACTAAAAAAAGGAATATTGTTGAAACCAGCAGAGAATGTTACAGAATCATAACGACCAAAAGAATATTTTTACTCACTATTTTTACAGTCATTTTATAAAGTAACCTTTTTTATTCTCACCTTGTGCAAAAGTATAGAACGATTCTTTGGGCAGAAGATACTGAAAGTGAATTTACATATTTTAGTAATTGGTTACATCAATATGATAATGATTTCTGTTATATAATCATTAATGTATAAAGGAGTAAAAGTCAATTCTGGCATCCCAGGAGATTCTCGGTAAGGTAAAAGATTAGAAATCATAATTTTAAAAAATCACATTAAGATGATTATTTCTGTACTTTCTTTGAAAGTCTGATAAGTATGGTGAAAGACAGAATAAAAGCAGAGGAAGAAAAAATTCAATAGTTTTAAACTGCTTTACAATTATAAACAAAAAAGGATTATAAAGAAAATTAACTGACAAATGAGGAAAATATTTGCAACAATCTTAATAGGCAGTGAGTTCTTACTCTTCATATGTATCTTGTATAGAATTCATAGCACTGATGACCCCAGTAGAAAAACTGCGAACAATCAGATCTCAATAGAAAAATGGACAAGGGACATTACCAGATAATCTAAAAACTAAAAAGGAAAGGAAAAGAAAAACAATTGTTATTCTAGTTAACTACTAAAATGCAAATTTATAGGATACTGTTTTTTCCATATCAGGTTTTCAAGTATTTTTTTAAAGTCATAATGTTTAAAAAAAAATGCGTGATACAAAACATACTCTGTTAATTTGAGGTAAGAATGTAAATGGAAGCAGCATTTTCTGGAAAACAGTTTGATGACATAAGAACTTTATACTCTTCGATCCAGTTATTTCTAGGAATTTTTTCTAAGGATAAAGCAGTTTTATGTACAGAATAGATGTACATAGAACTATTTATAATAAGAGAAAAAGTAAGTTTTAGTAATTTATTCTTGAACTTTATAACTAAAGAGGTATAATTGAAGAATGATGAATTTCAAAAATATTTGTTATGTAATATATAAGGTACAATGTTTATATTAAAAAAGCACAATATAAAACTAAATTTAAAACTGCACTGTCCAACATGGCAGCAACTAGTCACATGTAGCTTTTTTCTTTTTTTTTTTTTTAAAGGCACAGAGTCTCACTCTGTCACCCAGGCTGGAGTGCAGTGGTGTGACCGTATCTCACTATAACCTCAAATTTCTGGGCTCAAGCAATCCTCCTGCGTCAGCCTCCCAAGTAGCTGGTATCACATGTGCATGCCGCCATGCCCAGCTAACTTTTTAAATTTTTTGTAGAGATGGGGTCTCACTGTGTTGTCCAGGCTGATCTTGAACTTCTTGCCTCAAGCAATTCTCCCGTTGGCTTCCCAAAGCACAGAGATTACAGGAGTGAGTCACCACTCAGCCACATGCAGCTTTTGAAGACTTGGAATATGTGCAGTCTGAAATTTTAGATATGTACACAGCCACACACATACGCATGTCCTGTTTTGATGTCCTATAATTAATTTTCTCTCAGTCTTTAACTTTTATCTATGTTATTAATGTACAGAATCGCCCTGAAGTCTGGCTATGGAAAATATCTTGGTATAAATTCAGATGGACTTGTTGTTGGGCGTTCAGATGCAATTGGACCAAGAGAACAATGGGAACCAGTCTTTCAAAATGTAAGTGCTGTTATTGTTTATAAAAACTTCCTGTCAGTTTAACAGAAAGTCTGTTAACAGTCAATCATAATATATTTAAAAAGAAAAAGTAGGATGCAATAGTGTAATACATTAAATAGGAATAAATCAATAAGAACATAGAGCCTTAAAGAGATCTCAAAATATAGTGCAACAAAAATCGCATTAGTCCTTTTGCCCACAATTATTTCTGTATACCCTTAGTGCCTAGATATGGATCTCATTTCCATTGAAGAACCAGTCAATTTTAGGTCTCAGAGTAGGAAAACAGAGTAGTTCCTAAGTATCTTTGTAGCAGAAATCATGGATGCTTTCAGAAACATTAGAGACTGTAAGCGAACAGTGGAGCTTGCTAAGACCAAGTTGTGACAATTTGTGCATAAAATAAATAATAATAGTTCATTGAAGTAAATTATCTCTAAAAGACTTTCAGTTCATAAGCTTAAAATAGCATACGAAAAGATAGTTTTAATATAAGAAGAAAAAAGATAATATACTAATTCTTAATTTTAGTAAGTAGACAGTTGTATATGGATGTTTTGTTAAATCTTTGTTGACACAGAATACATAATTTCCTTTTTCTGTTTGTGTGAGAAGTAAAGATTGAACAAAAATATGTGAGTGCTAAACAGTCTTTAAAAAGTAGATAACTTTATCAAAAACAGTAAGGACCAATGGGCACCACGCAGAGCAAGCAAATAGAAGATAAGCTTAGCCTTTGAGTAGCAGCTTTGGTAGTATACACTAATGAATTGAAAATAGGAACTCAGCAGTGTTTTCTAAGATGACAGATTAAACAAACATCCCTCCAGAAAGAGGTAATCACTTAGACTAATTTCCTCATCCCCTAGGATAAAATCTTAACTCAGTGACTTGAAAACTATTTTGGCCCAACCCATTGAGAAATGCATTTTTACATTGCAGCCCAGCACACATGTATAACTGAAGCAAGAGTTGTACTTAACAATACTTACTTATCCATGTGTTATGCACCTTGATATTTCTTATTCTCTTTTACCCCTTCCTCTGTGAGTCTGTGTGTATTCCTTCCCCCGCCCCCCATACCGTACAGGAAACAACACTACATTGATTTCATGACCCGCTAATGTGTTGCAACCCCTTTGAGATGATCCTACTAGTTAGGATGAGATACTTCTAATAAAAGTTACACCGGTAGAAAAGGCCAATATATCATAAGGCCTTAGATGATGACTTAGATAGTACTAATAATACAACACTTTAGGAAAGTTCGTTTCATTTTATTTTTAGGAAGGACACTAAGTTTCAAAAATTTAAATTTAAATGAAAGAGGGTCTTAAAACTATTGCAAAAGGGACTCAGCTGAATAATCTGTGGCACAGGTTTAAATCGTCTTGGACCACACCACCATGTTCCAGGGCTCACCAGGAGCCATCCAGATGAGAGACCACCCAGCCCTTGTGACCTTGACTAAGAAATTAAATCCATGTTATCAGCACTTTTTTAACTTGATGTGATATAAGGTTAACATATTTTGTAATCATTGTATTTATAAATATTTTGTCTAAATGTTATGGTATTCCAAGTTTTCCAAAAGAATCAACCAAATACAAGTTATAAATAAACATTATATTTGTTAAGGGAGTTAAGCTAACCAAATTTATAACCCAGATTTAGATACACAAGAAAATCAGTCTTTAAAGTTTTAATAGAAAGCAGTGTAATATATCAAACATTAAACAACTAAAAAAGTATATGAATATTTATTTTCACACACAAAAGTCCCTCAGACATTGATTCTTAAATTCAAAACACCAAAGCATTGTATGTACCTTTTCATGTTTTCTAATTGTGAAGAAAATAAATTTTACTTAAAATGCTAATATTTGAATAAAGTATGCATTCATAATTATGTTCTTGTCTTTAAAGTTAATTTTTCAAACTGAACTAAATCAGTTATGTCTTCAGTAGATCTTTTAGAAAGGAAGCAATCCTACCTCATCTACTTAGAATTTAGTCCTACTAGGAAGATACACTACAAATGTTTATTGTGGTAATCTTTGAATAGTAAAATGATAGGTGATTTTGGTTTCTTTTCTATATGTTCTTGTATTATATTTTTCAGGTTTTTCTCTAAGTTCTTTTCTGTGATTTTTAAATCAGGGAGGAAAAATTAATTCAGTCTAAACACTTAATGTTTCTCCCACAAGAAGTATCCTCATGGCTATTTTGTTATTTGTTTCACTTAGGGGAAAATGGCTTTGTTGGCCTCAAATAGCTGCTTTATTAGATGCAATGAAGCAGGGGACATAGAAGCAAAAAGTAAAACAGCAGGAGAAGAAGAAATGATCAAGGTAATGATGACATTTTATACAGATGACTGCATTCACACATGCGATGTGACTGTATCTCTTTAAAATGTTAAATGGTCATTTACTGTCACTTTAAAGATTTACTTAATAGCTTTTTATAATGTGGTGTTTCAAATAGACTCATTTTTAATTATAAATCCCATAGTTGATGTCTTGTTTATACAATGTGGTAGAGAAATGAGTGCATCTAGGAGCTACCTTGCCATTATCTCCATGGATTAGTATCTTCTTCTGGTAGTTCCACATGCTCTTTTTAAGCTTTCATTTTCTTGTTTTCTTGCTTGTATTTTAAAATCTAATTTTTAAAATAGATAACATGTACACGTGGTCCAACATTTTCAAATAAAAGCATGTGAAGACGTATGCCTGCCATGCGTCTTACTCACCTGTGTCCCAGCACCTGTTCGTCTTTCCCTTTGTTTTTTTATAGCCTCCTAAAATTTCTTTATAAACATATGAATATGTTTATAATTTTCAACTGTTTTACGCTAAAGGTAGCCTCCTCTATAGTCTAGACTTCAATTTTTTTTTTTCCTTAAAATTGTATCTTGGAGAGTTTTCTACTATGAGTTTGAATGTAGAAAGTTTTCTCTTTTTCTTGCTTTTCCTCTCTTTCTCTCTCTCTCAACAGCCACATAATATTCCATTTCAGGGATGTACCTTAATTTATTTAGTCTTTTATAGATGGAAATTTAGGCTGTTTCCAGTCTTTTGCTCTTATAAACAGTGCTGCAGTACATAACATTGAATATGCATCAGTTTGTAGATGTGCGGGTGGACCTGAAGGTAAATTTCCAGAAGCAGAATTACCAGGTCGGGGTATATGCGTTTGTATTTACGTAATGCTTGAGCTTCTGTGATGATAATCACTCTATGAAACATAAAAAATCATAGCAGAACTTCTGGGGCCTTAGCCCTCAGATTTTAAAAATATTTTTATTAATAGTACCCGTCTTCTTTGCATTAGGAGAAACATGAATCACATAAAACATGATTTTTATTTTATTTTTAAAATTTGTGTGCGTCACTAAGCTGGAAATAAAAGTTCCTTATTCCAGGCTAAATTCCCTCATCCGTAGTCAGACGCGTTATCCATTGCACCAGTGGCCTGTGCCCTCTCTAATCCTACTCTTTGTTTTACATCATTGTAAAAGTTACACAGACATCTTCATATCAAGGTGAAATTCTAAATAATACTGTTAATATAACCTAGATAAATCAAGTAGTTAATTGGAATCTGATGAAAACATTTAAGGCTTAATTTTTTAGACTCACAGAAGCCACTGATCTTTAATGATAAACATATACCAGGATGTGTCTAAAGAATAACTCCCCACTTCTTGACACATGGCTTTTCTGTGTCTTGGCATTCCATCTCAGTACTGAGCATCCTGAACCTTGCTTTGTTTGTCTCTGTTGGGAATCACAGGTTGCATCCAGTCTGACCCAGATTTCCTCTGTAAGGCATTGTGGGGGCCAGAGTGGAAGGCTCTAAGAGAGGGGGCAAGTGCCTTTTCTAAAATGCCCTTCGTTCTTATAATTAGAGCATAAAAATTTATGTTACATTTTTCTCTACTACCAGTGCAATTTAAAAGCATCTATCAAATCTCTGTACATACTTCATGTTAGATTTCCTGTCATAAGTTTGATTTTCTTTTTAGAATAGTCTTGATTTCAAATAATTTCAAATCTAAAGCTCAAACAATTTCAATCTAAAATGTAGGTATTTTCTTACAGAAGGGAAATGTTATATTTTTTCATTGCATGCACCCAGCACATGCGTTGTAGTCTTGAATTTCCATAATGCCCCTGTGAGGTGGATGTGAGCTCAGCATTACAGACAAGAAGACAGCCTCTGACCCTCCTTACATCCTCGTGGTTTTTGTCAGTCAGTTCATGGAAATCACAGTGATTTCAAGGTGTGGTAAGACAGGATGTGTACCCAGGCCCAGCTGACTCCAGAGGCCACTCTCAATATTTCATAGCACATTGCTTCTCAGGAAACAGGTCATTGGGGAAATGCAGATGGGTTTGTGACTTACATTTAATTTTATTTATTTATATTTTATTGTATCATGTTTAAATTATTTTGCATCTGGATATCATCACAAAAGTGTTACTGAAGGCAACAATTGCAAATATATGTGCAGTGCTTTGCACTTATACAAAGATACAAAGATACTTACACAAAGATTGCCTTTTTCACTATTTAAAGCAATTTTCAGACGAAATACAAAGTTTTCTGGGTCTCTTTGGTTAGTCAAGTACCTGGAAGCTCTGAACAGTGATTATTTAGGACTCTTTTCCTTTACCATTTAATTGCAGGCTCTCCTAATCTCTGTCAGCCCTTCACCTTTATGACCTTGCCTTATCTACCAGAACACAGATCCCTCTTACTAAAGGTAGCCTTGTGTTACCTCTGTCAGCCCTTCAGCTTTATGACCAGAACACAGATCCCTCTTACTAAAGGTAGCCTTGTGTTACAGGCCCTAGCAGGGAATGTTTTCAGGTCTGGGACCCCTCTAATCAGAACTGTCACAAAGATGTCATTTGCACAAACACGTTATTTGTCATCACTTTCTAAGCAGCCCTGGAACTGGACTCTGGCCACAGAGATCCCTTAGGAGACATGAGTCCTTACCATTGCTAATTGCCTGTTCTGTGGGTGATCCTAATTGTTGAATGCAGATTAATTAACTTATGACATGTGGTAGTAAACATCTATCCAAACTTAGGAGGATATAAGAAGCTAGTAAAAGAGGTGGGTTCCAATTAGTTAAAAACAAGTTGTGTAATGTTAAAAGTTTTAATACTTTGGTAATAGTCTGTGCAACATAAAATAGCTATTAAGCTTTCAATCCGATCAAATGAACACTTGTCTACTAGGGATAATTTGATCCTAGTGTATTCACTTGGAGGACAAAATTAAATTAGTTAATGATCGCTTTATTTCCTAGCAGGATCTGATGTGTAAAATGTTTCTGAAATAATTTTGTCTGTAGTGTTTCTGACACAATGCTGTGGAGGAAGCATGTGATAGCACTTACTCATATAGATTATATATATGAAGTAAAAACACATAGCCAGAACCTTTTTCTGAATATAGTTGCTCAGTTAATTTTTTCTTCTGCATAAGAAATCATCTCGAATGTTCTTATGTGATACGTAAAGTGGGGAAGGTGGAAGATAAACATATAACCCATTGGATTCTCTTTTCCAATATCTAGATTAGATCCTGTGCTGAAAGAGAAACCAAGAAAAAAGATGACATTCCAGAAGAAGACAAAGGAAATGTAAAACAATGTGAAATCAATTATGTGTATGTATTCTTTTCCTTTTAGACCTACAGATTTGACAGTGAAGTGCTTCTCAAAGTGCTTTCAAAATAAATTACCTACTTAGCTGGGCATGGTGGTACATGCCTATAGGCCCAGCTACTCGGGAGGCTGAGACAGGAGGATTGTTTGAGCCCAGGAGTTCAAGGCTGCAGTGAGCTCTGATCACCACTGCCTTCCAGCCTGGGTGGCAGAGCAAGACCGTGTCTGAAAAAATGAAACTGATGGACAAGAAGAGACGACACAATGTAGCCTCTAGGACAGAGCACTGAGCTAAATGCTTTTCTTTTCTTGAGGCTTCAGTTTTCCTAATCATCCTACCACCTCCCAAAGCTAGTCACTCAGGTTAGTCAATCTCTCTATTCATTCATAGAATGGGTGTGATGCCAGTCAAAGGCTGTGCTATGGCCAGGACACAGGGGACTCTAGCCAGCATGCCCTAATAGAAGTGGGGCCTTGTGCTACCCAGTCAATGAGTGGCCCTCCTCTTGAGAGGTCATGAAGGTCATCTTTGTTGAAAAGCTCCAGCTTATTTAAAAAAATACAATTAGACCTTTTTTTTTCTCCCCCAAGATGGAGTCTCGCTCTCTCCCCCAGACTAGAGTGCCATGGCGCGATCTCGGCTCATCGCAACCTCCGCTTCCCAGGTTCATGTGATTCTCCTGCCTCAGCCTCCCGAGTAGCTGGGACTACAGGCGCGTGCCACTATGCTCGGCTAATTTTTGTATTTTTGGTAGAGATGGGGTTTCACCATGTTGGCCAGGCTGTTCTCGAACTCCTGACCTTGAGCGATGTGCCTGCCTTGGCCTCCCAAAGTGCTGGGATTGCAGGCATGAGCCACTGCGCCTGGCCTACAATTAGACTTTTTTACAAGTGAAAAAGAAATTAACAGTATTTATAAATTTAATAGTAAATATGTATAATCAGAGTTTGAGGTATTTTTCAATGAAGACATTTTCTTTACAGAAAGAAATTTCAGAGCTTCCAAGACCACAAACTTAAAATAAGTAAAGAAGACAGTAAAATTCTTAAAAAGGCTCGGAAAGATGGATTTTTGCATGAGACGCTTCTGGACAGGTAGCTATTTATTTACTTATTTCCACTATTTTCAGTAGCCAATAGAAATGGCATGTAGAAAACCTACATTCTCTTAAATTACTGTAGTTTTTCACATTTTTGTCTTTATTTCTAATTTATGAGTGTGGCAATATTACCTAAAGAGGACATCGTAAGTTTGGGAAAAGACTGTCATGAAAGAATATCTAAAAATTATAACCGATTCTAAGTATATACTTGAAGAAATTCAGGTTTGACTGTATCTACTTCATAAATTTATCATCTTTTTATAACTATTAGAACCAGAGTTAGAAGCAGTTTGACTAATATAAAAATTATGTGGATTCTGTTAGAGTAGTTCAGGTTCCTTAAAATAAGAATAGATCAACTAAAAAACTAAGTATAAAAGCTAAACAAGTGAAATTGAAGCAGTTTTATTATAAGATTTGGAAGAGTGCAGGATGTTTATCATACCACATTATTAATATTTATTACTCTTCCTAGGTAGATAAGTAATGTCCTAGATTTATGACATAGAAAAACAGAGACGTTTAGCTGTGAGTGTACAAGTATAAATCAATTAAGTGCCAGATTTTGATAATCACCAGCCGCTCATTCAAGTCGTATGTTGCAAAGTTACTCTTACCCTTTTTTTTACATTACTTGATAAAGGCAATGTTTAATTACGTATTTCCTGTTAACTAGCTGGTAGTGTTCATACCTAAAGTCAGTAAATAATGTTAAGAATTTTTTCCAGCTGAGCAAATGAATATGTATCTCATTGTAAGAAATCAAGAAGAGGATATAAAATATAATCAGGATGTGGACTCTAAAACGGAATAAGCTCTATGTCCTGTAACTTTTATCACTTGTAATAATACAGCATTCTCACCCTGTTAAATGGAAATTTAGAGCAGCCTTAAATTCCGGAATAATTAAAATTGCTATTTGGATTGAAAAAGCCCTTAGGCAACATTTATTGAATATTAGGAAATAACTTTTATAAGATTAGAATCCATTTTTTATAGAAACCAAATTTAAAAGTATACATATTTTAATAAAAGTGTTGTGGTAATAACCAAAATTGAACACACAGTTTTAAAGCTTTTTATATTTAGTAGCAGTTGAATATATATGGCATGTTTTACATAGATTAATTTTATTTTTCTTTGTTTAAACAGGAGAGCCAAATTGAAAGCCGACAGATACTGCAAGTGACTGGGATTTTTGTTTCTGCCTTATCTTTCTGTGTTTTTTTCTGAATAAAATATTCAGAGGAAATGCTTTTACAGAGTTCTTGAGTTGTGAAATTATTGTTTAGCTAGTTTAACCAGGATTAAACAAGTTTAATCAGGATTCTTCATGGATGTACTTTTTAGCTAACTACAGTTTTTCACATGGAAATGAAACTTACAGTTCACACTTAATGTACCACAGAATTTTTTTCTGGATTTCCTGTCCTGAAGCATGAAGTGTACTAGAAACCAATTCTTCCTGCGCTACTTGTGGAATCTGTCTTACTGGATCATAATCTTACTTTACTTTATATAATAGATGCTTAATCAGTGCCTTTAATAGAAGTTAGAAACTCCCAATCCAATCAACAAGGCTTTGGTTCTACCTTCTAAGTACTACCCAGATCACAGACAATCCAAATATCAGAACTAGGGGGCTGGGCAGAGAGGACAAATCATCTATTAGGGAGTGGGACAGAAAGCAGAAACATTACAAAGGAGCAAGTAGGCTCAGAACAGAGGGGAGAGTAGTACTGGGGAAACTCCCTGCTGAGGACAGGTTAGCCACAGTGGATATGTATGTGATGCCTTTGTCCTTGTGGGCTGGAATGGAAGCTGGTAAGGGAATAGGAACAGCTCCAGTCTACAGCTCCCAGCGTGAGCGATGCAGAAGACGTGTGATTTCTTCATTTCCAACTGAGGTACCAGGTTCATCTCACTGGGGAGTGTCAGGCAGTGGGTGCAGGACAGTGGGTACAGTGCACCGAGCATGAGCCAAAGCAGGGCGAGGCATCACCTTACCCAGGAAGAACAAGGGGTCAGGGAATTCCCTTTCCTAGTCAAAGAAAGGGGTGACAGACGGCACCTGGAAAATTGGGCCACTCCCACCCTAATACTGCGCTTTTCCAACACTCTTAGCAAACGGCACACCAGGAGATTATATCCTGCGCCCGGCTTGGAGGGTCCTGCGCCCAAGGAGCCTCGCTCATTGCTAGCACAGCAGTCTGAGATCAAACTGCAAGGCGGCAGCGAGGCTGGGAGAGGGGCACCTGCCATTGCCGAGGCTTGAGTAGGTAAAGTGGCTGGGAAGCTCAAACTGGGTGGAGCCCACTGCAGCGCAAGGAGGCCTGCCTGCCTCTGTAGACTCCACCTCTAGGGGCAGGGCATAGCCAAACAAAAGGCAGCAGAAAACTCTGCAGACTTAAATGTCCCTGTCTGACAGCTTTGAATAGAGTAGTGGTTCTCCCAGCAAGCAGCTGGAGATCTGAGAACAGACAGACTGCCTCCTCAAGTGGGTCCCTGACCCCCGAGTAGCCTAACTGGGAGGCATCCCCCAGTAGGGGAAGACTGACACCTCACATGGCCGGGTACTCCTCTGAGACAAAACTTTCAGAGGAACAATCAGGCAGCAACATTTGCTGTTCACCAATATCTGTTGTTCTGCAGCCTCCACTGCTGATACCTGGGCAAACGGTCTGGAGTGGACCTCCAGTAAACTCCAACAGACCTGCAGCTGAGGGTCCTGACTGTTAGAAGGAAAACTAACAGAAAGGACATTCACACCAAAACTCCATCTGTACATCACCATCATCAAAGACCAAAGGTAGATAAAACCACAAAGATGGGGAAAAAACAGAGCAGAAAAACTGGAAACTAAAAATCAGAGCACCTCTCCTCCTCCAAAGGAACACAGCTCCTCACCAGCAACGGAACAAAGCTGGACGGAGAATCATTGACGAGTTGAGAGAAGGCAGCTTCAGACAAACTACTCCGAGCTACAGGAGGAAATTCAAACCAATGGCAAAGAAGTTAAAAGCTTTGAAAAAAAATTAGACAAATGGATAACTAGAATAACCAATGCAGAGAAGTCCTTAAAGGACCTGATGGAGCTGAAAACCACGGCATGAGAACTACGTGATGAATGCACAAGCCTCAGTAGCCGATTTGATCAACTGGAAGAAAGGGTATCAGTGATGGAAGATCAAATGAATGAAATGAAGCGAGAAGTTTAGAGAAAAAAGAATAAAAAGAAACGAACAAAGCCTCCAAGAAATACGGGACTATGTGAAAAGACCAAATCTATGTCTGATTGGTGTACCTTAAAGTGATGGGGAGAATGAAACCAAGTTGGAAAACACTCTGCAGGATATTATCCAGGAGAACTTCCCCAATCTAGCAAGGCAGGCCAATATTTAAATTCAGGAAATACAGAGAATGCCACAAAGATACTCCTTGAGAAGAGCAACTCCAAGACACATAATTATCAGATTCACCAAAGTTGAAGGAAAAAATGTTAAGGGCAGCCAGAGAGAAAGGTTGGGTTACCCACAAAGGGAAGCCCATCAGACGAACAGCTGATCTCTCCGCAGAAACTCTACAAGCCAGAAGAGAGTGGGGGCCAATATTCAACATTCTTAAAAGAATTTTCAACCCAGAATTTCATATCTAGCCAAACTAAGCTTCATAAGTGAAAGAGAAATAAAATCTACAGACAAGCAAATGCTGAGAGATTTTGTCACCAGCAGGCCTGCCCTAACAGAGCTCCTGAAGGAAGCACTAAACATGGAAAGGAACAACCTGTACAAGCCACTGCAAAAACATGCCAAATTGTAAAGAACATCGAGGCTAGGAAGAAACTGCATCAACTAATGAGCAAAATAACCAGCTAATATCATAATGACAGGATCAAATTCACACATAACAATATTAACCTTAAATGTAAATGGGCTAAATGCTCCAATTAAAAGAGAGAGACTGGCAAATTGGATAGAGTCAAGACCCATCAGTGTGCTGTACTCAGGAAACCCATCTCACATGCAGAGACACACATAGGCTCAAAATAAAGGGATGGAGGAAGATCTACCAAGCAAATGGAAAAAAAAAGGCAGGGGTTGCAATCCTAGTATCTGATAAAACAGACTTTAAACCAACAAAGATCAAAAGAGACAAGGCCATTACATAATGGTAAAGGGATCAATTCAACAAGAAGAACTAACTATCCTAAATATATATGCACCCAATACAGGAGCACCCAGATTCATAAAGCAAGTCCTTAGAGACCTACAAAGAGACTTAGACTCCCACACAATAATAATGGGAGACTTTAACACCCCACTGTCAACATTAGACAGATCAACAAGACAGAAAGTTCACAAGGATATCCAGGAATTGAACCCAGCTCTGCACCAAGCAGATCTAGTAGACATCTACAGATCTCTCCACCCCAAATCAACAGAATATACATTCTTTTCAGCACCACACCACACCTCTTCCAAAATTGACCACATAGTTGGAAGTAAAGCACTCCTTAGCAAATGTAAAAGAACGGAAATTATAACAAACTGTCTCTCAGACCACAGTACAATCAAACTAGAACTCAGGATTAAGAAACTCACTCAAAACTGCTCAACTACATGGAAACTGAACAACCTGCTCCTGAATGACTACTGGGTACATAACGAAATGAAGGCAGAAATAAAGATGTTCTTTGAAACCAACGAGAACAAAGACACAACATACCAGAATCTCTGAGACACATTCAAAGCAGTGTGTAGAGGGAAATTTATAGCACTAAATGCCCACAAGAGAAAGCAGGAAAGATCTAAAATTGACACCCTAACATCACAATTAAAAGAACTAGAGAAGAGCAAACACATACAAAAGCTAGCAGAAGGCAAGAAATAACTAAGATCAGAGCAGAACTGAAGGAAATAGACACAAAAAACCCTTCAAAAACTCAATGAATCCAGGAGCTGGTTTTTTGAAAAGATCAACAAAATTGATAGACTGCTAGCAAGACTAATGAAGAAAAGAGAGAAGAATCAAATAGGTGCAATAAAAAATGATAAAGGGGATATCACCACTGATCCCACAGAAATACAAACTACCATCAGAGAATACTATAAACACCTCTACGCAAATCAACTAGACAATCTAGAAGAAATGGATAAATTCCTGGACACATACACCCTCCCAAGACTAAACCAGGAAGAACTTGAATCTCTGAATAGACCAATAACAGGCTCTGTAATTGAGGCAATAATTAACAGCTTACCAACCGAAGAAAGGCCAGGACCAGATGGATTCACAGCCTAATTCTACCAGAGGTACAAGGAGGAGCTCATACCATTCCTTCTGAAACTATTCCAATCAATAGAAAAAGAGGGAATCCTCCCTAACTCATTTTATGAGGCCAGCATCATCCTGATACCAAAGCCTGGCAGAGACACAACAAAAAAAGAGAATTTTAGACCAATATCCCTGATAAACATCGATGCAAAAATCCTCAATAAAATACTGGCAAACCGAATCCAGCAGCACATCAAAAAGCTTATCCACCATGATCAAGTGGGCTTCATCCCTGGGATGCAAGGCTGGCTCAACATATGCAAATCAATAAATGTAATCCAGCATATAAACAGAACCAATGACAAAAACCACATGATTATCTCAATAGATGCAGAAAAGGCCTTTGACAAAATTCAACAAACCTTCATGCTAAAAACTCTCAAAAAATTAGGTATTGATGGGACATATCTCAAAATAGTAAGAGCTATCTATGACAAACCCACAGCCAATAGCATACTGAATGGGCAAAAACTGGAAGCATTCCCTTTGAAAACCAGCACAAGACAGGGATGCCCTCTCTCACCACTCCTATTCAACATAGTGTTGGAAGTTCTGGCCAGGGCAATCAGGCAGGAGAAGGAAATAAAGGGTATTCAATTATGAAAAGAGGAAGTCAAATTGTCCCTGTTTGCAGATGACATGATTGTGTATCTAGAAAACCCCATCATCTCAGCCCAAAATCTGCTTAAGCTGATAAGCAACTTCAGCAAAGTCTCAGGATACAAAATCAATGTGCAAAAATCACAAGCATTCTTATACACCAATAATAGACTAACAGAGAGCCAAATCATGAGTGAACTCCCATTCACAACTGCTTCAAAGAGAATAAAATACCTAGGACTCCAACTTACAAGGGACATGAAGGACCTCTTTAAGGAGAAATACAAACCACTGCTCAATGAAATAAAAGAGGATACAAACAAATGGAAGAACATTCCATGCTCATTGGTAGGAAGAATCAATACCGTGAAAATGGCCATACTGCCCAAGGTAATTTATAGATTCAATGCCATCCCCATCAAGCTACCAATGACTTTCTGCACAGAAATAGAAAAAAATACTTTAAAGTTCATATGGAATCAAAAAAGAGCCTGCATTGCCAAGTCAATCCTAAGCCAAAAGAACAAAGCTGGAGGCATCATGCTACCTGACTTCGAACTATACTACAAGGCTACAGTAACCAAAACAGCATGGTACTGGTACCAAAACAGAGATATAGAACAATGGAACAGAATAGAGCCCTCAGAAATAATGCCACATGTCTACAACCATCTGATCTTTGACAAACCTGACAAAAACAAGCAATGGGGAAAGGATTCCTTATTTAACAAATGGTGCTGGGAAAACTGGCCAGACATATGTAGAAAGCTGAAACTGGATCCCTTCCTTACACCTTATACAAAAATTAATTCAAGATGGATTAAAGACTTAAATGTTAGACCTAAAACCATAAAAACCCTAGAAGAAAACCTAGGCAATACCATTCAGGACATAGGCATAGGCAAGGACTTCATGTCTAAAACACCAAAAGCAATGGCAACAAAAGCCAAGATTGACAAATGGGATCTAATTAAACTAAAGAGCTTCTGCACAGCAAAAGAAACTACCATCAGAGTGAACAGGCAACCTACAGAATGGGAGAAAATTTTTGCAATCTACTCATCTGACAAAGGGCTAATATCCCGAATCTACAATGAACTCAAATTTACAAGAAAAAAAACAAACAATCCCATCAAAAAGTGGGCAAAGGATATGAACAGACACTTCTCAAAAGAAGACATTTATGCAGCCAACAGACACATGAAAAAATGCTCATCATCACTGGCCATCAGAGAAATGCAAATCAAAACCACAATGAGATACCATCTCACACCAGTTAGAATGGTGATCATTAAAAAGTCAGGAAACAACAGGTGCTGGAGAGGATGTGGAGAAATAGGAACACTTTTACACTGTTGGTGGGACTGTAAACTAGTTCAACCATTGTGGAAGTCCGTGTGGTGGTTCCTCAGGGATCTAGAACTAGAAATACCATTTGACCCAGCCATCCCATTACTGGGTATATACCCAAAGGATTATAAAACATGCTGCTATAAAGACACATGCACACATATGTTTATTGTGGCACTATTCACAATAGCAAAGACTTGGAACCAACCCAAATGTCTAACAATGATTGACTGGATTGAGAAAATGTGGCACATATACACCATGGAATACTATGCAGCCACGAAAAATGATGAGTTCATGTCCTTTGTAGGGACATGGATGAAGCTGGAAACCATCATTCTCAGCCAACTATTGCAAGGACAAAAAACCAAACACAGCATGTTCTCACTCATTGGTGGGAATTGAACAATGAGAACACTTGGACACAGGAAGGGGAACATCACACACCAGGGCCTGCTGTGGGGTCAGGGGAGGGGGGAGAGATAGCGATATGAGATATAACTAATGTTAAATGAAGAGTTAATGTGTGCAGCACACCAACATGGCACATGTATACGTATGTAACAAACCTGCCCGTTGTGCACATGTACCCTAAAACTTAAAGTACAATAAAGAAAAAAAAAATTCCATAGTGGCGATATAGAACAGTTTGTTTAACCATTCAGTCATTGGAGGATATCTGGGTTGTTTCTAGTTCTAGGCTATTACAAATAAAGGTGCTCTGAACATTTCTGTTAAAAAAAAAAAAAAGTTAAGACGCTACGTGTTGCTTAGGTCTGCTTTGTTGAAGCCTGTCTCTTTCAGAGTTCCTAAACACAATATTCCCATGGCATCTAATCCTAGTGAGTGCTCCAAATCCAGGCTGTGTATCAGATGCCACGGGAAATTCTGCCTCAGGACTGAGTTTGGTTCAAGCATCTGGATGTTGTCAAAAGTCCACGTTGTGTGCTGGCCTAATCTGAAAGACCCTAACTAGTTCTAGCCTTTAAATGCCTTCTGTCATCAAATCTAGAGTTACATGGCATTTGTACAAGCTAGGTAGCTGAGGCACGGAATCAGCCCTATAAAGGAGCTTTTGGTGCTTTTGTTGTAGGTCTAGCTCCAACTTGGCACTCCAGTTCCCATAGCTAGACTTTCTCTCATCGTGTGTTCTGATCCTTGGATTAGGAACAAAGTAACTACTCTGATACAAAGCAGTGGTTTCGGTTCCCAACTAGTGACTATTTTGCCTCCCAGGGGACATTTTTGGTTTTCACAACTGGGATACGGTGTTAGAGGGTAGAGGCTAGGGATGCTGCGAAGCATGTGGCAGAATCCTCTTCCGCCCCGAATGCTAATAGTGCCAACGTTGTGGAGGCTTCCCACCCAAGGGCTTGGTCTATTCCTTGCTTTTGCCAGCTCCCTAAACCTTAAACACATTTCAAATTTATATGCATAAGCATCTCCTAGGGACCTGCCCGTTTCCAATATCGACTACTGAGACCCATCCGTAGAGATGCAGGCTTAGGAGGTCTAGGATTGGGCTGAAAATTTGCATTTTAACAAGTACTCCAGGTCATTCTGAAGCAAGTGATACAAACCACACACTGAGGAACACGCCTTCAAGAGACTGAATCTTGCTTCCCAACACTAGCTTGCTATCTGAGACCATCTGCCTGCTGCTGGCTTTCCTGGCACAAACATTCTGCATGTAGGCACAGTGTGCTCCTGGACTCCATGTCACCTCGTTCACCCTCATGTTCCCTCGGTTCCTGTCCCCAGTCCAGCAAGCAGAACTGATTACAGATCTTAACAGAAGATACAGATTGAAAATAACTTGCCTGTTCCCGTGGACTTTATCCACTAGTCAAGGAGGACAAGTGGACAAGGGGAGAGGGTAGGTGGGGGCTCCTTCCCTGTTCCTCCCATTCCACTTTATACAAACCCCAGCTAGACCACTGGGAGAGCAACAGAGGTTAAGAATGACTGCATCTAAATATTTAATTTGGCCCACTCTTCTTCTGTCTTGAACACAAGGGTATCATGAGTTTTGTTTAAAGCACTACTGAAACCAAGATAAATTCTGGCTTAGCATGCCCCTGACAGATCAATCTAGTAATCTTATCAAAAAGATTGAGAAATCGGATGGTTGCTGTGTCTGGGTAGAAAGAAGTAGACATGGGAGACTTTTCATTTTGTTCTGCACTAAGAAAAATTCTTCTGCCTTGGGATCCTGTTGATCTGTGACCTTACCCCCAACCCCTTGCTCTCTGAAACATGTGCTGTGTCCACTCAGGGTTGAATGGATTAAGGGCGGTGCAAGATGTGCTTTGTTAAACAGATGCTTGAAGGCAGCATGCTCGTTAAGAGTCATCACCACTCCCTACTCTCAAGTACCCAGGGACGCAAACACTGCGGAAGGCCGCAGGGTCCTCTGCCTAGGAAAACCAGAGACCTTTGTTCACTTGTTTATCTGCTGACCTTCCCTCCACTATTGTCCTGTGACCCGGCCAAATCCCCCTCTGCGAGAAACACCCAAGAATGATCAATAAAAAAAAAAAAAAAACCAAGATTACCTAAAAGCACTAACCAAAGGAAAACTCCCTCACCTCAACCCGTGACTGCTCACATTTTTCAGATTGAATAATTTCAATTGTATTTTAAGGTTGACTCTTTACCACCTCCAAGCTGCTCCTGAACACAACTATTATTTTTTAATTTTGAAAAATTTTTCACTTCTAGAATTTCCACTTGAGGCTTTGTTATTACTGTAGTTTCTTCTTCTCTGCTGTGATTTTCTATCCATTTATTATAAGAGTTTTTGGGGTTTTGATTTTAGTAAGAATTATAATAACTACTTTAAAAAATCCATACTAATTCCAACATCTCGGTCGTCTCGAGGTCAGTCTCGATTGATTGCCTTTTTCTTTGAATATGTTTCTTGGTATGTTTGATATAATGGGATTGAATCCTGAAGATTGTAAAAACTGGATATTTTTTGTTCCTCTGAAAATTGATAATTTTTTGTATTTTTTTTTCTATTGTATACTTTACATTTTCCTCCAAGGGTTTTAACATTTCTAGTTCTCAAAACATTTACATTTATGTTAAAAATTATACAAAGTAGCTTGGTACAGTGGCTCCCATCTGTAATCCCAGCACTTTGAGAGGCCAAGGCAGGAGGGTCACTCGAGTCCAGGACTTGGAAACCAGCCTAGACAACAGGACAAGACCTTGTCTCCACAAAAAATTATTAGGGTGATACAAAAAGTAATTGCAGGTTTTGCCATTACTTTCAATGGCAAAACCCACAATTCCTCTTGCACCAACCTGATAAAAAATAAGCTGGGTATGGTGGTGGTATGTGCCGGTGGTCTCAGCTATTTGGGAAGTGAAGGCAGAGGTGGGAGGATTGCTTGAGCCCAGGAGTTCCAGACCACCCTGAGACCCTGTCTCTACGGGGAAAAAAAAAAAAAAAAAAAAAAATTAGCTGGGCCCACGTACCTGTGGTACTAGCTACTTGGGAGGCAAAGGCAGAGGTGCCAGAATCACTTGAGCCCAGAAGCTCAAGGCTGCAGGGCACTGTGATTGTGCCACTGCACTCCAGCCTAAGTGATGGAGCATGACCCTGACTCCAGATAATAATAATAATTACAAAAAGGAAAGACCTAGAACACCAGGTTAAAGTATTCTAAAATTTAGCTGACTTACTCTGCTCTCTATAAAACAGGGTTGCCACAGAAAATATAGCATGCCCAGTTAATTTTAAATTTCAGATAAACAAATACTTTTTTCAGTGTAAGTATACCCCATGCAATATTTGGGATATGCTTATACTAAAACTTATTCTTTGTTTATCTGAAATTGAAATTTAACTGGGTATTACATAATTATAGCAGCCTGACCATAAAAGATATGTAGGCTGAGCAAAATTCTACTTTAAACTTCAAGCTTTATAATAAATGCATTATTAATCAACAACTATTATTTACTGAGACCTGTGTAGATCCCCATATTTATTTTTAAATGTGGAACTAGGAAATCTATATAAAGAACATTTATAGAAATGAATGACTGTTCTATAGAGCTGAAAGGAAAACTCTAGCTTTTATTTTTCTCCCCAAACTTAAGCTTTATTTTACATTTGTATAAACAATAAAATTACCACTCAACTTTGGAAGCACAGATCATAATATGAAAATAAAGCAAAGATCCCAGAAACATTTAACAGGCAACAAATCTTTGACATCATCTTACTATAGCAACTAAACGTATAATAATTTAGAACGATCCATTAATTATAAGAATAAATTCTTTTACAAAGCATAACTATTAATATTATTTGACCATCATAAGAACAAACATTTTAACTAAAACACCATGAATACTTTACAGAAAGGGGCGAGTTGCAGACACAGTCCTTCTTGGATTTCTTTTAACACCAGGCTTTCTTCCCTTTTGACCTGAGCTGGGAGTTGAATATTTCCTCTCTTTGCCCTCTGACCCTCTAGTCTCTGAAGCATCTTTTGTACTAGAGGTGTGTGCAGAGACTTCCTGGAAATTTGGATCTGTAAATTGTGCTGTTGTATCTTCTAAGCACTGCAGTGATCTGGATATAGAGCTGTTGCTCTTGCTTGTATAAGTGTAATATTCTGATTCAAAAAAGGAAGTGAAAGGAAGGGAGTTGATTACATTTGGCTACAGAAAAAAAAAGATGACACTAATAATAAAAATAAATAATAATTGTACTTGTAATATAAACATCTGAAAGTTTTAGTTCTAAGAATGGCAGTCCACATAAGAAAATTAGGTAAAAATAATTAATATCTATTATAATTATTTTTCTTTAACCAAAGAAAAAGTATAATTTAAAGATGGCTGTTTAAGCATCAAATTGCAGCCATTGGTAAAAGTAGATATTAGTCATATTTATTAAGTGACACACAGTGATACTGAAGGCACTTGTTTCTCAGCAACATCATTTTTTCCCCAATAAGAACGTACTGCATCCTAGACGTGAAATGAAAATAAGCTTTAATTTTCACCACAGGAGGGCGACAACCAGAGAACTGAGGGGGTACAGATCCATTAGAGGACCATATCCATGAGCTTAAAATGCTCTACTGTAAGAGCAAGAATTTTTAAAGAATCTCGGTGAAGGCTCCTTTTCAAAAAAGCACAAAGATTAAAGCCTTTGAAATGTAAATTATTTTTTGCAGTTATTACATTGAGGACAAAGTTATAGTCGCAAAGTTAAGATTTTTATAACTATCCCTAAAATTGATCCTCAGTGACTCCTTGATCTACATATGTTAAGGAAAAAGGCAAGACACAGATATGTTTAAATAGTTTCCAATTTTCAGTAATCAGCTTCAATATAAGGTATACCCAAATAATGGTGAATTAAATGACCATGAAAGCACGTTATAGCAGATGCCCGCTCATCAATATGCCTTGAAATTAAAGGTTTATAAGGTGCATAAGGGCAAAGGTTTTGATGTTGCCATTACATTCGCAAAAGTATGTGAGGCACGTACAGCATGAAGTTCACTAAGTGCTTGCAACATAACCAGCACTAAATTTTGTTGAATAAATAAATGAATACTTTTGTATAGCATCTGTTCAAAATCTGATGTAAAAATGAAAATAATCTGAAAATATGCAAAACTGAAATTTCCCACAGACGGCTGCCAATTCATACAAACCATAAGATGAATTTCAAAATGAGAACGTGACAATAAAATCAAGTTTCAAAATGGCTGGCCTTTTTTTTTTTTAGCAAAACCCATGTTCAAAAAAAGGAATAAGACATCAAATGTTTTGAGAACCAAAATTTTACTGCTGCTTTTCTAACACCCTGTTGCTAACCTGAGCCCCCATCCTCTTACTGTCAATAACAGATTTTCATCATCAAACACAAGAAACACGCTGGGCACAGTGGCTCACACCTGTAATCCCAGCACTTTGGGAGACTGAGGCGGGTGGATCACTTGAGGTCAGGAGTTTGAGACCAGCCTGGCCGACAGGGTGAAACCTCATCTCTACTGAAAATACAAAAATTAGCTGGGTGTGGTGGTGGGCGCCTGTAATCCCAGCTACTCGGGAGGCTGAGGCAGGAGAATCGCTTGAACCTGGGAGGTGGAGGTTGCAGTGAACTGAGATCGAGCCACTGTACTCCAGCCTGGGTGACAGAGCAAGACTCTGCCTTAAAAAAAAAAGATAAAAATACAATAAACATCTCATAAAAACAAAATAATCACTATTCTAACAAACCACAGTCCACAAATAAGAAGTTTCAAAAAGTAAGTTTAAAAGAAAAAAATTTTTACCAACCACTCACTTTTAAGCTGATAAAACTGCATGGCTTCCTTAAGAAACAAGAATCCCTTCGATGCTGAGCAGGTCAGTTTGGAAACCACCCCACCTCATTTTTCAGTACTTTTTTCCAAATACTTGAGTTGATCCTGAGGTTCTCTATTTCTCTCACATTTGATCCTTGCATGACTTACTGAAGTTGAAAAGTTATTTAAGAAGACACAGTGGTGTTCTTCACTCATGTAATTTGTTCATGTATCAAATAAAGGATGGAGAGAAAACTGGATGAAATACCAGAAGTTAAGAGATACATCAAAAACAGTACCATGAGGGAAAAATTTATAGCTATAAATGATTATAAAACATAAGATACTGAATCAACAACTTTACTCCTAAGGAACTAAAAACAGAGGGAAAAAGAGGGACAACTAAAAGCTAGCAAAATTTTAAAAATGATAAAGATAGCAGTGGAAATAAGTGAAATAGAGAACAGAAAAGCAATATCAAAAATCAACAAAACCAAGTTTATTCTCTGGAAAAGATCAAAACTGACAAAAATTTTATCTAGATTGACTAAGAAAAAAAGGGAATACTCAAATTACGAAACTCAGAAGAAAAATGGGTACATTACTAACAAATTTTTGGAGTAAAAAAAGGATGTAGGAGAGTACCATAAGGAACTATACACTAAAAAATTGAATAACCTAAATAAAATGAACAAATTCCTAGAAACAAAAAACCTACTAAGACTGAATCAGAAAAGTTGAATAAACCTATTCAGCAAGGAGATTCAGCAGGAAGATGGCATAAGTAATCAAAAACCCAGCAACAAAGAAAAGCCTGGACCAGATGGCTTCACTGTTGAATTCTACCCAACGTTTAAAGCAGAATTAACACCAGTTTTTCTCAAACTTTTTCAAAACGTTGAAGAGGAGGTAATGTTTTCTAACTTATTCTATGAGGCCAGTATTACCTTGACACCAAGCCAGACAAAGGCACCATAAGAAAACTACAAACAAACATCCCTTACAAATGCTGATGCAAAAATCCTCAACAAAATACCAGCAACTCAAACTTAGCAGTACACTAAAAGGATTATACACTATGAATGAGTATAATTGACTCCTGAAATAAAAGTATATTCCAACACATGAAAATCAGCGTAATATCACATTAACATAAAGAAGGAAAAAAGCCTCATGTGATCACATTTTAATCAAAGAAGAAAAAGCATTTGTCAAAATTTAACCCACATTCATGATAAAATGTACTTAATAAACTATAAAAAGAAAGAAAACACTTTAACATAATGTCATACAAAAAACAAAAACACAGCTAATGTGGTGAAAGACTGAAAGCTTTTACCCTAAGAGCAAAAACAAGGATGCCTGCTTTTACTACTTCTGTTTAATATAGTACTGAGGATTCTAGTTAGTTAAAACATGAGTAAAAGAATAAAAGATATTCCAATTTTTTTAAAAGTAAAATTATCTGTTTGCAGATGACATAACCTTATATATTAAAAATCTTTTGGTTTCTGTGAAATAAACTGTCAGATACAATAAACAAAATTCAGCAAAGCTGCAGGATACAAAATCAATACACAAAAATCAGTTGTATTTCTACAATAACAATAAACTATCTGAAGAAGAAATCAAGACAACAGTATCATGTATGATAGCATCAAAAGAATAAAATACTTAGAAACCCACTTAACCAAGAAAATGAAAAACCTGTACAGCAAAAACTATAAACATGGCATGAACGTATTAAAGATGACAAATAAATGAAAAGACATCATGTGTTTATGGACTGGAAGACAAAACCTTGTCAAGATGCCATTGTTATCTATAGTCATCTACAGATTCAATAAAATCACTATAAAAATTCCAATATTTGCAAAAATAGAAAAACCTATTCTAAAATTCAGATGAAATCTCAAAAAATCCCAAGTAGCCAAATCAATCTTAAAAACTAACAAAGTTAGAGGACTAACACCTCCTGGTTTCAAACTTACTGCAATGCTTCAGTACCCAAAACTTGTACCAGCATAGAGACAGAGACAAAGACCAATGCGATAGAAATAAAGAACCAAAAAATATGGTCATGATTTTTAACACAGGAGTCAACACTATTCAATGGGAAACGATGGTATTTTTTGAATGGTGTTTAAAATGGATATTTACATATACCCATATGTATGTATATATCCCAAATTAGCTTTTTGTCTGTCATGTATGTGGCAGATCTATTTCCCCAGTCTGTTGACTTTTGACTTAGAGGCATTTTTCTCTCACACAAAGTTTCAATTTTTATGGAGTCAAATACATCAGTCTTCTATTCAGTGACTTCTTCATGGGAATGGTGTTTGATTTTAGGATGATAAAGAAGTTGTAGATATGGATAAATTAGATAAACTAGATGGTTGGACAACACTGAATATACTGGATGCCACAGAACTGTACATTTAAACATGGTTAAAATGGTAAGTTTTATGTTGTGTATATTTTACCACCAAAAAAGGGCCAGGCTTAGATGTTTACATGTTAGGGGTTTGGAGTACCTCTAACATTTATTCCCCTCCAGGGGAATAATTTATAAACACCCACACAAGAAAAGTAGATACTGACTTCACAAATCTCCTTACAAGTCCCACAGCAAGGGCTGTCTGGGAAAGCAGAGATGGAAAAAGTCACATAAACTTGAGGTCAGTGTGAGACCTCCCATCCCCTACTCTGGAATCAGATGGAGGAAGGCAGGTATGCAGGCTGAGCTGGAGAGATGAGCTGGGGTGGGCAGAACTGTCCTCCCATGAGCCCAGACCTTAACTGCTCCCACATGCTCCCAGGCATGTATCAAACCAAGAAAGCGGCTAGGAGGGTAACACAGCTACCTGTATACAGGGAGCCATGAAATATCTGAGCTGCGCAAGTGATGCACAAGGAGATGGAAGCAGTCTGACCTTTACACAGTGACCTGGCTCAAATAATTTCAGGCTCTCAATCAGGCGAGCTCCACTTTCTCTCTGAGGTAGGTAAACTTGAGGGGTTTAAGTGGGAGTTGAGGATAATGGAAAAGAAAGCCTGGTAGTATTTCTTCTAATTCTGTTATAAATAAAAAGTAAAACAAATGCCTTTTCTCAGGGCCCAAATGTTAGGTGAAAAAATGTCATCTCAGTCATGTGATGTGGACTTCAGCAGAGCAGTACCCTCATGGTCATTTATCCTTTCCCTCTGCATGTTGTGTGCTTTTTCAGTTTACAATGTACCTGATCCACTTGTCTCATCACACTAGCTGCAAACAAGGCCACTGCATGTCACACCAGGTGGCCAGCATGTCTGTGAAGGGCAGAAACGGGGGCAGCCAAACAGCTGGCAGAGGCCAGCTAGTAAGTACCTGATGCCCACTCCATAGAGGACTCCACACTTAAAAGACAAGATAAGCAAGTGTCAGGCTGCCTCACTAGTTATCCCCCCAAATAAAAAAATAAAAGTAACCCCTCCAGGGAACATGTTTGTGTGTACACAAAGTACATGCACACAGCTACATGCAAACGGGAAAGGCTGGGAAGGAACCAAATCCACCTCTGAACACCAGTTACTTGTGGGGAAGGGGCACGTGAAGCCAACTGTCAGCATTACTCACCTTTTCAACTGATGAGCTTGCATCAATTTTGGCAATTTCTCATAAAAAGACAATTTTCACTCCTTGGGTGATCACCCAGGTCCTGCAAAACTGAGCCACCAACAACCACCTGCACCACTTCCCATGAGGCCAAATAATGGCTTCCCTCAAAGCTCAGCCCTCCCACCCACCTCCCAGTCCTGTACCGTGCAGGGGGGCTGCCGGCCTCCTGGGGTGCAGGGGGGCTGCCGGCCTCCTGGGGTGCAGGGGTCCAGGCCAAACCCAACCTACAGATGGTTGGTGAAACCAGCACGTATCCAAGGGCCTTTTCCCCACCTGTGCCATGTGCCGACTGCATAGATAGGCCTGTGCTTGCTCCCCCTAGGACAGAGATTCCCTTTTCTTCCATTGGAATGAGGGGTGGGGAGATTTGATGGTATTCTGTACAGGTTGGATGTTAATCTGATGTGGTGCTCTTGGAAAAGCTTGCCTGAGTTCGGCGCTTTCTCAGCACATGGTGTGTGCTGCCCCTTCAAGCTGCAGAAACCCCAGAAGGTAAGTGCTAACTGCAACCCCCATTTACTGGTGAGCAGAGGTCAGGTGATCTGCAGCCAGCCAAGCAGCTGCTAAGTGGCCAACAGGCTGGATCTGCATCTCACTTGCAGAGGCCCTGCCTGGCTGCTGGGACTGCCCTGAGACTCCCTCCTCCTCCTCCTCTTCCCTCCACAGCTCTCCCAGCTTCTATCCACAGCTGTGCTCCAGGTGGGGAACACCTATGGCTGCACCAGGGTGCAACTACTCAGACTCCAGCGTGCAGAAAGGCCCCGGCTCCATGCTGTTTCCATATCCCAGCCCAAGCTCGTCTAGAGCTTCAGCAAATCCAAGCTTCCCTGAATTCCCTGCAAGACTAAACCAAGCCCTACAACCCCCACTACACTGGTTAGCTGCCAGTCCGAGCCCCTGCTGCCTCCTGGGCCCCTGTCTGTACAGTTCTGGAGTCCTACAAGAATGCTGAGATCGTAAGCCGACTCTCACCCAAAGAGGTAAACAACCAGGGACCTCCAGGGGTGGAGAACATACCCAGACAGGTTCTGCTGCCTGTAGGCTTCATGTCCTTCCCCTACAACACGCCATGCTTGCCAGGCTGGAAGAGGGGCTCCAGAAACTTGGGAAACCTGGGCCTGTAGCTGGCATGTGGAAAAGAGGCCTGGAAAAGCACCACTCCTGTCCATGAAGCCCCCACATGGAACCAGGTAATTGGGAAATACATGGGCACCAAGCCTGACGCCCTCCTCAGACCCAGGTGGGAACTGCAGCAGTGACTTGCCCCCTCTGCCTCTGGCTGTACCACTATGAGAGGGAGGAACATCCAGGTCCACACGTGAGTGGAGACACCAGGTGTGGGCAGGTTCCAGTGATTGCTGCAGCTGAACCTTCCCAAGCAGGTCCATGCAAGACCATCTCAGATGGGTGTGCACCTGGATTGGGCAAGGACACCCCTCAGAGAGTGAGGGCCACTGAGGGGGGCTGTCACAGAGTCCCCTTTTCCTGCTCCTAGAACAGGCTGGGGGAGTGTGGGGGAGTGTGGGGGAGTGTGGGGGAGTGTGGGGGAGGTTGGGGGAGGTTGGGGAAGTGTGGGGGAGTGTGGGGGAGGTTGGGGGAGGTTGGGGGAGGTTGGGGAAGTGTGGGGGAGTGTGGGGGAGGTTGGGGGAGTGTGGGGGAGTGTGGGGGAGTGTGGGGAAGTGTGGGGGAGGAGTGTGGGGGAGTGTGGGGGAGTGTGGGGGAGTGTGGGGGAGTGTGGGGGAGGTTGGGGGAGGTTGGGGGAGGTTGGGGAAGTGTGGGGGAGGTTGGGGGAGTGTGGGGGAGGTTGGGGGAGTGTGGGGAACCTCTCCCACCTCCCAGCTGCTTCCAGGAGCCACTTCTTTCGAGATGAGACACTCTGCTGCCTGTCTGTTCCCATTTGGCTGCAATAGACCATTGACAACATTCAGAGAACAAGAAGGGGCCTCACCTGTTTTCCCTGACACGTCGGAGGCAGATGGACATTCCCAGGGGACCTGGGGTAGAACCTGTTCATCTGCCCACCCCCAGGCTGTGCTGGCTTCATCTTATCTGTGTGATGGTGGCGGTGGGAATTACCAAGGGGTCATCACACAGACCATGGACAAGTTCTACAAGAGCCAGGGAGAAGAGCCCTGTCCGTGCTTGCTGCCCAGCACCCAGCTCACACACACACCTCTTATTTGACAGCTTCCCCAAAGCGGGCTTTGCAGTCCAGGCTCCCCGAGAAGCTTGGGGAGGAGACTCTGCCAGTCTGAAGGGCCTATCCCTAAAAAGGTGCCACCCTCACCAGGCTCATCCTGGCAATCTTGGATTATCTTTGCTCTGAGGTTTTGGAGTGGGGGACAGGGAGACAGCAGACACTGCACATCACCCATCTTTCCAGAGAGCATCAGCCCTCCAGACTGGGGCAGGTCAGACCTCCACTTGGGCGTTTTTCTCACTGGTTGCCAGTTGGGGGAAGCAGCATTTGTGAGCACCTGCCTGTCTTCCCAGGTCCTGTTCAGAAACCCCATCTGTGCCTTTGGAGAGACTGCCCTGAGCACACAGGCCCAGCAACCACCATATACGACCCCCAGGACCTAATCCCCCTCTACATAGGGTTCAGTGCATGTTAGCAGACACTGGGCTCGATTCCTGCCTAGTCCCTGCCAGATACCCCATGCCCACCTCGTGAAGAGAATGAGGCCACACAAACACACCCAGACCGTCTTGGTGATGGAGTGCCTGGGGTCCCACTTGCCCACCCTTCATTGCTGGTTCAGAGCCAGCTGTCTGACCACATTCCTACCCCGAGATGGGACTTTGGGGACATTGTCCACCAGGGTCGCTGAGCCCTTTTAAAGTTCCAGACACATGGCCAACTGGTCCCCTAAAAGTTTGGTACATGGGATAAGCCAAGGCTTTTCTTCAGGAACAGGCTTTCCACCACGTCGCTGCCCAAGGCCCAGGGCATCCCCAAGTTCATGTGGCGCCTGCCTGCCATGTCCACAGCCCATGCCGAGCCCTCCTAGAGCCACTGGAATGCTTGTTCCTGGGCATGTGATGAACCCAGACAGCTTCCGCCTTGCAGGACAACTGTGCACATCTGGCAGCAGTAGCCAGAGGGCCCATAGAAGTTGGAGGTGAAACCAGATGCTGTGAGAATACTTTATTAGGCAAAACCGCATACTATAAAAATGCTTTAAAATGCAGCAGGAGATGTGAAGACACAAATGAACGAGCGCATAGTGACACATGGCTGTCAGAACACAGTGAAGGATCCACACTGCTTCCCCCCTTTACCTAGAAAAGGAGAGTTCTAGGCCACCTCCTCCTCCTCATACTCCTCCTCCCTCGGCCGTGGCATCCTGATATTGCTGATATTCAGACACCAAGTCGTTCATGTTGCTCTCGGCCTCAGTGAATTCCATCTCATCCATGCCCTCGCCCGTGTACCAGTGGAGGAAGGCCTTGCGCCTGAACGTTGCTGTAAACTGCTCTGAGACCCGCTTGAGTTCCTGGACGGCTGTGTTGTTCCCAGTGAAGGTGACTGACATTTTTAGCCCCCAGGGTGGGATGTCACAGACGGCTGTTTTTACGTTGTTGGGGAACCAGTCAGCAAAGTAGCTGCTGTTCTTATCTTGAATGTTGAACATCTGTTCATCCACCTCCCTCATGGGCATGCGACCCTGGAAAATGGCAGCCGCCGTTAGGTAGCGGCCGTGACGGGGGTCACGGGCAGCCATCATGTTCTTAGCATCAAACATCTGCTGGGTGAGCTCAGCCACAGTCAAGGCCCGGTACTGCTGGCTGCCCCGGCTGGTCAGTGGGGCAAAGCCGGGCATGAAGAAATGCAGCCGGGGAAACGGGACCATGTTCATGGCCAGCTTCCGCAGGTCAGCATTCAGCTGGTCGGGGAAGCACAGGCACGTGGTGACCCCACTCATGGTAGCAGACACCAGGTGGTTCAGGTCACCATAGGTGGGTGTGGGCAGTTTTAGGGTCCTGGAACATATGTCATATAGCGCTTCGTTATCTATGCAGAAGGTCTCATCTGCGTTTTCTATGAGCTGGTGGACTGAGAGGGTGGCGTTGTAGGGCTCCACCACGGTGTCTGACACCTTGGGCAAGAGCAGGATGCTCAATGTGTTTATAATCCTGTCTGGGTACTCCTCCCAGATCTTACTAATGAGAAGGGTACCCATCCCAGACCCAGTCCCCCCACCCAGGGAGTGGGTCAGCTGGAAACCCTGCAGGCAGTCACAGCTCTCAGCCTCCTTTCTGACAACGTCCATCACTGACTCCGTCAGCTCCGCGCCTTCGGTGTAGCGTCCCTTGGCCCAGTTGTTTCCGGCCCCACACTGACCTGTAAGACAGCACAGCCGGTCACTCGACGGCCAGGTATACGGTCATCAGTGGTCACCACCATAATGCAGAAAGGGCCAAGTGTCACGTGTGAGGTGAGAGCACCATTCGCCCTGCAGGTGGAGCAGATGAAACCCCCTCCCCCGGAGTTACAGGACAGCAGCTTCCCCTCTCTTAGGAATTAAGTCAGGAGTCAAACCTGAGAGGGGCTAACCTCACTGCAGGTGGAACAAATGAAAACCCCTCCCCCGGAGTTACAGGACAGCAGCTTCCCCCGTTAGGAATTAAGACAGGAGTCAAACCTGAGACGGGCTCACAGAACTCGCTGCAGGTGGAACAAATGAAACCCCCTCCCCAGGAGTTACAGGACAGCAGCTTCCCCTGTTAGGAATTAAGTCAGGAGTCGAACCTGAGACGGGTTCACAGACCTCGCTGCAGGTGGCCCATTCTCAGGGAAGGCAGTAGCCACGGCCCCAGCTCAGGTCCTTGCAGGGAGTTTACATCAGTAGCTCCTCACCTTGAGGAGACACGCGGGCCTTCCTCCCGAAGCCCGTTTAGGAGGCAGATGGAGCGACTCGACTCGGAGGACAGGAGGGTGTTCAGGGGCCCTGGCGCCACAGTTCCCACAGGATGACCTTGGAGCGTTCCTGGATTTCGAGCTGCCCTGGCTAAGGAGCCGCACCCCAGTCCTCGCCCGCAGCTCACGGGAAATGAAGTTGTCTGGCCTGAAGACCTGCCCGAAGGGCCCCGAGCGCACAGAGTCCATGGTGCCCGGCTCCAGATCCACGAGCACAGCGCGGGACACGTACCTGCCACCTGCGTGGGGCGGGAGGGCATGAGCGAGGGGAGGGCCGCGTTCCCAGGAGGGCGGTGGGGGAAGGACGGGGGTCGCACCGCTGGCCTCGTGGTGGTGCACGTTGATGCGCTCCAGCTGCAGGTGGCTGTCCCCGTGGTAGGTGCCAGCGGAGTCGATGGCATGTTCATCAGAGATCACCTCCCAGAACTGCGGAGACGGGAGGGGCCAGACAGGCCGGGGCTGAGTCACGGAGGCGCCCCAGCCGCTCTCCCACCCCCATCCGCACCCCCATCCCCAGGCCGCCCTGTCCCTGGGGTCCACCCCCGCCGCCTCGCCAGCCACCCGGTTCCACCGTCCCCGGCAGGGAGCCCAGGGGCCGCAATGCAGGGGCACCGCCCCCGCCGCTGCCAACATCTTCCCCGGCCACCCGGCAGGCCCGGGCTGGGCCCTCAGAGCCCCGGCTGCCAACCTTGGCGCCGATCTGGTTCCCGCACTGCCCGGTCTGCGTGAGCACAAGCTCCCTCGTGGCCAAGGCAGGATTAGGGCGGCAGGAGAAGCGCGAGAAGGAGGAGCAGACGCACAGCGACCCAGCCCGGCCTCCGCCAACGCTTAAACAGCCCCGCGCCCACCTCCCTCAGCCTAGGATTGGGCTCCCAGAATAAGCAACAGCTTTACTTCCACACAGGTGCACCCACCTGTGACTCCCCTGGCGTTGAACGTCTGTTGGAGAACTCAGGTGTCCTTGCGTGGTCCCTTCCACGTTGGGGAAAGCTGCTCAGCTGGAGAACTTCCTCCCACGTCTTTAGTAAGACTAAATCCCTAGCTGAGCTGAAACTGAATTTTCCTCCCATGTGGGAGGGGAAGACGCTTGTTTCCATATGCACGGAGTGCCTTTGCACCTGTCCTAGATTGATGACATATTTTTGTAATTGATGAATCTTTTCATCTATTAGGAGATCTGTCGTTAGGAAAGGCCTTCCACATGTTAACAGGACTTAATTATACGTTTTACTTTGGAGCAGTTCAAATCTGCAGTAAGCTATGGGTGTTAGAGATAGTCAGGCCTCTGATTTAGCTAGAGTCTTCTTTAGGATTAGCCCTTTCACCTTTCCAGAGGACTGCGGTCTCCACACAGAGTGAAGGTAATATTGGATTCTTAAAGCTGAGGATAGGTGTTGGGTTACGCCTGCTGTGAAAGATGGGCCATTGTCACTTTGCAGGCTTTTAGATTACCCAAACTGAGGAGTTATTTCTTCTGGTAAACATTTTTCAGATGGGGTGGGGAATGCCTCGATCTAACCAGTGAAGGTATCAGTAAGCATTAGCAAATATTTGAATCTCTTGCAGAAAGTCATTGGGGTACATTAGAGTTGCCAGTTCTCACCTGGATAGGTTCCTTAATTTTGGACAGGTTTAACTGGAGGAGAAAATTGCTGGCCGTTTGGGTCATGTCAGGCACAGAGCTCACAGTGCTGAGTCACCTGTTTTAGTGTCTTGAAAAGATTTACCCCTATAAACAAGTGAGACATTAACAGAAACAAAGAATCCCTTCTAGGGTGAAAAGAATCATGAAAGTGCTGAGTTATACTCTTGTGATTGGTACTTGGCATTAGTAATTTATTACCATCATTCAGCCAGCCCGAGGGGCCCTGGACTGAAATGCAATCCCTGGCCCATTTCTGTTCTTCTTCAGAGTGTTCCGGCCCAGTTCTATGTATGCTGACCAGCACGCCCATAAGCTTCATTGGCCCTTTCAGTGCAGGGGCCTTGGCTGCAGCTACAAGGTCATTTCCTTTTACATGGTCAGTCTCTCTTTTGATGTCCTCTGCAATTAATTATAGTCACTTTCTGGCAGCAAAGCAGTATTCTAACAAGCTCAAAATCTGAATGATGTTGTATGGAAAAGCCCTTGGGGTCAGGAGTCCCCACCCATTCCAAATTGCAGCATAAGCATGAAGCACTAAAAAATCATACTTGGAATCAGTGTAAATGTTAACTTTTAAATCCTTTCCAACTGCAGGGGCCTAGTAAGTTCAATTAACTCAGCTTTTTGAGCTGAGGTCGAGGCCAGCAAGGCTTGTGCCTTGATTCTCTTGTGCTGACTACTAATAGCATATCTAGACCTCCTGTTTTCCTGATGCATAAAACAACTTGCATCTGTTAACCACTCTGCCTTGGGATGGTCAAGGAGCTCATCTCTCCTACGTCTGGCCTGCTAGATCAATTTGTTTCATAACCTGTGACATGCTTTGGCTGTGCCCCCAGTCAAGTCTTATCTTGAATTGTAGCTCCCATAATTCCCATATATCGTGGGAGGGACCCAGTGGGAGGTAATTGAATCAGGGGATGGGTCTTTCCCATGCTGTTCTCGTGACAGTGAATAAGCCTCATGAGATCTGATAGTTTATTTATTTATTTATTTTTGATACATAGTCTTGCTCTGTTGCTCAGGCTGGAGTGCATTATCGTGATCTTGGCTCACTGCAAACTCTGACTCCTGGGTTCAAGCGATTCTCCTGTCTCAGCTTCCCGAGTAGCTGGGATTACAGGTGCCCACAACCATGCCTGTTTAATTTTTGCACTTTTAGTATAGACAGGGTTTCACCATGTTGGCCAGGCTGGCCTCCATCTCCTCACCTCAGGTCATCCACTGCCTTGGCCTCCCAAAGTGCTGGATTACAGCTGATGGTTTTATAAAGGGGAGTTTCCCTACACAAGCTCTTTTGCCTGCTGCCACGTAAGAGATGTGACTTTGTTCCTCACCTGCCTTCTGCCATGAGTGTGAGGCCTCTCCGACCATGTGGAACTGTGAGTCAATTAAACCTCTTTTCTTTATAAATTTCCCAGCCTCAGATATGTCTTTATTAGCAGCGTGAGAACAGACTAATACAGCCTGTATGCCAGAAAGGCTGGGAGCACCTGTGGACTCTGACAGCTAAGTAGCTGGGTTTGTGGTTTGGCAGGCTTTAAGGGTTGTGTCTGGAGGGTCTAGCAATAAGGCCTGACACTTTCATAAATGTTCTCCTATTATCCACTGCTGCCCTTTAGCTTCCAGGACCACCTTCCCTTGGTGTGGGGTCAAAAACCTGTAGGTGCTGTTCTAATGTTAGTTTATTAGCTTTGCCTGCTAGAAAAGTGGTAGCAGCAATAGCTCTAAGACATCAAGGCCACCCTGAGGCCGCCTGGTCTATCTGCTTAGAAAATTAGGCTACTGGCCTTGGAATGTCCCCCAGTTTTGAGACAAGATTACCCAAGGCCTATGCCTTGCTTTTTGGTCACATAAAGAAAAAATGGTTCATCCAACTTGGGGACTCCCATGGCTGCAGCAGAGCTCAATTTCTCCTTGAGAGTATTGAAGGTTTGCTTGCAGTTCTCATTACGTTCTAGGAGCTCTAAATCTTTCCCTTTAGTGTATCATATAAAGGCTTGGCTACATGTCCAAATCTGGGCAACCATAAGCAGCAGTACCCAGCCATCTCCTAAAAGAGCCCACAGTCATTTGTTGGACTGGGACCCTTCGGTGACTAAAATAACTTTTTTATCTTCTAGGGTTGTTGATCAGTTCCAGTGGTTAAGACAGATTCCAAATATTTAAGTCTTTGAGTCAAAATCTGAGCCCTGTATGGGGATACCGTATATCTGCAACTTCCCAGGAAACTTACCAACTTAACAGTATTATTATTTGAGTCTTCTTTAGTTGGGCTAGCAATGAGCAAGTCACCTACATACTGAATAATTGTGTCCCTTTCCAGTTGTAGATTTCTTAAGTCCTTAGCTAGAGCATTTTCAAATAAGTGGGGGCTATCCCAGAACCCTTCAGAGACGACTGTCCAGGTTAGTTTTGAGGCTGAATGTGTATCTGGATTAGTCCATTCAAAGGCAAACATATTGTGAATCTGGATGCATTGAGATGCAGAAAAATGCGTCTTTCAGATTTAAGAATGTAAACCAGCTTGCATCCCCTGGGACTTGGTAAGTATTGGGGACAATGAGGTGTATGGAGACAACTGCATTTCTTAGCGCTCTAAGGGTTCTGACAAATCTGTACTTGCCATTAGGCTTTTTATCTGGTAACATGCGAGTATTGTAAGGAGACTCTCATGGGCTTCATAACTCATATGGCAAGAATTTGGCAATAAGGGGTTGAATTTCCCCTCATGCTTCTTGCCTTAAAATGTATTGTCTCTTCTGAGGGCGAGGAGCACTAGGCTGAAGTTGGATTTGAATCGGGGAGGTGTTTAGTGCATTTCCCAGAGCCTGTGTGGCCCAAACTTCAAGATTTACTTGAGACAATACCTCAGGTGGTAAATGTGACAGCTCATTCTTAACTTCTTTTTTTTCCCCTGAGGGGTCAGGAACAAAAGTAACACTTTCTATGATTTATGATCTGTGAAGGTGACCATGACTTGGTCTCCTGAGTCAATAAACTTCTCCCCAGTAAGAGATCAGGCATTCAGACCGTACTAAAAAGGTAGGTGAGAAGCCCAGAGGCCCTGGAGGACAACTTAGAAGATACAAAAAGCAGTTATTTTGGGCTTGTCCATCATGAAGAGACAGGAGCCCACTGTATTGAATCAGGACAGAGTCATCTGCTCCCACACCTAATAAGAAGTTAATACTCCTACCTGCCACTACAAGAGTCACCTGAGGCTTCTCCATCTCTGGATACCTAATAGTCCAATGGGAGTGGAGGCAGGAAGTAACAGGCCCTCCCACTTTCAAGTCTGCTGGGCTCTGAGGTTGGCTCCCTTGAAAGCACAGTGCATTTCCTTCAGCAGTGGCTGACCTTCTTACAGAAGGCACATTGATTTATATCCACGACACAGTGGCCCAGAGGCACAGACTGGGACTTTCACCTTCTCACTTCCTCTGTGAGGGCCAGGGTTAACGGGCTGCCTCTGAAGTGGTGGAGAGCACAAGGCTGCAGCTAGAAGCTGGGCCTTTTGGGACATTTGGTTTATTTTATGTTTTCTCTGCCCTATTCCTGTGATGGAAAACTGCAAAATCCAAATCTAAAATCTGATCCATGGGAGTCTGGAAGCCTAAGGCTGCTTTTGGCGGCTTCCTGCAGATATCAGAAGCAGGCTGGGCTATAAAGTAAACTCCTAGCAATGCCTATCCCTTCTTGGAGTAAGGGTCAGTGTTAGTGTATTTTCTCAAGGTCTAAATTATCCACCCTTGTAATAAGGCTAGGTTTTCATCTTTTCCGAGTAATTTTCCAGACTTTATAAAAATTAAAAAGCTTTATCACAATTTTTTTTATTCCTTCAAGGAGTCAAATGATCATAATTTTTTCTCTCTATATCCCACTTTCTTCCTAATTCATTCATCTTTTCTAGATTCTAGTTCTCTTTTGAGTCCTAATCAGGCACTTCTGTGCCTCCCACTTGATAGGTGTCATGTCCCTGGTTGCAGGCTGCCACCCTATTAGCATGTGCTCTACCACTCCCATAACACACTGCTTTTCTTTTTTCTTTTTTTTTTAATTATACTTTAAGTTTTAGGGTACATGTGCACCACGTGCAGGTTAGTTACATATGTATACATGTGCCATGTTGGTGTGCTGCACCCATTAACTCGTCATTTAACATTAGGTATATCTCCTAATGCTATCCCTCCCCCCTCCCCCCACCCCACAACAGGCCCCGGTGTGTGATGTTCCCCTTCCTGTGTCCGTGTGTTCTCACTGTTCAATTCCCACCTATGAGTGAGAACATGCTGTGTTTGGTTTTTTGTCCTTGTAATTGTTTGCTGAGAATGATGGTTTCCAGCTTCATCCATGTCCCTACAAAGAACATCAACTCATCCTTTTTTATGGCTGCATAGTATTCCATGGTATATATGTACCATATTTTCTTAAACCAGTCTATCATTGATGGACACTTGGGTTGGTTTGAAGTCTTTGCTATTGTGAATAGTGCCACAATAAACATACGTGTGCATGTGTCTTTATAGCAGCATGTTTTATAATCCTTTGGGCATATACCCAGTAATAGGATGCCTGGGTCAAATGGTATTTCTAGTTCTAGATCCCTGAGGAATCACCACACTGTCTTCCACAATGGTTGAACTAAATTACACTCCCACCAACAGTGTAAAAGCGTTCCTATTTCTCCACATCCTCTCCAGCACCTGTTGTTTCCTGACTTTTTAATGATTGCCATTCTAACTGGTGTAAGATGGTATCTCATTGTGGTTTTGATTTGCATTTCTCTGATGGCCAGTGATGGTGAGCATTTTTTCATGTGTCTGTTGGCTGCATAAATGTCTTCTTTTGAGAAGTGTCTGTTCATATCCTTTGCCCACTTTTTGATGGGGTTATTTGTTGTTTTCTGGTAAATTTGTTTGAGTTCATTATAGATTCTGGATATTAGCCCTTTGTCAGATGAGTAGGTTGCAAAAATTTTCTCCCACACTGTAGGTTGCCTGTTCACTCTGACAGTAGTTTCTTTTGCTGTGCAGAAGCTCTTTAGTTTAATTAGATCCCATTTGTCAATTTTGGCTTTGCTTGCCATTGCTTTTGGTGTTTTAGACATGAAGTCCTTGCCCATGCCTATGTCCTGAATGGTATTGCCTAGGTTTTCTTCTAGGGTTTTTATGGTTTTAGGTCTAACATTTAAGTCTTTAATCCATCTTGAATTAATTTTTGTGTAAGGTGTAGGGAAGGGATCCAGTTTCAGCTTTCTACATATGTCTGGCCAGTTTTCCCAGCACCATTTATTAAATAGGGAATCTTTTCCCCATTTCTTGTTTTTTGTCAGGTTTGTCAAAGATCAGATAGTTGTAGATATGTGGCGTTATTTCTGAGGGCTCTGTTCTGTTCCATTGGTCTACATCTCTGTTTTGGTATCAGCACCATGCCGTTTTGGTTACTGTAGCCTTATAGTATAGTTTGAAGTCAGGTAGCATGATGCCTCCAGCTTTGTTCTTTTGGCTTAGGATTGACTTGGCGATGCAGGTTCTTTTTTGGTTCCATATGAACTTTAAAGTAGCTTTTTCCAATTTTGTGAAGAAAGTCATCGGTAGCTTGATAGAGATAGCATTGAATCTATAAATTACCTTGGGCAGTATGGCCATTTTCACAATATTGGTTCTTCCTACCCATGAGCATGGAATGTTCTTCCATTTGTTTGTATCCTCTTTTATTTCATTGAGCAGTGGTTTGTAGTTCTCCTTGAAGAGGTCCTTCACATCCCTTTTAAGTTGGATTCCTAGGTATTTTATCAACCAAAGAAAGTCCAGGACCAGATGGATTCACAGCCTAATTCTACCAGAGGTACAAGGAGGAGCTGGTACCATTCCTTCTGAAACTATTCCAATCAATAGAAAAAGAGGGAACCCTCCCTAACTCATTTTATGAGGCCAGCATCATCGTGATACCAAAGCCTGGCAGAGACACAACAAAAAAAGAGAATTTTAGACCAATATCTCTGATGAACATCAATGCAGAAATCCTCAATAAAGTACTGGCAAACCGAATCCAGCACCACATCAAAAAGCTTATCCACCATGATCAAGTGGGCTTCATCCCTGGGATGCAAGGCTGGCTCAACATATGCAAATCAATAAATGTAATCCAGCATATAAACAGAACCAACGACAAAAACCACATGATTATCTCAATAGATGCAGAAAAGGCCTTTGACAAAATTCAACAAACCTTCATGCTAAAAACTCTCAAAAAATTAGGTATTGATGGGACGTATCTCAAAATAATAAGAGCTATCTATGACAAACCCACAGTCAATATCATACTGAATGGGCAAAAACTGGAAGCATTCCCTTTGAAAACCGGCACAAGACAGGGATGCCCTCTCTCACCACTCCTATTCAACATAGTGTTGGAAGTTCTGACCAAGGCATTCAGGAAGGAGAAGGAAATAAAGGATATTCAATCAGGAAAAGAGGAAGTCTAATTTTCCCTGTTTGCAGATGACATGATTGTATATCTAGAAACCCCATCATCTCAGCCCAAAATCTCCTTAAGCTGATAAGCAACTTCAGCAAAGTCTCAGGATACAAAATCAATGTGCAAATATCACAAGCATTCTTATACACCAATAACAGACAAACAGAGAGCCAAATCATGAGTGAACTCCCATTCACAACTGCTTCAAAGAGAATAACACACTGCCTTTCTGCCATGCAGCAGGAAAACATAAACATATGCAAGTCCTGCCTGGCCAGATCGTAAACAAGGTTAGCCTCTTAAATTTGTCTACAAATTTTCAGGCACCTCTGAAAACTGTTTTAGCTTTTCCTTGTATATGGCTAGTTCAGACATAGAAAAGGGTACATATACCTATATAGTGTCCTTTTTATCATCTGTCACTTCCCAGAGAGGGCAAACATTCAAGTTTGCCAGCTGATAAGAGGCCCCACTGCATGTTGTTCTGGTGAAGCTCACGTGTTCCGACAGTGGGGTGTGTACTTAAGACAGGACTCGAAGGGCAGGGAGAAGACGATGACCAGACACTAGATAACCCTGGAAAACTAGAAGAAATTAATAACATGTTGCACACCTCACCAGAACTGGAAGGAGTCTGACTGTGTTCTCATGGGGTTGTCGGACTGGCAGGGGGAGTTCAGCCCCAGCTAAGAAAAGCCTAATATTAAGAGGCACTTGCATTAAAAGGGTAATCAATTACGTGCCATCCCTATTTTGTCTTTTCCTCCATCAAACATATAGAAGCCCATTTTAATTTTTTATCCTGACCAAGCATCAGAGAAGCCTATATGTAAAGTATTTCCTCCCATTTAGTTTCTCTTCTATAAAACAAATTAAGCTGCAAAAAAAGGAGTCAGACTGAACAGGGGAAATGGGAAGGCTGTAACTTGTATATTGTAATGTACTAGTCCATTTTCACACTGCTATGACAAAACTGATAAAACTCTGTCAGGAAAAAAGTGGGATACTGGGTTTAGAAAGTAGGGTCCAGCTGCCCTATACCAGCTCATCAAAGATGGCGTTATGGTTAAGAAATGAGAGAAAACTGTTAAGAAAAAGTCCCATGTTCTCCATCTTGAGGCTAATTGTTTGCAGAGGGTTGTCATAAAAGAGGCTGTCACTAAACAGGTATATCTGATCTTATCATGTAGGGCTGTTAAATACCACATTTCAACTTCTAGTCATAATGATGGAGAGGTTATTGCTGATTTTTTTTCTGATAATTAAGGTACAAAAATACTAGGTTCCAAGACATCTCTCTTTTTTCAGTGTCACTTGGACCAGTGGCAAATTAAACAAGCAATCAGCTAAAAGTCAGAGGATCGCTGAGGAAAGCAAAAGCTAAACTGTTTGGGGCCTCTTTCCTGGGGCAGCCTCCAGGCTACTACAAAACAGAGGAGGTGAGCAGAAAGGTGACAAGATACAGAGCACTCAGGTGAGGGACAGAGAGCACAAGGTGGACAGTCCAAAAAGAGAAAGTGGCAAACATCTTGTTTAGCCAAATCCATTCTTCTCAATATTCCCAAGGGCCTCTAACCCTGTGAGCTTGGCCTCTAATCTGAGTATGATGCCCCCGGGCCTCTAATTTTTGGGGCTGAGTGTCTCACCCTAACATTATGCCCTAGGGCCTCTTGCTTAAGTAGTAGTGGATCATCATTCTTGCCCACCAGAATGGCTTCACGACTCTAAAAGACGGCCCACTTGCCAGGTGTCAGCTGACTGATTCTGTGTGGATTGTTTTCCTTGGAGTGGGGGTCTTGTCTTGGTGTCCCTTCATGGTGTTGCTGAAAGATGTTGCTGGAAAAGAGGGTCCTGATACAGACCACAAAGTAGGATTCTTAGATCTTGTGCAGGAAAAAAATTGAGGTGAGTCAGAGAGCACAGTGAAAGAAGCAAGTTTACTAGAAATGACTCCATTAGAGTTGGACACCCTCAGCAAACAAGAGCAGGAATGCATTGTCTTTTGTTAGTGTCTCTTCTTATAAGTAACTATAAAGACAAAGAGTTATAATTAAACTTGGAAGGTGCAAATGTACTCACTAAAGTCGGGGCTATTGGTTTTAACAATGACCATTAACCCATTGACCTAAGCAAGCTCATTAATATTATCCTTACAAAAAAAATGCTGCACTCCTAGGACATGTATACGTTTTTCAGGCTTGGTGGAATATGTCTTGTATGACCACAAATATTCTCCAGTTATAATTTGTGGCCAGCTAAAAAATGTGGCTATTTTCAGACCATGAGCATTAATCTTCTAGATGCCTTGTGAGTACCTAGCTACTCATATTAAGATAGAGTATTCTAGTCATGTTTACTAAACTAGAAGCTTGTTATTCATGAGTTCCTCTAACACAATAAGTCTACTGCTCAAGGAGAAAATGTATTTCTCAGGAATTCTGTGCATTTTGTTTGATGGAATTTGGTATGTTTACCAAAATGGCAGAAAAGAGTGAAATTAGTCCTCAAAGATTTCTCAAGATTGGATATAAAGTAAGCAAAATGATTATAGGTAATATGCAAGTTGATACAGTTGATATTCAAGAGAAATTTGAAACACAATGACATTTTTATTTTTACTTATTTATTATTATTATTATTTTGAGACAGAGTCTTCTCTGTTGCCCAGGGTGGATTGTAGTGTACCATCCTGGCTCACTGAAACCTCCACCTCCCGGGTTCAAGCAATTCTCCTGCCTCAGCTTCCCAAGTAGCTGCGATTACAGGCATGCATCAACACACCCAGCTAATTTTTGTATCTTTAGTAGAGATGGGATTTCACTCTGTTGGCTGGGCTTGTCTCAAACCCCTGACAACAGGCGATCTGCCCACCTGGGCCTCCCAAATTGCTGGGATTACAGGCATGAGCCACCACTCCCAGCCACAATGAGATTTTTAAATAATTCTAACTGATTTCCTGCTGTTGAGCAGGGAGCTGAGCAAATTCAACAGATCATGGGCCTAAAGTAGGAGAAGACTAAGGACAAACTCTAGAATGCATGTGATTAAATTAATTACAATTGAAACCAAATCAAATTTAATAAGGCTGTACCTCTTAGTTTCAAGATGTTTCCCCTCACTTTGAAATGTGGTGTTATTCAGTGGAAAATAACAGGGTTCCCTGCAGGGATTGATTGACTGAGAGCTATGGCTCAGGATTAAAAATCCTTTTTTCCACTTATAAATGAAAAATAAATTTTGTCATAAAGTAGGCTGTCACTAAACAGGCATATCTGATCTTATCATGTAGGGTTGTTAAATACCACATTTCAACTTCTAGTCATAATGATGGAGAGGTTATTGCTATAAACTAAACTAAAAATAAATAAACTAAAAATAAATTTCTAAGCCCCTATTGACTAAATGGACACCTCTTCTTGGATAAGGACATTCCAAAGTTAACATGAAAAGCTAGTTCAAGCCATGGGTCACACAGGCCTCATTATACTCTCCTCCCTTTGGTTTTAATTTTGATTTCAATTTTTAATTTATTTTTGTGGGTACATAGTTGGTGTATATATTTATGGGGATACATGACATACTTTGATACAGGCATGCAATGAGTAATGCATAATAAAAAAATGGGGTGTCCATCCCCTCAAGCATGTATAGCTTGTGTTATAAACAATCCAATTATACTTTTAGTTTTTTAAAATGTATAGTTAAATTATTTTTGACTATAGTCACCCTGTTGTGCTATCAAATGCTGTCTTATTCATTCTTTCTAACAATTTTTTGTACCCATTTCACATCCCCACTAACACCCTGTTCCCTCACTGCCCTTCCCAGCCTCTGGTAACCATCCTTATACTCTCTATCTCTATGACACCAATTGTTTCGAATTTTAGCACACACAAATAAGTGAGAACATGTGACATTTGTCTTTCTGTGCCTGACTTATTTCACTTAACATAAAGACTTTCAGTTCCATTTATGTTATTGCAAATGGCAGACTCTCATTCTTTCTTATAGCTGAATAGTACTCCACCGTGTATATGTACCATATTTTCTCTATCCAGTCAGCTGTTGAGGGACATTTAAGTTCCTTCCAAATCTTGGCTATTATAAACCCTGCTGTAGCAAATATGAGAGTGCCAATATGTCTTTGATCTACCAATTTTATTTCTTTTAGGCATATACTGAGCAGTGGGATTGCTAGACCTTATAGTAGCTCTATTTTTAGTTATATCAGGAACATCCAAACTGTCCTTAATTGTGCTCCCAACAACAGTGTACAAGGGTTCCCTTCACTCCACATACTCACCAGCATTGGTTTTTGACTGACTTCTGGATAAAAGCCACCTTAACTGGGGTGAAATGATATCTCATTTTGGGTTTGATTTGCATTTCTATGATGATCAGTAATGTGTAGCACCTTTTCATTTGCCTGCTTGACATTTGTATGTCTTCTTTTCATAAATGTCTATTTAAATTTTTTGTCCATTCTTTAATTGGATTATTATATTTTTATAGAATTTTTTGAACTCAATATATTGTAGTGTATTAGTCTGTTTCAGCACTGCTATAAAAAAATACTCGGCCGGGCGCGGTGGCTCACGCCTGTAATCCCAGCACTTTGGGAGGCCGAGGCGGGCGGATCACGAGGTCAGGAGATCGAGACCATCCCGGCTAAAAACGGTGAAACCCCGTCTCTACTAAAAATACAAAAATTAGCCGGGCGTAGTGGCGGGCGCCTGTAGTCCCAGCTACTTGGGAGGCTGAGGCAGGAGAATGGCGTGAACCCGGGAGGCGGAGCTTGCAGTGAGCCGAGATCCCGCCACTGCACTCCAGCCTGGGCGACAGAGCGAGACTCCGTCTCAAAAAAAAAAAAAAAAAAAAAAAAAATACTCAAGACTGGGTTATCTATTTATTTAACGAGATGAAGTCTTGATCTGTTACCCAGGCTGAAGTGCAGTGGTGCAATCTCGGCTCACTGCAAACTCCACCTCCTGGTTCAAGCAATTCTCTGTCTCAGCCTCCTGAGTAGCTGGGATTACAGGCACCTGCCACCATGCCTGGCTAATTTTTGTATTTTTAGTAGAGACAGGGTTTCACCATCTTGGCCAGGCTGGTCTTGAACTCCTGACCTCGTGATCCACCCCCCACTTGGCCTCCCAAAGTGGTGAGATTACAGGCATGAACCACTGCACCTGGCAAGACTGAGTAATTTATAAAGGAAATGGGTTTAATTGACTCACAGTTCCACATGGCTTGGCAGGCTTCAGGAAACTTACAATCATGGCAGATGGGGAAGCAGTCACCTCTTACATGACAGCAGGCGAGACAGCATGTATGTGAAGCAAAGGGGGAAGAGTCCCTTATAAAACCATCAGATCTCATGAGAACTCACTCACTATCAGAAGAACAGCCTGGGGGAAACCACCCCCATGATCCAATCACCTTCTGCCGGGTCTCTCCCCCAAAACCTGGGAATTACAATTCAATATGAGATTTGGGTGGGGACACAAAGCCTAACCATATCATGTAGCTATTAATTGCCTTTCAGATGGATAACTTACAAATATTTTCTCCCATTCTGTGGATTTTCTCTTCACTTTGTTTATTGTTTCCTTCACTTTAAAAAGGCTTTCTGATTTGCTGTAATCCCATTTGCCCGTGTTTGTTTTGGTTGTCTGTGCTTATGGGGCACTATTTAAGAAATTTTTGCCCAAACCAATGCCCTAAAGGGTTTCCCCAATGTTTTATTGTAAAAATGTGATAGTTTGAGATGTTAGGTTTAAGTCTTTAATTCATTTTAATTTGATTTTTTATGTGGCAAGAAATAGGGTTCTAGTTTTATTCTTCTGCCTATGACCTGCCACTTTTCCCAGCCCTATTTATTACAAAAACTGTCTTATTTTTTGTTGTATATTCTTGGCACTTTTGTTGAAAATAAGTTTAGCTTAGCTGTATGAGTTTGTTTCTAAGGTCTCTATTTTGTTCCATTTGGCTTTATGTCTGTTTTTATGCTAGTGTCATGCTGTTTTAATTACTATAACTTAGTAGTATAATTTAAAACCAGGTAATGGAATTCCTCCAGTTTTGTTTTATATACTCAGCACAGCTTTGACTATTATGGTGTTTTGTGACAGTTCCATATAAATTTCAGAATTTTTTTTCTGTTTCTGTGAGGAATGTCTTTTTTTTTTTTTTTTTTTTTAGATGGCATCTCGCTCTGTCACCTAGACTGGAGTGCAGTGATGCAATCTCGGCTTACTGCAACCTCTGCCTCCTGGGCTCAAGCAATTACCTACCTCAGCCTCCTGAGTAGCTGGGAAGGCACCCGCCACCATGCCCAGCTAATTTTTTTGTATTTTTAGTAGAGATGGGGTTTCACAAATTTGGCCAGGCTGGTCTTGAACTCCTGACCTCATGGTCCACCCACCTCGGCCTCCCAAAGTGCTGGGATTACAGGCATGAGCCACTGCCCCTGGCCTGTTATTTTGATAGAGATGGCATGAAATGTATAGATTTCTTTGGATTGTATGGACATTTTAGAAAAATACTGATTCTTCCAATCTGTGAACATAAAAATATCTTTCCAATTTTTGGGTCCTTTTTCATTTCTTTTATCAGTGTTTTACAGTTTTAATTGTTGAGAACTTTTATTTCTTTGGTAAGTTCCCACACATTGTGTTTTATTTGTGGCTATTGCAAATAGTGTTACATTTTTGAATTCTTTTTCACTTTGTTGACTGTTGGCATATAGCATTCCTACTGATTTGTATATGTTGATTTTGTATTCTGCAAATTTACTCAAGTTATTACTTCTAATAGTTTTTTTGGTGGATGTATTAGGCCATTCTCACATTGCTATAAAAAAAAATCAGTGACCGGTTAATTTGTAAAGGAAATAGATTTAATTGGTTCATGGTTCTACAGGCTGTACAGAAAGCATAGCACTGGCTTCTGCTTCTGGGGAAGCCTCTGGCAACTGACAAGGTGAAAAATAAATCCGATGCTTGCACATCACATGGTAAGTGCGAGGGCAGAGTGTAAGTGCTACACACTTGTAGATAACCAGCTCTCGTGAAAACTTACTATTGTGGGAATGGCACCAAAGGAAATGATGCTAAACTCTTCATGGAAATCCTGCCCTCTTGATTCAATCACCTCCCCACTAGGCCCACTTCCAACATTGAGGATTACATTTCAGTATAAGATTTTGGTGGGAACACACACCCAAACTATATCATTTTGCCCTGGCCATTCCAAATCTCATATCCTTCTCATATTTCAAAATACAATCATGACTTCCCAATAATTCCCAAAGTCTTAACTCATTTCAGCCTTAACTCAAAAGTCAAAAGTCTCATCTAAGACAAAGCTAGTTTATTCCTCCTATAAGCCTGTAAAATAAAAAAACAAGTTAGGTACTTCCAAGATACAAATGGGGCAGAGGCATTGGGTAAATACTCCTATTCTAAAAGGAAGAAATCAGCCAAAAGAAAGGGGCCACAGGACCCACGAAAGTCTGAAACCCAGAAGGGCAGTTACTGAATTATAAGGCTCTAAAATAATTATTTTTGACTCTGTGTCCCATTTCCAGGGCACACTAATGCCTTGGGAAGGTTCAACCTTGTGACTTTGCATGGTTCCGCCCCCATAGCTGCTCTCATGGGCTGGCATTGTGTACCTCTGGCTGGTATTGTGTGTCTCTGGCTTTTCCAGGTGCAAGGTGCAAGCTGTAGCTAGATCTACCATTATGCGGTCTGGAGGACAGTGACCTTCTCCTCACAGATCTACTAGGCCATGCCCCAGTGGGGAGCCTGCATGGGGACTGTCACCCCACATTTCTTTTCTCCATTGTTTTAGTAGAGGTTCTCCATGAATGCTCCACCCCTGCAGCATGCTTCTGTCTGCACACCCTGGCTTGTTCACACATCCTTTGAAACAAAGGTGGAAGATCCCAAGTCTCAACTCTTGCATTTTGTAAACCCACAGGCCTAACACCACATGGAAGCTACCAAGGCTTATGGCTTGCACCCTCTGAAGCAGTGACTGGAGTTGTAACTGGATCAATTTGACCTACACCTGGAGCTGAAGCAATGGTCAGGATGCAGGGAGCCATGTTCCAAAGCTACCCAAGGCAGCAGATCCTGGGCCTGATCCCAGAAACTATTCTCTTCTTTTAGGCCTCAAGGCCTGTGATTGGGGGCTGCCTTTCAGATTTCTAAAATGCCTTCAATTCCTCTTTCCCATTGTCTTGGCTATCAACACTTGCTTTTTTTTTAGGTTATACAAATACCTCTAACAAGTCGTTGCTCCATAGCGTGCTTGAGTTCCTCTCTTATAAAATCTTTTTATTTTTTAGGCACAGGACTAGGCTGCAAAGTTTTTAAGCTTTTACACTATGCTTCCCTTGTAAGTATAAGTTACAACTTATATATTTTTTTTGCTAGATCATGTGAGCATAGGTTGTTAGAAGCAGCCAGGCAACATCTCAAATGCTTTGCTGCTTAGACATTTTTCCAACAGAAAACTTAAATCATCAATTTCAAAATCAAAGTTTTATATATCCCTAGGGCATGACAGAAATTCAGCCAGCCACTTTGCTAAGACAACATGCATGACTTTTGTTTCGGTCCTAATAAGTTTCTAATTTTATCTGAGACCTCCTCAGCTTGGCCTTCACTGTCCAGATCACTAACAGCATTTTGGTCACAGCCATTCAACCAGTCTCTAAGAAAATCTCAACTTTCCCTTATTTTTCTGTCTTCCTCTGAATCCTACAAACTCTTCCAACCTCTGCCTGTTTATCCAACTACAAAGCTAATTTCACATTTTCAGGTATTCTTATAACAATTTCTCACTCCTTGGTGCCAATTTTCTGTATTAAGCTATTTTTGCATCACTATAAGAGTGGGACTGGATAATTTATTTTTAAAAAAGGAGGTTTAAGTGGCTCATGGTTCTACAGGCTGTAGAGAAGACATAGCACTGGCATATGCTTCTGGGGTGGCCTGTAGAAGTTTACAGTCATGGCAGAAGTTGAAGCAGAATCTTGCACATCAAAGGGCAAAAAGCTGGAGCAAAAAACAGAGGGGCGAGTTGTTACACACTTTTAAATAACCAGATCTTGTAGGAACTCACTCACTATTATGAGGATAGTACCAAGTGGGACGGTGCTGAGCCATTTCTGAGTAATCCACCCCAATGGTTAAATCACCTGGCCCACCTCCAACATGGAGAATTACATTTAAATATGAGATTTGGGAGGGGACACACGTTCAAACCCTATCAGAGGAGTCTTTATGTTTTTTCAAATATAAGACTATGTCATTGGCAAAAAAAGATAATTTGACTTCTTTTCCAACTGGGGTGCCTTTTATTGCTTTCTGTTGTCTGATTGCTCCAGATAGGACTTTCAGAATTATGTTGAATAACAGTGGTAAAAGTGGACATTCTTGTCATCTTCCAGATTTTAGAGGAAAGGCTTTTAGTTTTTCCCCACTTAGTATGATACTAGCTGTGGGTCTGTCATATATGACTTTTATTATGTTGAGGTATGTTCATTCCATACCGAGTTTTCAAAGAGTTTTTTATAATTAAAGAATATTAAGTTTTATCAAATAATTTTTTAGCATAATTGAAATGATTATATGGATTTTGTCCTTTTATTTATTTATTTATTTTTGAGATGAAGTCTCCCTCTGTCACCCAGGCTGGAGTGCATTGGTGTGATCTCAGCTCACTGCAACCTCTGCCTCCTGGGTTCAAGTGATTTTCCTTCTTTAGCCTCCCGAGTAGCTGGGATTACAGGCACCCACCACCGTGCCTGCTTAATTTTTGTATTTTTAGTAGAGACGGGGTTTTGCCATGTTGGCCAGACTGGTTTCAAACTCCTAAACCCAGGTGATCTGCCAGCCTCAGCTTCCCAAAGTGCTGGGATTACAGGCATGAGCCACTGTGCCTGACCCCTTCATTCTGTTTATGTGATGTATCACATTGATTAATTTGAATGTTGAACCATCTTTGCATCCCTGGGATAAATCCCACTTGGTCATTATGACTTACCTATTTATGTATTGTTTAATTGAGTTTGCTAGGTGTTTTGCAAATTTTTGCACCAATATTCTCAGATATGGGCCTGTAGTTTGCCTTTTTAATGTGTCTTTGTCTGGTTTTGATATCAGGGTAATACTAGCCTCAAAGAATGAGTTTGGAAATGTTCTTTCCTTCTCTATTTTTCAGTCTGGTCCTACTGACTTTTTTATTAAGGCTTTAATTTTGTTAATTGTTATTGGTCTGTTCAGGTTTTAGATTTTTTCCTAGTTCAATCTGGGTAAGCTGTGTGTATCTAAGAATTAATTTCCTCTAGGTTTTCTAATTTGTTGGCATACAATTGCTGATAGTAGCCACTAATGACCTTTTGATTTTCTGAAGCGTTACTTGTAATGTCTCCTTTTTCACCTCTGATTTTACTAATTTCTATCTTCTCTGTTTTTTAGTTAGCCTGTCTAAATATTTGTCAACTGTTTTACTTTTCAAAAAATCAACTTTTTGTTTCATTAATCTTTTGCATTGTTTTCTTCATTTTATCTTTATTTACTTCCACTGTAATCTTTATTATTTCTTTCCTTCTAATTTTGGGTTTGGTTTGGCCTTTTCATTCTAGTTAATTAAGATGTATTGTTAGGTTATTTATTTGAAGCTTTTCTGTTTTTTATGTAGGCACTTACAGTTATAAATTTTCCTTTTATAATAGTACCTCTTTTACTATATTCCATAGGTTTTGCTATGCTATGTTTCCATTATCATTTGTTTCAAGAAATTTTTCTGTGTTCTTCTTAACTTTTTTATCGACCTACTAATCATTCAGGATCATATTGTTTAATGTCCACGTGTGTGTATAGTTTCTGAAATTCCTTTTTAAATTGATTTCTAGTTTTATTCCCTGTCGTCAGAGAAAATGCTTGATATTACTTCAATTTTTTGGAATGTTTTTAGACTTGTTACTTAACATATGGTCTATCCTTGAGAATAACCCATGTGCTGAGGAGAAGAATGTTTATTCTGCAGCTGTTGCATGAAATTTTCTGTAAATATCTATTAGGTTCATTTGTTCTATAGTGCAGATTGTCTGATGTTTCTTTGTTGATTTTCTGTCTGCAAGGTCTATCCAATGCCTAAAGTGGGGTATTGAAGTGTCCAGCCATTATTGTATTGAGGTCTCTTTCTTTAGCTCTTATAATATTTGCTTCATTTATCTAGGTGCTTTAGTGTTGAGTGCATATATATTTTCAATTATTATATCCTCTTGATGAATTGATCTGTTTATTATTATATAATGACCTTTTTAATCTCTTTCTACAGTCTTCTGTTGAAATCTATTTTTGTCTGGTATAAGTATAGCTATTTCTGCAAAGAACTCAAACAAATTTACAAGAAAAAAACAAACAACCCCAGTGGGTGAAGGATATGAACAGACACTTCTCAAAAGAAGACATTTATGCAGCCAACAGACACATGAAAAAATGCTCATCATCACTGACCATCAGAGAAATGCAAATCAAAACCACAATGAGATACCATCTCACACCAGTTAGAATGGTGATCATTAAAAAGTCAGGAAACAACAGGTGCTGGAGAGGATGTGGAGAAATAGGAACACTTTTACATTGTTGGTGGGACTGTAAACTAGTTCAACCACTGTGGAAGACAGTGTGGCTATTCCTCAAGGATCTAGAACTAGAAATAGCATTTGACCCAGCCATCCCATTACTGGGTATATATCCAAAGGATTATAAATCATGCTGCTATAAAAAAATGGAGGCTTTCTAAATAGATCTTCATTAATGTTGAGGTTTTAAGTCTTGGTCTCAGCCAAAAGGAATTCCTCGCATACCCAGGAGGGATGAAACACTTGCATTGTCGCGTTAGATATTCTTAGAGAGAAAGAGGACCACGCGTAATGGAAAATTGCTAACTTTGCCTCAGGGAGACCAGGTTGATTCACTGAGAAAGTTTGAATTGGTTTAGAAAGCATAGTTCTGAGTTTTCTAGGAGAAGGAGAAAAGTTAGGGTAGGGCATAAGAAGTAATGCCCACATCAAAAAGTTAGAAAGATCTCAAATTAACAACCTAACATCACAACTGAAAGAATTAGAGAAGCAAGAAGAATTCAACCACAAAGTTTATAGAAGACAAGAAATAACTAAAATCAGAGCAGAACTGAAAGAAATAGAGACATGAAAAACTATTCAAAAAATCACTTAATCAAAGTTTTTTGAAAAAATTAGTAAGATAGATAGGGTACTAGCTAGATGAATAAAGAAGAAAAGAGAGAAGATTCAAATAAACAAAATTAGAAATGATGAAGGGAATGTTACCACTGACCCCAGAGAAATAAAAATAACAACCAGCAACTACTATGAACACATCTACACACACAAACTAGAAACCCTAGAAAAGATGGATAAATTCCTGGCCACATACACCATCTCAAGGCTGAACCAGGAAGAAACTGAGTCCCTGAACAGACCAATAATGAGCTCCAAAAATTCAATCAGTAGTAAATAGCCTACCAAGCAAAAAAAAAAAAAAAAAAAAAAAAAAAAAAAAAAAAAAAAAAAAAAGCCCAGGACTTGATAGATTAATAGTAAAATTTTAACAGATATACGAAGAAGAGCCAGTACCATTCCTACTAAAACTATTTCAAGAAATAGAGGAGGAGGGACTCTTCCCCAACTTGTTCTACAAGGCCAGCATCATCCTGATACCAAAGCCTGGCAGTGACACAACAAAAAAAGAAAGCTTCAGGCCAGTATCCTTGATGAACATCCATTCAATAATCCACAACAAAATCCTTGCAAACCGAATCCAGCAACACATCAAAAGTCTAATTCACCACAGTGAAGTAGGATTCTTCCCTGGAATGGAAGGTTGGTCCATCATGGGCAAATCAATAAAATGTGATTTATAACATAAATAAAACTAAAGACAAGAACCACGTAATTGTCTCAATAGACGCAGAAAAGCCTTCAGTAAAATTCAGCAATGCTTCATGTTAAAAAGTCTCAATAAATGAGATATTGAAGGAACATACCTCAAAATAATAAAGGCCACCTATGACAAACTCACAGCCAGCATTATACTAAATGGGCAAAGTCTGGAAGCATTCTCCTTGAAAACTGGCACAAGACAAAGATGCCCTCTCTCACCACTCCTATTCAACACAGTATTAGAAGTCCTTGCTGGAGCAATCAGACAAGAGAAAGAAATAAAGTGTATTTAAATAGAAAGAGAAGTCCAACTACCTCTGTTTGCAGACAACATAATTCTCTATCTGAACCCTATAGTTGTGACCCAAAAGCTCCTTAAGCTGATACAACTTCCACACAGTTTCAGGATACAAAATCAATGTACAAAATTTGCTAACATTCCTACACACCAAGAAGAGCCAAACTAAGAGCCAAATCAGAGAGGCAATTTTATTCACAATTTCCACAAAAAGAATAAAATACATAGGAATACAGCTAACCAGGGTGGTGAAAAATCTCTATAATGAAAATTACAAAACACTGCTCAAAGAAGTCAGAAAAAACACAAACAAATGAAAAATCATTCCATGTTAATGGAGAGAAAGAAGTAATATCATTTAAATGGTTGTACTGCCCAAAGCTATATTAAACTACCAATGACAGGCTTCACGGAAGTAGAAAAAGCTATTTAAAAATTCGCATAGAACCAAGAAAGAACCTAAGTAGCCAAGGCAATCTGCAAAGCTTGAGGCATCACATTACTTGACTTCAAACTATACTACAGCACTACAGTAACCAAAACAGCATGGTACTGGTATAAAAACAGACACATACACCAATGGAACAGAATAGAGAGCCCAGAAATAAGACCACAGACCTACAATTATCTAATCTTTGACAAAGCTGGCAAAAACAAGCAATGGGGAAAAGATTTCCTATTCAATAAATGGTGCTGGAATAACTTGCTAGCCATATGCAGAAGATTGAAGTTGGTCTTCTTCCTTATACCACACACAAAAATCAACCCAAGATGGATTAAATACTTAAATGTAAAACCCAAAACTATAAAAGCCCTGGAAGACAACCTAGGCAATACCATCCTGGACATAGAAACAGGCAAAGATTTCATGATAAAGACACCAAAAACAATTACAACAAATGCAACTATTGACAAGTGGGATCTAATTAAACTTAAAAGCTTCTGCTCAGCAAAAGAAATTATCAATAGAGTGAACAGACAACCTATAAAATGAGAAAAAGTATTTACAAACTATGTCTCTGACAAGGATCTAATATTCAATATAAGGAACTTAAATTTACAAGAGAAAAACAAACAACCCTATTAAAAAGTGTCCAAAGAATTGTCTATTCATGTCCTTAGCCTACTTTTTGATGGGATTGTTTGTTTTTTTTCTTGCTAATTTGTTTGAGCTCATTGTATATTCTGGATATTAGTTCTTTGTCAGATATACAGATTGTGAAGATTTTCTCCCATTCTGTGGATTGTCTGTTTACTCTGCTGACTGTTCCTTTTGCCGTGAAAAAGCTCTTTAGTTTAATTAAATCCCACCTATTTATCTTTGTTTTTCTTGCATTTGCTTTTGGGTTCTTGGTCATGAAATCTTTGCCTAAGCCAATGTCTAGAAGGGTTTTTTTGATGTCATCATCTAGAATTTTTATACTTTCAGGTCCTAGATTTAAGTTCTTGATCCATCTTGAGTTGATTTTTGTATAAGGTGAGAGATAAAGATCCAATTTCATTCTCCTACTTGTGGCTTGCCAATTATCCCAGTACCATTTGTTGGGTAGGGTGTTCTTTCCCCACTTTGTTTTTGTTTGCTTTGTCAAAGATCAGTTGGCTGTAAATATTTGGGTTAATTTCTGGGTTCTTCATTATGTTCTATTTGTCTATGTGCCTGTTTTTATACAAGAACCATGCTGTTTTGGTGACTATGGTCTTATGATATAGTTTGAAATCAGGTAATGTGATGCCTTCTGATTTGTTCTGTTTGTTTAATATTGCTTTGGCTATGCGGGCTCCTTTTTGGTTCCATATGAATTTTAGGATTGTTTTTTCTAGTTCTGTGAAGAATGATGATGGTATTTTGATGGCAATTGCATTGAATTTGTAGATTGCTTTTGGCACTACGGTCATAGACAATTCTCAGAAGATATACAAATGGCCAACAAACATATGAAAAAATGCTCAACATAACTAATGATCAGGGAAATGCAAATTACAACCACAATGCAATGCCACCCTACTCCCACAAGAATGGTCATAATAAAAAAATAGTAGATGTTGGTGTGAATGTGGTGAAAAGGGAACGCTTCTGCACTGCTGGTGGGAATGCAAGCTAGTACAATCACTATGGACAATAGTGTGGCGATTCCTTAAAGAACTAAAAGTAGAAGTACCATTTGATCCACCAATCCCACTACTGGCTATGTACCCAGAGGAAAAAAAAGTCATTATAAGAAAAAAGATACTTGCACACACATATTTATGGCAGCACAATTTGCAATTGCAAAAATGTAGAACCAATCCAAGTGCCCATCAATCAACGAGTGGATGAAGAAACTGTGGTACATACGTACGATGGAATACCACTCAGCCACAAAAAGGAATGAATTAATGGCAGTTGCAGCAACCTGGATGGGATTGAAGACTATTATTCTAAGTGAAGTAACTCAGGAATGGAAAACCAAACATCATATATTCTCACTTATAATTGGGAGCTAAGCTATAAGGATGCAAAAGCATAAGAATGACACAATGGACTTTGGGGACTCAGGGAGAAAGGGGAGAAGGTGGTGAGGGATAAAAGGCTACAGATTGGGTTCAGTGTATACAGATGAGGTGATGGATGCACCAAAATCTTACAAATCAATCAATAACTTACCAATGTAACCAAATGCCCCCTGTTGTCCTAAAACCTATGGAAATAAAAAAATGTTTAAAAAGTGGGCAAAGGACATGAACGCTTTTCAAAAGAATATATACATGTGACCAACAACCATAGAATACAAAGCTCAATATCACTGATCATTAGAGAAATGCAAATCAAAGGCACAGTGAGACACCATCTCACACCAGTCAGGATGGCTACTATGAAAAAGTCAAAAAATAACAGATGCTGGCAAGGTTGTGGAGAAAGAGAACACATACACTGTTGGTGGGAGTGTACATTGGTCCCACCATTGTGGAAAGCACAACAGTGCTTTCCTCGAAAGAGATAAAAGCAGAACTATCACTTGACCCAGCAATCTCACTACTGGGTATATACCCAGAGGTATATAAATTGTTCTGTCATAAGGACACAAGCACGTAAATGTTTGTTGCAGCACTATTCACAATAGTAAAGACATGGAATCAACCTAAATGCCCAACGATGACAGATTGGATGCAGATAATATGGCACACTGTGGAGGAAAAGTTAAATATTAAATTTGAACTCAATTGAACATGGACACAAACAATGGTCACTAAGTCCTGGAATGAGTTGTGTGAGCCCCTTGAGGCATCCATCCAGTGCTGCTTCGGAGAAACAGTTATTGAAAAACAACAGTTATTGAAAAACAGTTATTGAAAAACAACAGGCAATTGCAAAAACAAATTGACCTTTTTGTGTTCCTTGAGCTCAGTTGCGAAGGGCCCTCATGACTGGGCCTCATGACAAACAACTTGTTACAAAAAGAGCTCGGTTTCCAGATCGCACCGAAGCTTCCTGGGACCTCTCCTCATCTGTGCACGGACTAGTGGCCAATTCTGAATCCCAGGCTGTTGTTTCCCAGTCTGGTGATGAATCCTCCACAGTCTGGTGAGTGTAAATGTATATAAATGTATGTATATACTTTTTCCCTTCTCCCCTTCCCATTAAAATTTGTTTGTTGTATCATTTGCTTATTATATCTATATTGCCATATACTCGGGGTAAAGTCTGTTTACCTTTAAAAGTATTGTGTGTTTCTTTTCTTTCCTCACACGTTTCCCACACAGAACACACATATGCACCATGGAATACTATGCAGCTACGTGTTCTCACTTGTAAATGGGAGCTAAATAATGAGAACTTATGAACACAAGGGAACAACAGACAACAGACACTGGGGGTCTACCTGAGCGGGGAAGGTGGGAGAAGGGAGAGGAACAGAAAAGATAACTGTGGGGTACTGGGCTTAATACTTGTGTTATGAAATAATCTGTATAACAAGCCCCTGTGTTATGAGTTTATCTATGTAACAAACCTTCACATGTACCCCCAAACCTAAAATAAAACATTTTTTAAATCCTTTATGAAAGCTGTAAGATCTGCTCCTGTGTGTTTGTATGTCTATATGTGTTACATGTATGTAATAATATTTTGTAAATAAAGCTCATTCTTAAATCGTTAAATAGAAATGGCTTTACAATTATCCATTAAAAATAATTAGATACTTGCTTGATTTAACTGTGAGCTTACATCTTTTGTTGAGAGTTTCTTGATTCATGGGTCTTGATAGGTGAACATGAAGAAGTATGGAGACACATTCTCAGTGCCTAGACCAGCAGCTACAAGCCAGAATCAAGCCCAATCGGCCCCTTCTTTCTATGCTTTCCCTGTTTTGCCTCCTGGCTATTTTAGGCGGGGGTGGATCCTCCAGTTATAGCCTTCACAGTTCTGTCTTTAGTCCTAATGGACTCAGGCAGGCCCTGATCTTCATAGTTCTCCTGGGTGCCATGTGGCTACTTGGAACCGAGGATTACTGAGGGAAGACATTACGGATGCCACCTGTGTCATAGTTTCAAAATTCTGTTCATTAATTTAAAATCTTAAAATCACATTAAATTAAGTAATACATAACCATAAAATATCTTGAGTCATTTGTAAGCTAAAATATTGAAATACTAACCATTAAAAATTAGTTTAGGTCTATATACCATGACACGTTACTTGTATATGGTATACAAAACCTAAATATCTTTAGTTCTGTTAATAAACAGTAATTTGAAGAATTATATTTCTTAAAAGTTATAAAATGGTTTTTATCTAAAAATACTGATACAAGACAGTTGAAAATCACTTTTTAGGGTTTTCACTGAAAATTGGGGCTCCTAAGACTTAATTACTAGATATGAGAGAAACAATTCTGCATACAGAGTGTATAAAAAGCAAGATACGCTTTTTTTTTCTTTTTTTGAGAACGAGTCTTGCTCTGTTGCCCAGGCTGGCATGCAGTGGCATGATCTCAGCTCACTGCAACCTCTGCCTCCCCGGTTCGAGTGATTCACCTGCCTCAGCCTCCCAACTAGCTGGGATTACAGGTGCTCGCAACCACACCCGGCTAATTTTTGTATTTTTAGTAGAGATGGAGTTTCACCATGTTGGCCAGGCTGATCTCGAACCCCTGACCTCAAGTGATGCACCTGCCTCGGCCTCCCAAAGTGCTGGGATTACAGGCTTGTGAACATACGCTTTTGATGATAAAACTTATAAAGACATAAAAATGTGTTTTAATTTTTTTTTGGTTTGAAGTTACTTAAAGATTTCAAATTGAAGAAGTAAAAAAAAACTAGATAAAACTAGATAAATATAGAAAGTTGGGGGAAAATGCAAAGCATACGTTCACAAAAATCTGGGATTAAAAGATGACAACATTTGATAAATTTATTTATAAAGTTTTATTAAATTAACTTTAGAGGCTGGGCATGGTGGCTCACGCCTGTAAATAATAAAATTATCTTGCCAATTATGTCTAACTATGATAGTTTAAAGTCATTTCCACTGTAAATTGCTTAATTCTGAGGCAGTTTCTGAAAACTTTACAAGCTTGCAAAATCCTGGAATATTGTTTCTTTAAGGAGGTTCATGAAAGGATGGAGAAGGCCCTGAGAAGTACTCTTGAATATAGGTTTTTGAGAACTTTAGAATTATATTATTTGAACTGGGTAAGAATTTCCAGAACTTTAATGAAGAGACTGACTGGTTAATAAAATTGCTAACCCAAGCAGAATAAAAATCAATTGAATACCAAGAAAATACTTTGCCAGATTTTCATGCCAAATCAGCTAGTACTTAAATTGTCTAGATAAAGAATTTGAATGAACTGCATAGTCCAAGTCAAATTATCTATGATAATCCCTGCTTAGTCAGTGCTATGCACCTAAGTTGAAGAAACAGTCCAATGTTAAGCATGGAGAACCAGAATGTCTTCCTTGTCCTTCCTGAGTTCTGAAAGCTTTTCTTATTAAAAGTTCTGCATTCTGATTCTTGGGTGTGAGAGTAAAGCAAGACGGCAGAAAGAAGGCTCCACTGATTGTCCCTCCTGCAAGGACACCAGATGAATAACTATTAATATCCACATAGAAAATACATTCATAAGAACCAAAAATCAGGTGAGTACTCAAAGTATCTGGTTTTAACCTCAGATCACTGAAAGAGGCACTGAAGAGACAGAAAAAACAGTCCTGAAATCACCATTTCCTTATCCCCAGCAGTGATGGCATGGTGCAGACAACAACTCTGGGTTCTGCAGGAGGGAGAACACAGCAATTGTGACGCACTGCACTCAGTGCTGTCCTGTTAGAGCAGAAAGGAAAACCAGACCAAATGCAGTTAATGCCCATCCACAGAGGGATCAATTAAACCAGCCCTAGCTAGAGGGGAATCAGATTCCAGTGGTTGGAACTTCAGTGTTTGGAAACCTGGCAACTAAGGGCTCCCGCACTGTGTGTCTAAGAAAACTTGAAAGGCAGCCTAGGCCATCAGGACTGCAACTCTTAGGTGAGGCCTAGGGCTGAACCGGGCCCAGGGACAGTGGACTGGGGTGGGGAGGGCATGCAACACACTGAGACACCAGCTGGGGCAGCCAAAGGAGTTCTGGCATTATCACTCCCTTAACACCAGACTGCACAGCTCATGGCTCCAAAAGGGACACCATCCTTCTGCTTGAGGAGAGGAGGGAAAAGAGTAGGGAGTACTTTGTCTTTCATCCTGGACACCAGCTCAGTCACAGCAAGATAGTGCACTGGTCAGAATCCTGAGGCCTCCTTTCCAGTCTCTGGCTCCTAGACATTCCTAGACACATCCTGGGCCAGAAGGAAACCTGCTGCCTTGAAGAAAAGAACCATGTGCTGGCAGGATTTATCGCCTGCAAACTTGAAAACCTTTGGGCTCTGAATAACCAGCAGCCATACCCAGTACTACATCAAGGGCCTTGGATGACCCTCATAGACTTGCTAGATTTAGGTGAACTCAGCACATTACCAGCTGTGGTAGCTAAAAGGCAAAACTCCTTCTTCTTGGGAAAAGTAGAGGGAAAATTAAAGGGGACTTTGTCTTGCCCCTTAGGTACCAGCAAGGCCAGAGGTGGGTAGAGCACCAAGCAAAATTTCATAATCCCTGATTCTAGGATTTGATTCTTGGCTGGCATTTATGAAGCTGCCCAGGGCCAGTAGGGAGCCCATTGCCCTGAAAACGGCAAGTCCCAGGCCAGGCAGCATTCATCGCAAGTTGACAAGAGGTTTTGGGCCTTAAGGGAACATTGGTGGTAGCCTGGCAGTACTCATTGTGGCCTGAGGTGGTGGTGGCTACTCTGCCTTTAGGAAAGGAAGGGAGGAATGGGAAGGACTATGTCTTGTGGTTTGAGTGTCAGGTCAGCTGCAATGCAATAGAATGTCAGGTGGACTTCTAAAACTTTTGACTCTACTCCCTGACTTCTGAATGGCACTTCTCGACCCAGCCAGGGACTGAGGGCACTCACTGCCCTAAAGGAAAGAACACAGGCCTGGCTGGCTTTGCCACCTGCTAATTGTAGAGACCAAAGGCCTTGAGTGAACATAGGCAGTCATCAGAAAGTGCATGCAGCAGGACTTGAGCAAGACCCAGTGCTGTGCTAGCTTCAGGTCTGATCCAGGGCAGTCATAGTGGTGGTGGCCAGGGGTGCTTGTGTCTTTCTTCTCCCAGCTTTAGGTGGCTTAGAACAGAGAGAAAGACTCTGTATCTTTGAGAGAAAATAATGGTAGAGAACAAGAGTCTCTGGCTAGTAATCTAGAAAATTCTCCTGGATCTTGTTGAAGGCTGTCAAGGTGGTACTTCTCTGAGTCTGGAAGAATTACAGCATTATTGGGTACAAGGTACCCATAAAGCAGATATGGCTTAGATCACAACACCCAAGTCTTTTAAAATATGTGAAAAGTCTTCCCAAGAAAGACAGCTACAAATAAGCCCAGACAGTGAAGACTACAATAAATACTCACCTTTTCTCTTTTTTAATTTTATTTTTTAAACCTCTCATATGGTGCTGCATGCCCAAGAATTTAATGTCCAGACACTGAATAACATCTACTAGCATCAACACCATCCAGGAAAACATGACCTCACCAAGTGAACTAAATAAGGCACCGGGGACAAATCCTGGAGAAAAAGAGATATGTGACCTTTCAGACAGAGAATTCAACATAGCTGTATTAAAAAAAAACTGAAAGAAATTTAAGATAACAAAATAAAGAAATTCCAAATTTTGTCAGCTAAACTCAACAAAGAGATTGAAAAATTTACAACAAATTAAGCAGAAATTCTGGAGCTGAAAAATGCAATTGGCATGCTGAAGAATGCATTAGAGCCATTTAATAGCAGAATGGATCAAGCAGAAGAAATAGTGAGCTTGAAGACAGGCTATTTGAAAATACGTAGTCAGAAGAGACAAAAGAAAAAGAATAAAAACAACAAATCATGCCTACAGGATCTAGAAAAATAGCCTCACAAAGACAGATCTAAGAGTTATTGGTTTTAAAGAAGATGTAGAGAAAGAGGCAGGGGTAGAAAAATTTATTCAAAGGGATAATAACAGAAAACTTTCCAAACCTAGAGAAAGATATCCATATCCAACTACAAAAATGTTATAGGACATTAAGCAGATTTAACCCAAAAAAAGACTACTTCAAAGCATTCAATAGATCTTCCAAAAGTCAAAGATAAAGAAAAGTTCTAAAGGAAGAAAGAGAAGAGAAACAAAGAACATAACAGTGAGCTCCAACACCTCTGGCAGCAGACTTTACGGTGGAAACCCTACCGGCCAGGAGAGAGAAGCAATAAATATTTAAAGTACTAAAGGAAAAAAAACCTTTTACCTTAGAATAGCATATACAGTGAAAATATTCTTCAAATAAAAAGAAGAAATACTGACTTTTCCAGACAAAAGCTGAAGTATTTTATGAATACCATGTCTGTCCTAAAGGAATGCTAAAGAGAGTACTTCAATCAGGAAGAAAAGGACATTAATGAGCAATAAATGATCACCTAAAGGTAAAAAAAATCCTCAGTGCTAATAGGATACAAAACAAAACAGAATATTATAACGCTGTAGCTGTGGGATGTGCAAACTACTCTTATTCAAAGTAGGAATACTAAATAATATCCAATCAAAAGTAATAGCTACAACATTTCCAGACATAGCACAATAAAATATAAATAGAAACAACAAAAAGTTAAAAAGTGAAGGGATGAGCACACCCGTCCTGAGCCGGCCGATGTGGTGGAGCTCGGAGCTCGGGAGCCGGGGACGCCCTGGAGCGTGGGCGGAAGGGAGGCCGCCCCGAGAGCCGGAAGCCTGGGCAGGGCACGGAGGCCTAGGACGCCCCCCAGCAACAGCAGGGCGGCGCCACATTGGTCCTGCGCGAGGCCTGGCCGCCGGCGACGGCGGGACGCTCTGGGAGGCCGGCGGTGCTCGGGCGTAGAGGGAGACAGCTGCCCGGGGGCACGGACGAGCGGCTCTGGGGGTCCCGGATCCGAGCCCCGCTGCCCCGGGGTGGCGGTGACGCCTGGAGCCGGGCGGACGTGGCTGGGCCGGGCTGTCGGGGCGGGCAGGCGCCGCTGCCGGTGTCTAGGCCACACCACCCTGAGCGCGCCCCAGCTCCTCTGAGCTCGTGAAGCTAAGCAGGGTCCGGCCTGGTTAGTACTTGGATGGATTCCGCCTGGGAATAGCGGGTACCGTAGGCTTTTGGCTTCCCGCTCCCTCCCTCTTTCCCCGTTTTGTCTCCGTGCTTCCCAACCGCCCCCTCCCTCCACCCTGTCCGCCCCTGCGCCCCAGCCGAAGCCCAGGACCTCCCCCTGAAGATCCGCCACTGCAGCACCGCCAGGCAGCAGCATCCCACCTTTTCCGACTCGCCGCAGCCCCACCAGGAGCCGGGCTCCAACCCAGGCGGACTGGACCGACCCCGAGGGCGCAGGCGCGGGTTCCCTGAGGTCCCGGGTGTCTTTCACGCTCCCCGGAAGCCCAGGCAATTCATTCATCCAGCGCCGCTGCGACGGTCCAAACCGGGGGAAGGGGCGGGCAGGGGCAGCGGGTCCCACAGACGCCAGCCGAGACCTCCGCTCCGGAACCCGTGGGCTGCTTTACCCGGGGGAAGGACATTGCCCTCGCCAGCCGTGAGGAAATCCGTCCCTGTGCACTTTGCCACCGACTTCGTGTAAATTCCAGTCCCGAGGACACGAGAGAGACCCAGGCCTGGCCCCGTGGACAGGCTCAGAGCCAGGGCTCTCGCCAGACGGATGGGCGCATCTACAAATCTGGGGGGCCACCGCATCGAGAAGACAGAAAGAAGCAAACAAAGGAAGGACCCTATGAAACGCACCCCCAAAGCAAACAACCAATCCAAGAAAAAACACGTCTCAGGGCTCCGTTGGTTTTCCCGCATGGGGGGCCCTGACCCCCTGTTCTAGCCCGGCCTAAGCACCCTCCACCCCACCCCGGCCTGCTCAAAGGGGGCCTGTCTACCTGAGCAGAGCCTCCCTCTCCAAGGCTCTGTCGCTCTCGCTCTGCAACTCCCTCAGCCTCTCCCTTTCTCTACTTCCCCTTCCACCTCGCGCTCTTCTGTCGCGCTCTCTCTTTCCCTCTCTCTCTCTCTCTCCTCCCCCACTCTCTGTCTCTCTCTCTCTCTATCGCTGTCTCTCTCTCTCCCTCTGGTTCTATCTCTCCATTCCTCTCTCCCTTCCTCTCCTTCTGTAGCAGGAGGAGCCGCAGACAAAACCCCTCAGACACCGAGTTGTAGAAGGAAGGGCTTTATTCAGCTGGGATCATCCGCAGACTCATGTCTCCAAAAACCGAGCTCCCCGACTGAGTAATTCCTGTCCCTCTTAAGGGCTTACAACTCTAAGGGGGTCTGCGTGAGAGGGTCGTGATCCATTGAGGAAGCAGAGGGTACTGACTGGGGGCCGCATGCAGCGGTAATTAGATCAGAACAAAACAGGACAGGGATTTTCACAGTGCTTTTCGATACAATGTCTGTAATCTATAGACAACATAACCGAGTAGGTCAGGGGTATATCTTTAACTACCAGGCCCAGGGTGTGACACCGGGCTGTCTGCCTATGGATTTCATTTCTGCCTTTTAGTTTTTACTAAAAGCGGTGCGCCCATGTGTGTCTGTTTGGGAATGGGTTTGCTCGTGATTGTGGTGGGGTGTGTCTGGATGTCCGTCAGTAACTTTGTCCCGGGATCAGGCTGCCTACTCTATCGCCAGCGCATGGGTGTCACAGTTGCTGTGTTAGTCTCAGTACGCAGAAATTGGGCATAAGACAATATGAGGGGTGGTCTCCTCCCTTACTTCAAGCTATCTTTGTCTGTGTCTGTGTCTTTGTGTGTCCGTGTGTGTGTGCCCGTGTGTGTCTCCGTGTGTGTCCGTGTGTGTGTGACCGCGCGCGTGCTCCCGTGTGTATCTGTGTGCGTGTCGGGGTGGGTTTGCTCGTGGTGGTGGGGTGTGTCTGGGTGGCCCATCAGCCCCTCTCCCCCGGGATCAGGCTGCGGGGGCTCTAGTGCCAGCGCGGGGCAAAGCAGGGCCTTGGCCAACGGGGCGAGTCCTCGTTGGGACAAGCGACAATGGTGTGGGCGTTGTGAGAAAAAGGGCCCTCAGGGCTGGGCCGGCTGTTTGCCCCTGGACAGCCCTGACGGCTCTGGGTGTGTGGGGCAAGAGGGGGCCTTGCAGGAGGGGCGGCGAGGGATCCAAAACAATTTTTCTGCGGCAAGACGAAGGACCGGAGGGGATCCCAGGACAGTTGGCCCTGGGCCCTGACGCCTCGGAGCACACCCCGTCCTGAGCCGGCCAGATGTGTTGGAAGCTTGGGAGCTCCCAAGCCGGGGAAGGCCTGGAGCGTCTGCGAAAAGGGAGGCCACCTGGTGTGCCTGGAGCCTGGGCAGGGGACTGAGGTCTCTGGCTCTCCCGCGCTGCAGCAGGGCGGTGCCACGGCGCGTTCTCTGGCCGCAGGCGACGGGGGTGGCTCTGGGAGGCCGGCGGAAGGCGCAGCGCGGCGGCCGGCGGTGCTGGGACCTTGATGGCGAGAGCAGCCCGGCCGCGGGGGAGCGGTTCTGGGGCCCCGGATCTGAGCCCCGCGGCCCAGGGGTGGCGGTGACGCCAGGAGTCGAGCAGCCGCCACTGCCGGCCTTTACGGCCACACCACCCTGAACGCACGGGATCTCGACTGACCTTGAAAGCTAAGCAGAGTCGGGCCTGGTTAGTACTTGGGATGCGAGACCCCCTGGGAATACAGGGTGCTGAAGGCTTTTGGCTCCCCGCTCCCTCCCTCTTTCCCCCTTTTGTCGCCGTGCTTCCCAACGGCCCCCTGACTCTACTCCCACTTTTCCGCACGCCTGCGCTCCACAACGCATGGGCTGGTTTCCACCGCGGAAGGACATTGCCTTCGTCAGCCACCAAGAAAACCGTCCCTGTGCACTTGGATTTTCATTGCCACCGACTTCGTGTAAAATCCAGTCTCGGGGACACGAGAGAGACCCAGGTCTTGAGCCCTGTAAGCACGCTCGGCGTTATGGCTCCGGTCAGATGGACAGGCGCACTCTACAAATCTCGGAGCCTACTGCATCAAGAAGACAGAAAGGAGCAAACAAAGGAAGGACCCTACCAAACGCACCCCTGAAGTAACTAACCAATCCAAGAGTGAACACGTCTCAGGGCTCAGTTAGTCCTCTCCCTTGGACGGCCCTGCCCCCCTGTTCTGGCCCAGCCCAAGCACCCTCCACCCCACCCCGGCCTGCTCAAAGGGGCCCTGTCTGCCAGAGCAGAGCCTCCTCCAAGGCTCTATGGCTCTCGCTCTCCAGCTCCCTCATCCTCTCTTTTTCTCTTCTTCCCCTCCACCTCTCGCTCTTCTGTCACCTTCTCTCCGTCTCTCCCCACCCTCTCTGTCTCTATCTCTGTCTCTGTCTCACCCTTTGTTTCTATCTCTCCATCCCTCTCTCCCTTTCTGTCCTTCAAGCCGTCTGTGTCTTTGTGTGTGTGTCCGTGCGTGTCCGTGTGCGTGTGCGCGCGCCCGTGTGTATCTGTGTGTGTGTGGGGGGGGTGGGTTTGCTCGTGGTGGTGGTGGGGTGTGTCTGGGTGTCCGTCAGCCCCTCTTTCCCGGGATCAGGCTGCCGGGGCTCTAGTGCCAGCGCGGGACAAAGCAGGGCCTTCCTGCCCCGTTGGCCACGGGCCGGTCTTCCTCGGGACAAGCGACAATGGTGTGGGCGTTGTGAGAAAAAGGGCCCGCGGGGCTGGGCCGGCTGTTCGCCCCCGGGCAGCCCTGGCTTCTCTGGGAGCGTGGGGCAAGAGGGGGCCTTGCAGGAGGGGCGGCGAGGAATCCAAAATAATTTTTCCGCGGCAAGGCGGAGGACCAGAGGGGATCCCAGGACCGTGGGCCCTGGGCCCTGACACCTGGGATCACACCCCGTCCTGAGCAGGCCCCAAGTGTTGGAAGCTCCGGAGCTGGAGAGCCAGGGGAAGGCCTGGAGTGTCAGCTAAAGGGAGGCCGCCTGGAGAGTCCAGAGCCCTGGCAGGGAATGGAGGCCTCGGGCGCCTCAGCGGTCCTGCGCGTGGTCTGGCCGCCGGCGATAGCGGGACGCTCTGCGAGGCCGGCGGAAAACGCAGCGCGGCGACTGGTGCTTGGGCGTATAGAGGGGGAGAGCAGCCCGGCCGCGGGCGAGCGGCTCCGGGGGTGCCTGATCCCAGCCTCGCGGCCCCGGGTTGGTGGTGACGCCTGGAATCAGACGCGCGTAGCTGGACCGGGCTCTTGGACCAGCCAGGCGCCACCGCCATTGTCTACGGCCATACCATTCTAAACACGAGAGAAACCCAAGCCGGGGCCCGTGGGCACGCTCGGGGCCACTGCTCCCACCACAGGGACGGGCGCACTCGACAACTTTCAGGACCCACAGCACCAAGAGGACAGGGAGGAGCCAGCAAAGGAATGACGCTACGAAACGCACCCCCAAAGCCACCAACCAATCCAAGTGAAAACACGTCTCAGGGCTCCCTTGGTTTTCCCTCGTGGGCGGCCCTGCCCCCCTGTTCTAGCCCGGCCCAGGCACGCTCCACCCTACCCTGGCCAAAGGGGCCCCTGTCTACCAGAGCAGAGCCTCCTTCTCCAAGGCTCTGTTGCTCTCCTTCTCTAGCTCCCTCGCCCGCTCCCTTTCTCTACTTCCCTCTCCACCTTGCCCGCTCTCCTCCCTCTCTCTCTCTCTCTCTCTCTCGCTGTTTCTCTCTCTCCTTCCGTTTCTATCTTTCCATCCCTCTGTCCTTTGCTTTTCTTCAAGCTGTCTGTGTCTTTGTGTGTCTGTGTGTGTGCTTGTGTTCCCGCGCGTGCGCCCGTGTGTGTCTGTGTGTTTGGGAGTGGGTTTGCTAGTGATTGTGGTGGGGTGTGTCTGGATGTCCGTCAGTACCTTTGTCCTGGGATCAGGCTGCCAACTCTATTGCCAGCGCGTGGGTGTCACAGTTGCCCTGATAGTCTCACACACGCAGGTGTGTGGATCTCGTTCATTTTCATGTAGACAACGAGATCGAAACCACAGAGAAAAGAAACGTCCCGTGCATCACGGCCTGACGATGGATTCCTGTTTCCTGCAAAATGGGGGGTCTGCAATATAGCCTGTTTGAAACTGGAAAGGAGAGCACCGACACGATGCTGGTGTTCCACGCATTCCTGGAAGTTTCTGGGTCCCCACAGAGCTCGGGAAACAAACAGTCAACATGGTCACACTTTCGGGGGGCGGGGGCAGAGACTTGAGCAACAGGCACCTCTGCAGAGGGCAAAGAAACGTGGAATCCAGAATCACGCTTTAGTTGGCCTGAGCGTGATTCCTGTGTGGATGGGACTATCCGCCTCGCGCTCTGTTGCAGGGCTCAGCGTGGGGATATGTCATCTGTGAACCATGTGGATGAAAAACGGACAACCACCTGAGTCTCAGCTCATTGCTCTCTGGGGAATTCGCTCATTCCTTCGGAAACGGAATTCGTCTGAATCGCTCCGGGATGAAGTAACTCAGGCTGGCGATCCGGAGGGCCCAGCACTTAGCCCGCGCTGGGCACCCAGCATTTTCCCGGAGTGCTGGGTCCTGTTGGTTCTGGAGGCAGAAGACCGTTTTTCTGTCTGCCTTCCTTTATCTGTTTCTTGCTCCTTTTGTCCCTCGGTCCATCCTTCCGTCTGCTCTTCCCTTCCTCCCCTGGTTTTTTCCTCCCTTTCTCCCTCCCTCCCTCTTTCTCTCCTTTCCAGGGTCCCTCCGTCCATCCATCCTTTCCTAGCTCCATCCTTCCCTCCCACTCTGTCTCCGTTCCCGTCCTCATCTCTGCCTGCCTTGCCTCTTGCCTGGAAAGGGCAGCACCCTGGTTTGCACGGGGTCTCGGGTCTACATTTAGTTGCAAGGCGCTCCATGGTGCTGGCGAGGAGGCTGGCGGGACGGGGGTTGGCAAGTGTTGGTGAGCGAAGAGGCAGAGGAGTCGAGCCACGGAAAGGAGAACTGGCCTGGCTTCTGCCCCGGCCCAGCGCTTCGCGGACTGAGGTCTCCGCCAACTCGACTGAAGAACGCTGGGGAAAAAGGAATGAGAGCTCCGCCTGGGCTGGTTGGAAAACCTAGGCTGCTGCCTGCAAACCTGCGCATGCGCAGTAGACAGTCCACCTCCCGGTACCTGGGCGGGCCCTGGGATCCCCGGGATGCTCAGGAAAGAATGACAGCCCTCCTCTGTGTGGAGTCTCTCACCGGACCTGGAACTCAGGGATCCTAGACAGGTCAGCTGGAAGGGAAGGCACGCCTCTCCATACCGAGTCAGAGGTTCACCGCGAAAGAGAGGGCGCCATCCTGCCCCCACCCCGCCCCAACCCCGCTCCAACCTGCTCCTCCAGCAGAGCCCGGTGTTCTTCCTGGCTGAGGAGTGGTTCCAGCAGAGCGGGCTCTTCCACGTCCTTCAGCTCCCCCAGTGGCGCCGGATCTAGGAAAGGTCGTGCCTTTTGCTGAAACTCTGGTGTCTACAGGAGCTCATATAACAGGCTGGAGGTGACTGTAGACGAGCGCCCCGGCTCCTGGAGCGGTTGGGAGGCGCCTGGATGGCTGGCATCTGTGCTTGCCGCGGAGGCGTCCGGGGGCGCGGGCTGGGGAGGTGGAGCTGCCCCGGCTTGGGGTTCCCACGCCGCCCCGGCGACCTGGGGACCCCGGCCCCAGCCCCACCACGGACTCCCCTGGGACGTGGGTGGCGCAAGCACCCCTTGGCCCTGCGGCCCCGCTTGAGCGGGCCCAGGCTGTGCCACCGCGCAGGGGCCCGGCAGGCCGTCGCGCTGCGCGTCCCGGTCCTCCCGGCTTTTGCCCGGGTGCGGAGGCCACCGAGGAGCCTGAGGGTGGGAGAGCGCCCCGTCCGGAGGAGCCGGGGCGGCGTAGGCGAAATCCCCGCGCGCCGGGGCAGGTTGGGAGACCCCCTCTGCCGGCGCGGCCTGGCTGGGCTGCAGCGCGGGGGCGGCCCTCGCTGCCTGGCTCACGAAAGCCCCCTGTGGGAGAGCCCCAGGCGCGCAGGGCACGTGGGGTGCGGGAAGCCCCGTTCCCCACGCGCCGGTGTGGGCGAAGGCGACCCACGAGGGAGCAGGGTGACCCCCGCCAGGGGCCGCGCTGCACAGGCCGCCTGCCTGCGCGGGCGCCCTGCCACCCTGTCCCGGGTGCCTGGCCCTTCGATTCTGAAACCAGATCTGAATCCTGGACTCCGGGAGGCCCGTCTCTCTGGCCAGCTCCTCCCGGGCGGCGATGCCTGGAAAGCGATCCTTCTCAAAGGCTCGGAGGAGCAGGGCGGTCTGGGATCCGGTGACGGCGGTCCGCTTTCGCCGGCCTTCTGGCGGGCCGCGTCTCCCGGGCCAGGGCCGAGATTCCCGCCGGTGCTGCCTCAGCTGGCGTGACCTCTCATTCTGAAACCAAATCTGGACCCTGGGCTCCGGAATGCCGATGGCCTGGGCCAGCCGTTCTCTGGTGGCGATGCCCGGGTACGGGTTCCGCTCAAAGCAGGCTCGCAGGGCCTCGCTTTGGCTCGGGGTCCAAACGAGTCTCCGTCGCCGTCCTCGTCCCCGGGCTTCCGCGGGGAGGGTGCTGTCCGAGGGTGTCGGGAGGGCCATCGCGGTGAGCCCCGGCCGGAATTTCACGGACGGACGCGGGCAGAGAGAGGCCGGCGGGCTCCCGTGCACCTCAGCCGGCCTGTGCACTGCGGCAGGTGCAGCCAGGAGGCCCTTAGAAAGACCTACCACCTCCACCGCGTTATGAACATGCATGAGCTCGGGGCCCAAGGTCCCGGGGTAGCCCGCCCTCCGAAGCCGAAAACCACAGGGACCAGGGCCTTGTGGGGTGGGTGGGTGCAGGGCCGGATTGGAGGGGAAAGAGGGGCTTCCGGGGCTGGCTCTCTGAGGTTCTCCAGTAATTCTATGGAAACTGGAAGCCGCTGTCTTGACTCAGTTTTCAGGCAGAAACCACCCCGAAGGGTGGAGTGTGGAACTGAGCTTCCGTGACGGTCTTGAGTTTTCCAGGCCCTCTGTGGGTGTCGCCGTTGCCGTGATAGTTCACACACGCAGGGGTGTGGATCTCGTTCGTTTTCATGTAGAAAACGAGAGCGAAACTGCAGAGAAAAGAAACGTCGGGTGCATCACGGCCTGACCACGGATTCCTGTTTCCTGCAACAAGGGGAGTCTCCACTGTGGCCGGTCTGGAAACCGGAAAGGAGAGCGAAGTCACGATGCTGCTTTTCCACGCTTCGCTGGAGGTTTCTGTGTCCCCGCAGAGCTCGGGAAACAGCCAACGTGGTCGCGCTTTCGGGGGCGGGAGACACGCGAGCAACAGGTCCCCTTGCAGAGGGCGAAGGAGCGTGGAACCCGGAATCACGGTTCACTCGGCCCGAGTGTGACTCCCGTGTGGACGGGCCTGTCCGCCTCGCGCTCTGTTGCTCAACGCGGGGCCGTGTCGTCTGTGAACCACGTGGATGGAAAACGGACAATCACCCGCGTCTCGGCTCATTGCTCTCATTCCTTGGGAGGCGGAATTCGTCCGAATTGCTCCGGGATGAAGTGACCCGGGCCGGCGATCCGGAGGGCTGGTGAGCTGGTGGGCGCCCCGCAAGCAGACGCGGCTGTGGGCCGAGCTCTCGGCCTGCACCGGGCACCCCACGTTTTCCCGGAGTGCGAGGTCCCGCTGGCCCTGGAGGCGGAAGACCGCTTTCCTCTCTGCTTTCCTCTCTGCTTTCCTCTCTGTCTCTTGCTCCCTTTCTCCCTCTGTCCTTCCCTCCCTCCCTCCTCCTTCTCTCCCTCCCTCCCTCCCCGCTCCCCACTTTCTCCTTTCCAATGTCCCTCTATCCATCCGTCCTTTTCTCGCTCCATTCCTCCCTTTCTCTCTGTCTCTGTTCCTCTCCCCATCTCTATTTTTCAACATTATATGATCCCATTGTGTGTATCTGTGTGTTAACATTTTTTAGCAATAAAATTCATTTTCATTATGTACATTGTTATTTAGACACATTATTTATGTATGTGCATTTGTTTAATAGACATAATTTATTTCAGCGTTATTCTACAGCAGAGTGTAAGCATAACTCATAAGCAGTGTCAACCCAAAAATTGTGTGACTCGCGTTACTGTGATTCTTTTATACTGCAGTGCTCGAGAATAAAATCTCTGTATCTCCAATTCATATCTGTGTATTACCATTGAATTGGCCCCATTTCCTGTAGTGATAGAACACTATTCCCGCACTATGACAAGAGCTGTGGGCTGTGGGGAGGTCAGGGATAGGATGACACGGAAGTGACGATAAGACATTCTCTTTTTCACATTTTTATTAAATACAAATTCCATATGAAAGAAATTTAAAATTCCAAACAACATTGTTTATTTCATTACATAAAATGAAAATTATAAAGCAACCAAACAATTAATACACTTAGATAATGAAATAGTGTATGATCTCAGTACAAAATACAAGTAGAATATACGTCAAATATAACAAAATACACTGTATTGTAGTACGTGATGAAATCTCCATATCCTGCAATATAGTACAATCAATTGAAATGTATAAAATATAATAAAATATAAATTTAGGATGTTTAAAATGAAATGAAACATGAGGCAGGTCAATAAATAAGTACAATCATTTACCATTTACTATATCTTGACTTAAATTTTATGTAGAAATATTAAAAGTAAACAGCTTGCATAGTAATTTTACTATAATTATATCAAACTAAAAATATATAGACATTTTCCCACAGGGAGTGCTATTAATGGTTTGTGGATATTAGTACTCCATGGGTTCAGGCTGGAAGAGTGAGAGCCTACAACCTTTTCTGGATTAAAAGAGAAGCAATTTCTTGGTAAGGCGGCTCATGCCTGTAATCCCAGCACGTTGGGAGGCGGAGGCTGGCAGATCACCTGAGTTCGAGGCCAACCTGGCCAAAGTGACAAAACTCTGTCTCTACTAACAATACAGGAAAAAAAAAATTAGCCAGGCATAGCAGTACATGCCTGTAGTCCCAGCTGCTTGGGAGGCTGAGGCATGAGAATTGTTTGAACCCAGGAAGCAGAGGTTGCAGTGAGCTAAGATTGTGCCACTGCACTCCAGCCTGGGTAACATAGCAAGACTGTCTCAAAAAAAAAAAAAAACAAAAAAGGAGCACATAATTTTATATTTACTTTTCTACAATCTAAAATATGCAAATTCACGATTACATTCTAATGTTTTTCTGATTATATAGAAATGCATGACTGTCATCAGACATCCAAAAGGCATCAAATGTCTAACATGAAATATAAAATTTGTCTATAGTCTTAGCGGTCTGCAAAATTCAGGGCTCTCACCATTCTGAGTATACCGCTCAAGTTTCTTTCCTATGACTTCTTCAGGTTCTGTCATTTATTAACACAGTGTGTCTAAAATTGTCACTGCTGGTCATCTGGAAGAATCTGAGAAGAAGCAGATCCTTGTTCTCATTCCCAGAGCTGCATCTCTGCTGAATAGGGTCAGGGTGCTCACAGCTTAGCCTCATCTGATCCACTGACAGTCTCAGTTATCTCCTGCCCAGGGAAGGGATGGGCTTCTCTATCCAGGGCTGATTCCCCAGGACCTGGCAGTGTGGCTGGGACAAGCCAGCTCTCAGCAGGGAAGACATAAGCTGCCTGGGTGGCCATGGAATACAAGGTCTGCACCTGGGCACACAGAGGCCCCCGGAGCCGAGTGAGCAGTGTCAGCTGCTCACAGGTAAGTGGAGAATGGATCTGCTGTGCCCACACCTGGGCTAGGTCTTGATAAACAGCCTCTGACATAGCTCGCACAGAAGTCACCAAGCTTTTTCGAATTGACGGTGTTTGGACTCCTAGGGCCCGAGACCTATGCCGCTTGCTGTGCCCAGTGCAAGCCCTGGAATGTCCCCTATGGTGGGCATCACAGGTCTCCTGGATTTCACTGTTGTGCACAGCAGTGGAGGATCTTGATTTTTTATTCAATGACAAGCTGCACTCCTTTTCTGGACAGTTCCCTGCAAAGAAAGCATGTGAGAGACTCACCAGAGCAGTCCCCACAGACCCTGATTTCCAGAACCCCCTGTACACCCAGGTGAACCCCACTTGTCTCTCCCACTCCTTCCTGACCATCTCAGCACTGGAATGAAGTGAGGCTGAACCCCCTGTGAGTCCCCAAATATTCTCAGAGTGCTAAGATCTCAAAAATTTACTCGTCAATAAGTAACTCCCTTTCCGCTCAAGCCTCGTATAAAAGTTTCCTGATTATTTGCCTTTTGGGGCAAACCAAAAACAAAAAAACCACCACCACCAACAACAAACACCAAGATTCTACCTGCTGTGTCTTGGCAGCTGTCCTTGGAACTCATTTTTCTTTTCCTGCAGTTTTCCCGATATGAGCTGGACTCTGGTTCTGTGAACACAATGAGAGTTTGAGAAAGTGCCTCCAACTGAACACCCTGAAATTCCTAGTCCATCCTGGACACACAGGAGCTGAGGTTACCACCAAACCCCAGCTCTCTTCTGTTCTCCAGTGTCCAGGATCTGTACGGCCCTGGCTGCCAAGGAGCTCCCAGTTTCCTTGCCAGGGGAGCCTGTGTTGCTTCCCTGTCCCTTCTCACCTTGAAAGAGTCAAATCTTACCTGATCCAGCAGTGCTGTTCCCGGCCTTGAGCTTGGTTTCCTCAGAATTCTCCTTGTTTGGATTGGGCTCCGATCCTGCTGCAAGAGAAGGTTTAGGTGACTCACCTCTCCCTAGGCAGAGTCCCACAGTCTATCTCTGATGCATTTTTGCGGATCAGTCTTTCATGTGAAGCTCTTCTGCCAGTGTCACGAGTGAACACATTTCTCAAGTCCCCTGAGGGCACTAAGCCATTTCCCATCCCCAAATCTCAAAATAAAACCCTGCTAAAGACACAGCTCAGTATCCCTGATTCCAACCCTCCTTCCAGACTCCACAGGAGCAGCCCAAGGCCTTACCTTGCCTTTGTATGTGCTTCTCACTGGAATGGGAGAAGGCGGTCTTGCCTTTTTCTTTGAATGGTTTCTTCTCATCTGAGCCCTTTTCTGTAAAGGAGATCTGTTGGAAAGGGGGCTGGTCAGTGGAGCACTGGATGGAGGAGCAGTGGAGATCGGAGTCTTCATTTCCCTTTCCCATGTTGAAGCTCAAGTGAAAGGTGCGCTCTCTCTCACGTCCAAAGGCAGAGTGTGGGTTAGTCTGCTAGACCTGCCTTTTATACGTCCCTCGGCTGGGCGTGGCTTACTCTTATTGGCTGAAGAGTTTTCTCATTCCTGCCGCTTCTTAGAGCCTCAATCAGAAGTTTCTTGCTGTAGTTCTACTGGGGACCTAGACACAGTTAAAGGGAGACATTTTCAGGATCCTGTCATGGTGTCCAGAAAACAAAGAACCGGGAGCACAGGGACCGGAAAATCGGGGAAGCATTTCTTCCTATTTCTGTCCCAGTTCCTACCTGGAAGGATTTATGATCCTGTTCACCTTTCAAGATGCACAATTAAACATGCCTATATTGTCATATGTTATATATTTTGCACAGAAAGAGAATTTATTATACATAGTGTTAACATTGTATGCATAGATATTATAATTTCTTAAATGCTTGGAAACAACAAATGTCAAATTATGGTTGATTGTATTAGGTCCACACATATATGATGAAATAAAAATGCAGAGAAAAAATAAATACCAAATGAAATGGCCCTTCCTACCTTAAAAATGGGGAAGATAATTAGATCAAATGCAATAAAATTGAATTGATTAGGTTGAGTCAGTGCTAACCTAATTAGCCCCCGATTCCTGAGGTAGCAAAAAGTCTCGGTGGAAAAACTTTCCCCCATTCTCACCCTTCCTCAGTCATCCTGGGAGCGCCATTGTGTTCTGTGGGCTTTATTCAGCCCTCCCTAGTGAAAATGGACTTGGTCTCAAACAGGTAACCCAACTGATCACAAGACAAACAGCCTAGATTCTGAACATCAGCTCCTGTCTTCACACTGCGGACACCACCTGAATCCCGTCAAAGCCCACATTGATTCTCAACATCCACCAGCAAGACGTATTCCAGGGCAGCCTCTCAAAACTGCCTCAGTGAGACAGGACAAGGTGTGGTGGAGCTCCAGGTTCAGAACAGCTGCCTCATCCCTTCCTACTGCGGCGGAGTCTGTCTCTGCTGGTCAGAGCCCTCCAACTAGCCTAGTCTATGTCCAAGCAAGTGTCCCCTAAAAGGACCTTCTTGTCTCCCCCTCTGCTGAGGAAAGCATGCAGGAACGAGACCTTCTATGTTAAGGAGTACTCAGCCTCCAGTCCCAAATGACTTGATTGACTGATGAACTGATTCCTTGAGGAGGAGAAAGTCACAGGGAAGAGACTGTGTTGGGTGAGTCTGTGTTTTCCCAGCTGTGCTGCCTGTGCAAATAGTGGAACGAAAAAAGAATTAGTGGTAGACAGACACTGCCTAGTGAAATTGTCTGAAAGTAAATGGAACTTATCATAATATGATATCGTTATATATTATAATATTATGATATGAAATTTGACATCTAAATAAATTTTGATATATTATGAAATAATATATAAAATTTGGTCAGGTAATTTCATAAATTTTGTAACAACATTAACCTATAAACTCAATAGAAAGCTAGGAAAATTGTCTGCTCTTGTGTAAATGACTGCGTTTTGGATAACTCTGTAAAAGCTGTGAAGAGGGGTCTGCTACTTACGTGATAGTAAGTACTTGATAAGACATCGACTTGCACATCTTTGCTGTTTTTAACCAATGCTCTCTCAAGATATGAGAATATTTTACTCTAAGAAAGTATTTTCCTAGATATCGTAATAGGAATTTTGTTAATTTTAGTTAATAAATTATTACAACATTTAGTGATTATTAATAATTTATGTCATTGTTAAAATATATTCCTACAGAGAACATATTACCCATGTGTTTTTATTTGTCCTTTAATCTCAGGTAAATTTTTTAAATTTTTATTTATTAAATTCTATTTATTTTAGACAAAAGAGACCTTGTAACTGCCATATGATGTACTTTCTTAGAAAGAGAAATTCTCAGGCAAAACTTAGGACTGGCTGGGCATGGTGGCTTATGCCTGTAATCCCAGCACTTTGCGAGGCCAAGGCGGGTGGATCACCTTAGGTCAGGAGTTCAAGGCTAGCCTAGCCAACATAAGGAAGCCCCATCTGCACTAAAAATACAAAAAAAAAAATTAGCTGAATGTGGTGGCTCATGCCTGTAGTCCCAGCTAGTTGGGAGGCAGGAGGATTGCTTGAACCCGGGAGGCAGAAGTTTTGGTGAGCCGAGATCAATCCACTGCACTCCAGCTGGGCGACAGAGCAAAACTCCATCTCAAAAAAAGAAAAAACTCAGCCTTATTTTTATCAAAATCTAGATTGTAAATGACATTTCTAGGTGTCCCCTTTCAATAAAAATCCAAACCAAAACAAACAAAAAGCTTCTAGGTAATTCATATGAATATTAATAACTGTTAAATTGGGTACTTTTATTTTTAAGAGAGGGATTGTTTATATGGATGTGTTGATGTATCAAACATGTACAGTTAAAATTGTACCTTTTTTTGACAGAGCCTCACTCTGTCCCTCTGGAAGGAGTGCAGTGGTGCAATCACAGCTCACTGCAGCCTTGACCTCCCAGACTCCAGTGATCCTCCCAAGTCAGCCTCTCAAATAGCTGTGACTAGAAGTGTGCACCACTATGCCCAACTAACTTTTAAAAAATTGTTGTAGAGATGAGGTCTCACTCTCTTGCCCCAGTGAGGCCTTGTTATGTTGCCTAGGCTGGTCTCAAACTCCTGAGCTCTGGCTTCCAAAGTGATGAGGTTACGAATGTGAGCCACCATGCCCAGCCAAGATTAGACCTTTCAATGAGTGCACATCTTACCTCAAAAAAAAAAAAAAGAAAAGAAACTTATTAAAAGATAAAGTCTGAGTTAAAAGTGGGTTCACACTAATGATTTTTAGTTTGGTACTTCTATTGTTAAAAGAGGGATTGCTTATATGGGTGTGTTTATGTGTAAAAAGCTAGTTAAGGTCGAACCTTTATTTATTTTTTTTTTGAGACAGAGTCTCACTCTGTCACCCAGGCTGATGTGCAGTGGCACAATCACAACTCACTGTAGCCTCAAACTCGTAGAATCAAGGGATCCTGCTATGTCAACATACCAAGTAGCTGGAACTACAGGCATGCACCACCGCGCCTGATTAATTAAAAAAAAAATTTAATAAAGATGTGGTCTCACTATGCTGCCCAGGCTGCTCTCAAACTCCTGACCTCAAATGATCCTCCTGCCTTGTCATTCCAAAGTGATGGGATTACACAGGCTTAAGCCATTGTGCTCAGCCAAGATTTTACCTTCAATGAGCACACATTTTATACCACAAAAAATAATAATAAATAACAAAGTCTGTGTGAGAAATGAGTTGAAGTATAGATAACACAAAATTGGCATGTTATTAGTTGTTGTTGAGCCTGGGTAACAGGCCTATTGTACTGTTTCTTTTATTTTGTGTATGTTTTAAATTTTCTGTAATAAAACATGTATAATAATACAAAGTTGATCTACACTGTTAGCTCTTAAGATCTTAGTGACTTTGGGGGAGCAAAAGAGAGAAAGTGGTTACCAGGACATCTGTGAAGCTGGTTCTATTTCTAGGTTACACACGTGTGTTCACTTTGTAATAATTCATTGAACTTTACATGATTTCTTTGTATACGTCTTTCTGCATGAATGTTATACATATATAAAAATTTAAATATTACCTATTTGCACAAAATTTTAACTTCATATCTCAGAATAATAGCACTGTTTTGTACTGTTTTAAAGTGGGACATGTTTTCTCGGGGCATCATCAGATGGATATTAATATTCCAAGGTATTTACTTATGTTGTAACACTTCGGTGACCTTCTAGGTCTTCCCATGTTTACATCAATTTAGTAAGTAAGATAGTTTTAATTTTTTAGGGTATAGGCCAAGCACGGTGGCTCATGCCTACAGTCTCAGCTCTTGGGAGGCCAAGGCAGGAGGATCATTTGAGTCCAGTATTTTGAGTTTTTTTAGGATGCAATTATTATTCAGCAAAGTCCTCTCCCCACGGTGAGGTTCAGCAATGCAAGGGCACCTAGTGCATACTATGCATTTGGTATGAGTAGAACTGGATTGAATCAGGAATAAAATACGTAGCAGAGGTCAGTTCGGCAAGGAAAAGTAGGTAATGCAGGTAAGATCAGAAGAGCACAACCCAGCAGCAAATCTTTCCATTTATTTCAGGAACCCGTTTGCCACTAGTTCACCGGAAGAGGCTGATTTAAACCATTCATTTCAGGAAACCATTTGCCACTAGTTCACCAGAAAAGGCTGATTTAAACCATTCATTTCAGGAAACCATTTGCCACTAGTTCACCCGAAGAGGCTGATTTAAAGCAGCAGTTTGGGGGCTTGGTTGTACCCCATAGTCACCCAGAGAGCTTTAAACAGCACTATGGCTCAGGTCCCACTGCAGGGATTCTGAGTTCACTTATCTATTGCCTTTTGAGTTTAGGTAATTTTAAAAGCCTCCCTGGTGATTCCTGTGTGCACCCAGGGGGAACAACCCCTGGTTCGGGATGAGAAATGCATTTGCTGTGCATGCATTCCATGTGTGCAGCGGTGATTTGCCCCATGGCCACTCCTGAGTTTGGGGTCTTAGAAAATACACTTGTCCTGTTAAAAATCAAAAAACTACTTCAAGACACACTCAGCTGTTTGACTAAAATGCAGCAGGAGAAAATATCTTCTCAAAAGATGTATCTGGATGGCACTTGCTTTCAGAGTAAAAGGTGGTTTCAAGCACAATATAGCACTTTTTTCCTACAGGCTTTCAAGGCCTTTTACTATCATATCCTTATGAATCACAGGAATAAAAAAATCATAGTTATATAACTGTCAAATATTGTATTAGGAAAAAAATTAAGGGCATGTCTTCCATGCTCATGTATCCTGATTAAAATCAGTTAAGACCCATCTGCCCGGTGTGGTGGCTCACACCTGTAATTCCAGCACTTTGAAAGGCAGAGGCTGGAGGATCACTTGAGCTCAGGAGTTCAAGACCAGCATGCTCAACATAGAAAAACCTCATCTCTGCCAAATATACAAATATTATCTGGTTGTGGTAGTGTGCACGTGTGGTCCCAGCTACTTGGGAGGCTGAGGTGGGAGAATCGCTGGAGCACAGAATGTCAAAGCTGCAGTGAACCACTGCACCCCAGCCAGAATGACAGGGAAAGAGACCCTGTCTCAGAAATAAAAATAAATAAAGAGACCCATTCTTTCAGACACCCTCATTCTTCTACATAAAACACGGTGCTTTTGACTGAAATGTTTTAAGATGAACTGAAGATTCTCCCATAATCAGGAGCAGTAGATGGAGGTTGCTCCCTTCCTGTTCTTTGAGTTGAAGCAAGGCAGAGGTCTGGAGACTCAAACTGGTAAGTACTCAAACTGGTAAATATATCAATTGCTTTCTTTTCATATGAGGTATTAAGCTATTCTTGCATTGCTATTTAAAAAACCTGAGACTGGGTAATTTATAAGAAAAGAGTTTGATTGGCTCATGGTTCTGCAGGCTGTACAGGAAGCATAGCACCAGCGTCTGCTTCTGGGAAGGCCTGGGGAAGCTTACAATCATGGTGAAAGAGAAGCAGGCATCTCACATGGTAGAAGCAGAAACAAGAAAGATGGGGGAGGGATGGGCCACACTTCTAAACAACCAGATCTCACGAGTACTCACTATCACAAGGATGGCACAGATCCATGAGGGACTCACCCAGTGATTCAACCACCTCCTCCCCAGGTCCCACCTGCCACATTGGGGATTAAAATTCAATATGAGATTTGGAGGGGACATCTAAACTATATCACATGACCATCAGAAAAACAGATGAAGAATTCATGGTTTCTACTGTCCAGTAACTTTTCATCTAGAGCAAACAGATTAATGGCTGAATTCAGCATCCTGTGGTCGGAAGGGAAACGGATTAATGGCTGAATTCAGCATCCTGTGGTCGGAAGGGAAATGGATTAATGGCTGAATTCAGCATCCTGTGGTCGGAAGGGAAATGGATTAATGGCTGAATTCAGCATCCTGTAGTCGGAAGGGAGAAGGGAGCTGCACAGGGGGCCTTGGCTGCATTTGCTCCATTTCCCTTATGCTGTTCCTTGAGTTCCGATGTCACTACCTGAAGGACTATTCATGGACAGAAGAATTATTGTTGTTGTTGTGATTATTTCTATTTCTTTTATCTTGGTAAAAATAAGTTTTTAGCTTCTCATATAATTGTCCTAAAAAACCCTAAGAGTTTTGCTTAAGTTTCTTGTTATCATGTGTTATAAAAATTGACAGGGAAGTGGCTAAAACAGATTAAAATTACACAAGCTCTAAGAGTCAAGTCTCTGTTGGGAAGGCTTAGGAAAGACAGAACTGGAAATACTCCACCAGCATGAACATCAGAAACATGGGGTCCACTTTCTGTTCCAGCCCTGCCCAGATCCACCCTCTTCTAAGGCCTCATCCAGGTCTGGCCTCACCCTAGAATCTTCTCTCACAGAACTCATTAAAGGAGACCAGAGATTCGGGCGGGGGCTCCTGCTGCCTCTCCTGAGCTGGTGCCCACAATTTCCTAAAATGGAAAAGCAGATAAGTGGAAGCAAATAATTCTATATTGGGGGGTTATACTTTCTTTTTCATTGAAGCCAGCGCTTCTAGAGACACCTCACCTAGCAACTTGTTTTCCATTCCTGCAAATTCAGTAGCTGCTCCACAAGGCACAAGAAGGTAAATATAAATATAAAACATCTCTCTGAACAGTTCATCCTTTTTTCTCTATCCCTTCATCTGTCGATATAGCTTTTATTCTGCACATTTTATTTTCCAGGTAAATAATTTTTAAAATGGAAGAAAAAATAGAAATGCTAGGCCCTTCATTTAAGTCCTGAAAATTACAGAAAACTTAGCACCCAACTCCCCAGGGTGCTATGAGGATTAACTCACATCATGTAATGTTTCCTGAACAGTGCTCTGTAACAGACTTCTGAACACATAGTATGTGCTCAATAAACATTGTATTAACTCATGTGTACATGTTTTCCAAATGCAGACTTACTCAAACATTGATGCCTTCTCTAGGCTTTCTAAACTGCAAAGAGCCAGCAGAAAATGACATGTTTGAAAATGGCGATTGGTGGCTTCCACTTTGAGCCAAAAGTATTTGTGTTGTGGTAACAGTGTTGGGTGTCAGGAGCTCTGTGCTGTGCCTACTTTCTCTAGCTGAGTGCTACTATATTGGATGTAGTGGAAGAAACATCAGCATTAAGAGGAGACTTTTTAAAGAAGCCAATTCATGGACCGCTTCCAAACCTGCAGAATCACATTACTAAGAGAGAGCCTGGAATCGGAAATAATTCATATGCACATTGAAACTTGAGAGGCAGCCGGGTGTGGTGACTTATGCCTGTAATCCCAACACTTTGGGAGGCGGAAGTGGGCAGATAACCTGAGGTCAGGAGTTCAAGACCAGCCTGGGCAACATGGCCAAACCATGTCTCTACTAAAACATACAAAAATTAGCCAGGTGTGGTGGCTGGTGCCTGTAATCCTAGCTACTCGGGTGGCTGAGACTGCAGAATCCCTTGAACCTGGGAGGTGGAGGTTGCAGTGGGCCAAGATGGTGCCACTGCACTCCTGCCTGTACAATGAGTGAAAACTCTGTCGAAAGAAAAGAAAGAAAGACAGACAGACAGAAAGAAAGAAAGGAAGAAAGAAAGAAAGACAGACAGACTTGAGAGGCAAGGCTTAGCTAAGTGGCTCTCGGCCCATGCTTCCAGCCATAATCACATGGCCAGCTTAAAGAAATACCATCACTTGTGCCCTCCCCAGAGACTCTGTCTATTGATCTTGGTGGGAGCATCTATGTGGTTGTAATTAGAAAGTCAAATTGTCCCTCTTTGATGATAATATAATATCATATATACAAAAATTCTAAAGACCACCAAAAAACTCAGATTTGATAAATAAATTTAATAATGTTTCAGGATGCAAAAATCAACGTACAAAAGTTGATAGCATTTTTATACACTAATGATGATCAAGCTGAGAACTGAATTAAAAAGTCACTTCCTTTTACAATAGCTACAAAAAAAGGTAAAATGCTTAGAAATACAATTGGTCAAAGAGATGAACGATCCCTTCAAGGAAAACTACAAAACACTGATGAAAGAAATTGTACATGACACAAATGAGAAAAACATCCCATGCTTATGGATTGGAAGAATTATGATCAATAAAATGACTCTACTGCCCAAAACAATCTACATATTAAATGCAATTCCTACCAAAATGCCAATGGTATTTTTTATAAAATTAGAAAAAAAACCCACTAAAATTCTTATGGAACCACAAAAAGAGCCTGAATAGTCAAAGCAAATCTAAGCAAAGAGAATAAAGCTGGAGATATTACATTATCTGACTTAAAATTATGCTAGAAGGCTGTAGTAACCAAAACAGCATGGTACTGATATAAATCGACACATAGATCAATGGTACAGAATAGAGAACCTAGAAATAAAGCCACATACCTACAAATGACTGATCTTTTACAAAGTCAACAAAAACACACACTGGAGAAATGACATCCTATTCAACAAATTGTGCTGGAAAAATTATATTTCCGTATGCAGAAGAATGGAATGGGACCCCTATGTCCCACCATATACAAAAATCAACTCAATATGGATTAAAAGACTAAAATGTAAGACCTGAAACTATAAAAATGCTAGAAGAAACTCTAGGATAAACTCTTCTAGACATTGACTTGGACAAAGAATTTATGACTAAGATCTCAAAAGCAGATGTAACAATAACAAAAATAGACAACAGCAACTCAATTAAACTAAAAAGCTCCTGAAAATGAGCTTCCTAATTAACACAGTGAACAGAAAACCTATGGAATGAGATAAATGTTTACGAGTTTTGCATGTGACAAAGATCTAATGTCCAGAATATGCAAGGAACTCAAACAACTCAACAAAAATAAAACAAGTAACCTCATTAAAAAGCAAGCAAAGAACATGAACATTAAAAAAAAGAAAGACACTGATGGTCAATGGTCAACAAGCACGTAAAAGATGCTCAACCTTGTCAATGATCAGAGAAATGCCAATTAAAAACCACAATGAGATACCAACTTACACCCTGCAGAATGGCTATTACTAAAAAGCAGAAAAATGAGCTATCGGCAAGGATACAGGGAAAAGAGAACACTTATACATTGTTTGTGGGAAAGTAACTTTCTACAACCTCTGGAAAACAGTATGGAGATTTCAAAATAGACTAAAAATAGAACTTCCATTTGATTCAGCACTCCCACTACTTGGTATCTACCCAAAGGAAAACAATTTGTTACATAAAGAAAATACCCATGCTGACATGTTTATCACAGCACTATTCATAATAGCCGATATATGAAATCAATTTAAATTTATCAATCAATAATCGAATAAAGAAAATGTGCTATACAAGTATACCATGGAATGCTACTCAGCCATGAAGAATAAAATCATGTCTTTTGCAACAACATGAATAAAACCGGAGGCCATTACTGTAAGTGAAAAAACTCAGAAACAGAAAATCAAATTCAGTATTTTCTCAGTTGTAAGTGGGAACTCAATTAAGCATACACTTGGATATAGAGACTGGAAAAATAGACACTGGAGACTCAGAAAGATGGGAGGTTGGAGAGGGTTTAGGAATGAGAAAATAACTAATTGGGACAATAAACAACATTCAGATGATTGTCACACCAAAAGCCCATACTTCATCACTATGCAACATGCTTCTGTAAGGGAGCGGCATTTGTACTCTCTCACGTATTAATAAAGAGATAAAAAAAAAGGCCTGGTGAGGTGGCTCAAGCCTATAATCCCAGCACTTTGGGAGGCTGAGGAGGGCGGATCACGTGGTCAGGAGTTCAAGACCAGCCTGGCCAATATAGTGAAACCCCATCTCTACTAAAAATACAAAAATTAGCCAGGCGTGGTGGCACATGCCTGTAGTCCTAGCTACTTGGGAGGCTGAGGCAGGAGAATCACTTGAACCCGGGAAGCGGAGGTTGTGGTGAGCCGAGATTGTGTCACTGCACTCCAGCCTGGGGAACAGAGGGAGACTCCGTCTCAAAAAAAAAAAAAAGAGAGAAAAAAAAAAACTTTGGCTTTTATCAAGAGGACAAACTGAATAGACCTCATAATTTTCATAAATAATTAGATTAGGCAAAAAATTTTAATAAAAATAAATAGAAAATAATATTGTATTTTAAGAATGGTATAGAAAGATAATTTGATGAATTAGAGTAGTTAGTACTTAGCACATACAATATGTTAGGCAAGATTCTAAGCCACTTAGACCTTTATGGACAGAATACATAACAGAGTAAAATAAATAACACAAAGATTCTTTGGCAATGAAAAATTGACATATTTTCAATCATATTAGATGATATTAAAACCATTAACAAATTTACTGTTTTGTTTCATAATAAAAAAGAATGTTAAATAACTTCATTAAAAAGTTGGCTAATTAGGCATATAGATAAATGGGCAGCATTTTGACCAGTACACAGGGGATACACATTTTCAAAGACCAGACAAAATTATTTATTTATTTTTTGGGGGAGAGGACAGTTTTATTATCTGGGGATACAGTGGGGTCCTCTCCCTGGGAGGTGGGTCTTCCACTGGTTTTCCCCGCCAGGGCTCCAGGGGGCGCCATGCGATTCAGCGCTGGGCTCCGCTGGGGGCCGGGCCTTGGAGGAGGCGAACCGTGCAGGGAAGCGGCAGCCGTGGGGTCCTCACCGCCCGCTCCGCCGGGCTGCACCCGGCCCCCTGGTGCTCCTCAGGCTCCCGCCGAGTCTGCGTCTCTGGAGGGCAGCGAACCATCCTGCCCAGAACCTTATCCTCACAGTCCATTTTGACGCAGGTCAGGCATTTCTGCTTCCTCCTCTCGGGCTGGGCTTTGCACTTGGGTTTCTTCCAGGCCTTCCTCCAGCCGCTTCCCTGTCTGCCGGAGCTTAAATTCCAGCCTCACAGATGTTCCAGCTGGGAAGGGCGTGTCCAGGGCGCTGTCCACACTGGTCTCCCGGAAGGCCCGCTGCACGGGCGGGTGCTTGCAGATTCCTCCAGGGCCACCTGCAGGCCCCGGCGCTGGCCCCGTGAGCTCGGCCCCTCCCGCGTCCCCCGCGCCCACCCACGGGGCCAGCGAGATCCGCAGCCGTCTCAGGCTTCCCCTGTCACCCCGGCCCTGCGAAGCGGGTGTGCGCCCCTTAGTTCTCCGAGCCCGCCGGGAGCCACCTCCTCCCCTGCCCCTGGAGGGGGCCACGCCCGCAGAACGCTGGGCAGAGACGAAGGAACCGGGAAACGTCCCTTTCTCCACACTGACCTTCGGGTCTGCTGGGTCCTCTCCACTCCCTCCCACCCTGCCCGCGCTGGTCCCTGGGGCCCGCAGTTTCAGCAAAGTTCCCTGCCGCGCCGGGAAGCCGTCCTGTTGCCCACTCTCACCCTTCCTCCTTTTCCGGCCCATTCTCTCTCCCCACTGGGTCTCCGACACGACCCTCTCTCCTCCCGGCTGTCCCCGAGCCCCTCTCTGCTTCCCCAGCTCAGCCCCCTCTCTGACGGCTTCTCCCTCCCACCCCCAGGCGAATCTCCGGGCTCCCACGGGGTGCCCCCGATCCCCGGGGTCTAGGTCAACCAGACAAAATTATTTTAAATGGGAAGATTTGAATTCCATTGAATTCATGAAAGCAGGAATCCATCTGGTCATATTTTAAATAATTTTGAAATGATAATAGCAATTATCAATTTAAAGTTTAACCAGAATTCAGAATAACCACCATTTTACCAGAAAAAAAAAAACCTGTTATAACTAACCAACTAAGTCAGTAAATTCTCAGGATACAATATTAACATATGAACATCAGTTGCATTTTTTTTACAGTAACAACAAAATATCTGAAACAGGAATAAAGATAGTTCCATTTACAATATTATCAAATAGAATGAAATACTTAGGAATGAGTTAACAAAGAATATGAAAGATCTGCATACTGAAAACTATAAAATGTTGAGGAAAGAAAATGAAGAATACAAAATGGGAAATATGTGTTCATGGATTCTAAAAATTAATATTGTTAAAATATCCATACTACACAAAGTGATCTACAGAGTTAAATTTTTATCAAAATTTTAATGCCATTTTATTAAAATGTAGAACGACAATTTTAAAATTAGTATGGAACCACAAAAGACCTCAAATAGCCAAATACTGAGAAGAACAAAAAGGCTGAAAGCCTCACACTTCCTGATTTCAAACTATATTACAAAGCTGTAGTCATTAATACAGTATAGTACCTACATAAAAACCAATAGAACAGAATAGAGGACCCAGAAATAAACTCACAAATATACATTCGACCAATCCCACAGAATGGAGAAAGGATAAACACATCAAGGAGTGGTGTAGGAAAAACTCGATATGCACAGACAAAAAGTAAACCTTTCTCTCATGTCATCACAAAATGAATTTGAAATGAAATAAAGACTTAAACATAAGAACTGAAATCATGAATCCTCTAAAAAAAAAAATGGGGAAAAGCCTCCTTGACACTGGTCATGGCAATGATGTTTCGGATTTGACACCAGGAGCGCAGTCAACAAAAGCAAAAATAAACAAGTGGAACTATGTCAAAGTAAAAATTTTCTGCACAATAAAGGAAACAATCAGCAAAATATAAAGGCATTATATGGAATGGGAGAAAATATTTGTAAACCATATGTAGGATAATATGTTACTATCCAAAATATATGTCATAGTAATCAATACAAAAAACCCACAGCAGAATTAAAAGCAATTTCTTGATTAATAATTGGGCAAAATATATAAATAGCAATTTTTCCAAAGATATACAAATGGCCAGCAGGTATATAAAAAATGCTCAACATCACTAATTATCACAGTAATTAAAATCACAATGAGGTATCACCTTATCGTGGTGTTTGGATACCTATTATCAAAAAGTCAAAAGATAAAAAGTGTTAGGGTGTGGAAAAAGAGAACACTTGTGCACTGTTGCTGAGGATGTCAATTGGTGCAGCTATTATGAAAAACAGTATGGAGGTTCCTTAAAATTGTTAAACTAGAACTACCATTAATCCCAATTAGGAGTATATAGCCAAAGGACATAAAATCAGGATCATCAAGGGTATCTGCATTCCTCTGATACAGATAAACTGAGAGACATAATTTCAGCTTTAATAAAAATGAAACTCTTTCATCCACAACAATATTGATAAATCTTGAAGACATTATGCTAAGTGAAATAAGCTGAATACAGAAAGACAACTACTGCATGATCTCGTTTGTATGTAAAATCTAAAAAAGTAAATAAAAATTTAAAAAAGCCATGGAAACAGTAGAACGCTGGTTCCCATGGGCTAGGAAGTGGGGAAAGTGGGAAGATTTCCATGGAAGGGGCGCACCTTCAGTTACAAGGTGAGTAACTGCTGGGGACCTAACGTACAGAATAGTGACTATAGTTAACAATACTGTGTACTTGAAATTTGCTGCAAGAGTAGATCTCAGGTGCTCTCACCACACACAGAGGCGTATTCACTATGTGAGGGGATAGACAGGCTAACTAGCTTAACTGAGGTGATTTAAAGACCACTGACATCTCAAAACACTCTATTGTACACCCTAAAAATACACACTTTTCAATTTGTCAATCATAGCTCAACGAATGGAGAAAAAAAATAAGAGTAACCAGCAGGTCATAGCTCGCCACACGGAAGCTCGATTTAAAACACGCTTGGCCGCTGTTCGCAGCTCAACTCGGGAACGGCCGGAGCGCTTCTGGCCCCTGGACTTCGACGCTCCTCCCGCGCCCCCGGGGCTGGGGAAGGCGCAGTCGTTCCCCGGATTCCAGGCACGCAGATCCGGCAGGGCCATCGCCGTCCCCCTGCTCTTGCCGCAGCCCCGTCAGGCTCCGCGTTTCGGGGCCTCCTGGCCGGGGAGGCTGCCTGTGGCTGCCCGCGCGCCCCCGGGGCTGTGGCTCCGCCGGCCCCCGCTCCGGCCCCGCGCAGCCCCTCCGAGAACGCAGCCGTCTGGTCCCGAACTCGCGGCCTCTGCCCGTAGCCGCCGCCAGCGCCTTCGCTGTGGCCGCTCCTCCCCCTCCCCGAGCCCGAGCTGGCCCAGCGGAGAAGGAGGGCGGAGAAGCTGGAACCCGAACGCGGAGCTGCAGGCGGCAGGTGCGGGAACGGGAGAAGCTATGGCCTCGCCCAGGACGGCTGCTCAGAGCGACACGAGCAACCGCCAGGAGCTCCGCACGCAGCTGGAAGAACTCAGTAACGTACTCCGCTGTGGGAGACATGGAGGTAATAAAAGTCTGATGTAGAAGTACTCGCAGAGAACCATGCTCCTTGGTCAATCTCAGATTATTATTATCAGACCTACCCTAATGACGTTAGTCTTCCAAATAAAGTGAGTGACTGAACTGTCAAATCAGCAAGATCAGGATATTGAAAGTCCTGCTTTGAATTCTAACGACCAGTTATAAGTAGAAAATGACACTCACCCTGGTACTGATAGGACAGCAAATGTTAAGTGTAGACAAGAGGGTCATCTGCCTCCAATTCACAGGAGCCAGCATCTGCATTAGCAGCACAAGATACGTCCTTAGAAGGTTCGTCATTAGCTGGAAGTTTGAGAGCTGCAGCGGAAGCGGCTTTGTCACAGACTGGATTTAGTGATGATGAAAATACTGGACTGTATTTTGACCACAGCACTGGTTTCTATTAAGATTCTGAGAATCAAATATATTATGATTTAATTTATTACCACTGTGATGTGGAAAGTTGTCGCTATCGATTTCATTCTCGAGTAGATTTGCAACCTTATCAGACTTATAGCACGAAACAAAAACGAAAAATTGAGAAAAGAAAGGATTCTTCTACAAAAAAACGATGAGGAAAAGGATTTGAATTCAGAGGATCAAGAAGCCTTCAGTGTTGAACATACAAGCTGCAACGGGAAAGACAATTTCACAAATGTGAAAAAAAAAAAGCCAAAATAGGCATTCATCACAAAAATAATCCCCAAAATTCACTGTTCCATTTAGTGGAAATCCTATGGAATCTCCTTTTAATGAAAACATCTCAATTCATCTTTAAGGATGAGAAAATCACAGAGACTGATAGTGAACCAGAAGAAGGTGAAATTACAGACTCTCAGACCGAGGGTAGTTATGATGAAGGCATTACCAGTAAAGGCAATGCAACTGCAAAAGATACTGAGGAGGAAGATGAGGAAAAAGTGTGGCCTCATATATGAGAGTGATTGTCATTAGATCACCTGTGCTACAGACAGGATCATTCTTCATCATTACTGCTGCAAAACCTGCTACAATTGGAAGAGAAAATGATATGGAGCATACTTTCCAAATCCCTGAAGTTGGTGTAAGTTTCATGCAGAAATCTATTTTGACCTTGACTTACAAAGTTATGTCCTTTTGGATCAGACAGTCAAAATGGAACAATTGTTAATGTAAAATGGATTGTTCAGCTGAAAACTAAATGTGAGCCTTATGAACCTGAGCATGGAGATAAAGTGAAAGTTGGAGACACTGTGTTATCTTATTACATTCACACTGGCAGTAATAGCTGTGTTGGATGTGAACCAGGGCAGGTTAGAGCTCACCTTTTCCTTGACAAGAAAGATGAATCATTTGTTGGTCCATCATTAACTAAGAAGGAAACGAGTTGGAAAGAAGAAAAGGATTTTAAAAATATACGAGTAAAATATGGTTTACAGAATACAGACTACAAAGATGATAAGATACTGGAGAATCAAAAATATAAAGATAGAGCTGGAAAACATAGGGAGCAGATTGGAAGTGAAGGAAATTTCCAAAGAGATGATGCTCCTGCATCTGTTCATTCTGAAATTACTGATAGCAACAAAGGTCAGAAGATGTTGAAAAAGATGTGTTGAAAACAGGAGAAGGCCTGGGGAAGGATGGTGGGAGAATAAAAACTCCAGTACAGCTTCAGCCTTGGCAAACACATGCAGGATTGGAGACAGACAAACCATCCTCAATTAAAGAGACTCACCTTCTCCAAAACAAGAACAACAACAACTGGGACAAAGCTCAGGAGAGGTTTGCCGAAAACTTTCCAGAAACTAAACTTCCAAAAGATGACCTAGGAACCATTCCTTGGGTAAAAGGGACTGAGGAGTGAAGGTTAATCACAGAAGAAAACTCAAGCTTTTTTATAAATAGAGTTTGGAAACTCTTATTTTATTGCAGAATGTTTCTCCCCAAAAAAGTCAGTGGCATGAGAAAGCTGTGTCACAGTTTACCCCTTCCTGATTCAGAAATGTGTAATAAAATGTGGTTTGCAGTTTTTAAAAAACACTTTTTAAATTAATTATTAGTGACTGAATTAAGTTATACAGTAAGTGAACTAAAGTTCACAGGGCACAGATAAGTTTACCAAACTTTACTATTTTATCTTGTCATTTACAACATCCATATAAGCAATTAGCCATATAAGCAAAATTCATATAACCACTTAAATGCTCATTTGTCCTTGTCTCCATATATTCATAGTAGTATGCACAGAAAATACAGCAAAAGAAACATCTAAAATCTATAAAAATAAATCTGACAATATACATTCTTTTTTCTGTCCTTCAGGACCTAGATAAAAAATGTGTTGAGACAACATAAATAGTGATGCATACATTTTCTTATATTTGGAATAGCCTAAATCATATTAAAGAACTAATGAACAGGTGACATGTCACAGAAAATTCGTCTTTTATTGTTTTCTTAGGTGAAGAATCTGCATTTGTTGATATATACTGTACATTCAGCATTTGTATTTGGTTTGTTTCATAGCTAATGAAATGTTTATACATGAAAAAATGAGTACAGTATTGAAATAGTCCATGTGCTGGCATTCATACTTTTTATAAATACCATTGCAGGCAATGAAGTTGTGCCAGAAAAATCTGATTTTGAGCACAAAAGGAATACTTAGCCAGGGCCTTGAGCTCAATATATTTATTGAAAATGTCCTAAATTGCCATAAAACATTATAACATTAAATTACTCATTTCAATAAATTATGAATTAAGCAGAAAGTACGAATGATGTCTTTTATGGATCAGGGAAGTGCTAATGAGACAGAATGGCCATTGAAGCCAAAAGGTCTGAATTCAGGTAGATAATTTTACTCATATTAGTTTTAGGTTAGAGAAAACAATACTTCTGACCATATACTATTTATTGCAGTGGAGTATTTCAAAAATATGTACATAATATATAATTAATTTTCTAATGGTATAAAAGTAATCACACTCTACAAATTATTACAATATGGTCTATTGATGAGAGGGGTGTTTCAAATGAAAAAAACTTGGAATTTCTCATGGTGATAGATGCCATAGAAAATCTATGTAAAATATTTCACTCATATATGCAATTATTGATATTTCTGCTTTTCAGAAAAATAATATACTTTAAACACTTAATGCAGACAATTAAAATCACCAAGAAGTTACAAGAATTCACAGAATGCCTAATATAGTTGAAAGGAAATTAAGAAAACCTCCCAGGACTGGAAGTAAATAAAGGTAATGATCCAGAGAAGTAATCAACCTAAGAGACCAGGGCTCCACTCAGATGTGCCTGATTACAAGAATGTCAGGTCCGTGTGGGTTGTTCCCTTCTGACAAGGCAAATGGAATAAACAAAGAGAAACTGCCTGCAGGCATTGGAATGCGGTGTCTCCCATATGTGAGGATTAAATTATAAATTATGTCACACACAAGGAGATGAGCTACTGGGGTGAAGCATCAGAAGAAATTATATGGCACATAAATCTCAGATATTGAATTTATATTTAAATGTTTAAGTCAATATAATGGAAAAACAAGAAACCAAAATAATGTGGAAAGAAACTACGAGCTTGTCAAGCTATCTTTGGAAAAGAGGCAAATGAAAAGTAAAGTATTGAAAGGGTTGTAAAACAATTTAATGTACAACATACAAATTACATATTAAAATAGGCTGAGCCAAAAAGAGGGCTAGTAAAGTGAAATGCTGATCACAATTAATGTAGTCATATATGTTATAGAAGGCAAATTAATAGAAAATATAAATATATTTATATATGAAGATTAGATTGAGAAGAAATAAAAAGCATTTAATTGTTTTACCAGACTCTAAATAGGAAGGCAACAAAGAATCAGTGACTTGTAAGTTTCAGAAATTGGAAACCAGACATGAAACCTTTAAAAGTTTAGGGTGTAATATATGAAAAAAAGGTAAATTTAGAAATACTTAGAAGAAATAGTGGTTTGGGTTATTTTGAATACTGCTTAATAAACATGAGAGTGCAGTTATCTTTTTTGACATGCTTATTTTGTTTCCTTTTGATATAAACCCAGCAATGAGATTGCTGCATCATATGGTAGTTCTATTTATAATTTCCCCACATTTCTGTATCCCGAGATCATGGTCATTTTCTTGACTATTCTGATCTATTCTGCCTCAGTTTCCCCCTAAGAGATCTTAGGGTCATAATCATATTGGAGGTTGAGGGGCTAGGTCACTTTTTCTGGAGCTGTTTCCTGCTGAGTGGGTGTTATTTCTACCTAGTCTGGGCCCTAAAGTTTCTTCCTGTGTGATCTAACTGGGTGTAAACCATGTAATTCGTGGAACCAGTGGGCAAGATGTTGGCAGCCAAATGTTGAAAGCCTTGCAAAACCATCATGCAAACATGGAGTTGCCGTAAGCAAGAGAGCAAGAAATCAGTTAACATTTTAAACAAAATTGGAACAAAAGTAAAAGCTGAAAGTATAGTAATGGCTGTTACTATTAAAGAGAGTAAGGCAGGTAATAGACGTTGCTTTCATGGTCCCATGGAAGTTCATAGAGATTCAATTTTGTCTGCCTGGGTGATGATATTTTTAATATTTTCTTGGACTAAGCCGGGCTGATTGATCTCAAAAACAGCATTCCTCTTTTAGATATAAACATGTTCCTCCTTGCCCGGCTGGGAGAAGATCCCAGGCTTTTTGCTTTTGTCGGACTACAGTGGCCATGGAGTCCAGACATTGTTGAAGTCTATTGAGGCCCTCTGCTGCTTGTTGCAGACCCATTGAGGTTTTCTGAGATAGTTTATACTGGATTCCCAAGGCTCCACCTTATGGTGACATTTATGCTGCAAAAGTATTTTGCATTAAAATGGTGAAAGCAACAAACGTTTTAAGTATTTTCTATTTTTTGCTAATAAGCAAAATTTTGTGCAGCTAAGTTGGCAGCAGTCATTCGGTCCATTTATGGACGGTACAGTTGAATGGTGGTCAAAGTTAGAGCCTGGAAGCCTTCAGTAAATGCGCTGAAGTTGTCTGAGGGCCATCAGAGTTGTTGCTTATATTGGATTAGATTATTTATTGAGAGTAGAACAAGCACTCTGATGGTCCTCTCTCCATTTGGGACTTTCTGTAAGGGGAGAAATTTCTCTGGCCCTGGATGGTGTGAAGTCCCACTGTGAGTAACTGCAGCTGGGCTGGTCTCTATTGTACCTGGCAAAGGCCGATAGAAAGGAGCATAAGGAGGAGGTGAAACAAGCTTAGATTCTACAGAAGACTCTGATAGTGTGGGGATGCTGGGGATTCTAAAGGAGGTGTGGACCCCTGAGTGCCCCTGTCTGGAGCTGGTGTTGGGCTGTGGGGTCTGGGGTCCCTTCCCCTTAATAAGAGATGATCTTCCAATTGTTCTGAGGGGCTTTCTGGCTTACTAGGCTTTAGCCCACAGGTGCTGCGTAGAGCTGGATTTTGTTGTCAGGCCAGAACGGCTTGCACATAGGGTACTTCAGACCATTTTCCCTGATTGCTACAGAAAAGATCTAGCTGTAGGATGGAGTTAAAGCTCACAGTCTCATTCTCCAGCCATGTTTTGTCAGCTAATCTGTAGGCAGGCTAAATAGTATTACAAAAGAAGATAAGGTTTTCTTTTTTCTAAGTTCATTTAGCCAAAAGCTGTTCTAATTTTTAGATATACATCCCAGGGGTGTTTCAGTGACAGTAGAGGAAGCAGCTCCCATGGTGCCGAGAGAATCCTGCAATGACAGAACATTTACTGAAGTCCAGGAGGCTGTGGGCGTCCTCATGAGCCAAGTGAAAACACCAAGGGGTCCAGCGCATCCCCTCGAAACCCCATTAACTGAAGCTCTAGGAGGTCATAGGCATTTGCCATACACCGTCCTAGCTCCCCCAGCGGTGGACATCTCCAGCCCTACGGAGATGACCCCCACTGCGGGCTGGGGGGCAGATGTCTGGCTGACAAGCCTTGCTCTAATTCACTGGTTTGCCATTTGTGATGCCCAGTTACAACACCTGGAATGCTCAGATGCAATCCCTACGACTTGGCATCTGCTTGACTGTGCATCTTTTGTTCAGCAAAGAAAGCCGGTTGAAGAACAATTTCAAGGAGCTGGGAAATGCATAAAGCCTGAAGGGACAGGGTTCTCTTAATGTGCTGCTCAAAACAAAACAAAAATTTTGTAAACAGAAAACCTGACCAGAAAATAAATTACAATAGCCACTAGGTGGCGATCGAGTATTGCTGAACGGACAGCAAACGACAAGCTGAGTCTAAACTGTGGCCAGAAAGATGTGAAAATGAGCGGCAAATAGCCCAAATATGAAATGTTGAGGGCAACCCATGTGGTTAGCGTATTTATCGATACTACAGAAGCCGCAGAGAAAAGGAGAGCGGACATATATTCTCTCTCTAAAGAATGCGGGTGACTTAAAAACGTTTCCCCCAGAACTTTACTGGAACAGCGCTGGAACCAGCAGCGATAGTTAACCAGGTAGTCTGAAACTGCCATAGTATTCACTGCAAGTAAAGGGAAACTGAAATTAATGAAGCAGACAAACGTCTCCGCAGGTCATGGCACCAGAAATGTTGATGGCTGATGTAATACCTTGGTTCTTATCTTCTTAGTTTAAAATAATTTAAACAAGAGACACACAGCAAAAGAAGTACAGCATAATTTATTGCCCAAAAAAGAATATTTTGAAAATTAAGTGCAGAATAGCCGGTACAGTCTGAGAAAGAGATTCCAGGGCAGCCTGCTCATAAAAGTGAGACAGCATTAATTATTGCTGGAGAAACCCTCTTTATGGGAGTTTTGCATGATTATTTCATAAGAAGGTGGAAAGAAGTGTTACGGTAAGCATGTTCTGACTGGTCTTCTGGTTATACATGTGCAGTAGCTGTACATATTTGTGCATACATTGCATGCCTCACTAGCATCTTAAATCTCCACCCAGGAATGTGTTTTTTACTATTAAAATGAACAAAGGGTCAGCTTGAGGACACATAAAATCAAAATGCACATGCTCTGTAGAATTAAAAGTCCCTACTGAAGATAGCGGGTTTCAAATGACCCCAAGTGCTCCACGTCTTAAAAGTTCCTCCGGTAAAGCTGGAACACTATCTGTTCCTGAGGTATCAGGTCCCATTTGTGGCTCTGAGCCACTGGCAAGCCAGGCCTGACTTGAGATGAGACCAATGATTTCAAGTGTAAAATGCCTAAATACTCAGTAGCTTCAGGTTGCATTTTGGAGCTTGTCCACTTAAGTGGGTTGATGAAAATGGCTCACAAGACTCACGCCTCAGAAATGGGGTTTTTTCCTTTGCTCTTAGCAGATTTTATGCAACCCAATAATTAACCTTTCTGATGCCTAGACTTTCACATTCGTGAAAAAGGCGCCATTGAAAGTGACCTTTCCAAGAAGCCACAGCCCTTGTCACCCCTGCAGAGCTCTGAAGCTGCTCACAAGCAGGCCAGGTGGAAGATTTCTCTCAAAAACGGTTGAGTGCGTGCTCTGGCTAGAGAAAAAAGAGGGCTGCGGCACAATGACAGTGTCTTGGACATCAGGAAAGTTCTCACGCAGTTTAGGAAAGAAGGCAGCACCCTGGGCTGCAGAAGACGTACTCCTCTGGAAAGAACCCTGGGTGCAACTGAAAGAGGAACCTGAGAAGGATAGGGCCAAGCGGGTGAGGACAACCCGCCCGATTTGGGAAAAGGTAAGGTATCTTTGTAGGGTAATACCCTCCTCAATGCTCAGCCCAGACCTGCCCTCCAGGTGCACCTCTGTACTCACTCTCCTTGCAAAGAGTCGGCATAGCATCAGAACTCAGCAGTGCTTTGGACACCGGGAAGTCCACACCGCTCTGCCCCTCCCTCCAGGGCTATGGACCCCGGATCCCGGTACATGCTGGGATTATAGCTCTGAAGCTTACCGACAAACAGGCTGAGAGTAGGTAACGGACTACAGCTCCCAGCATATTAGGTGGGGCGGGTACCACTCTGCCCCTTCTTCCAGGGCTGCGCCTCGCCCTGGAGCCTGGTGCATGCTGGGATTGTAGTCCTGTAGCCCTTTGACCAAAGGGTTGGGAGTGTTTATGAGAATGCATCTTCCAACAATCCTAGGGAGGCGCGCACAGCCCTGCCTCTTCCTCCGGTGACGCGCACTTTCCCGGAGCCCGGTGCATGCTAGGATTGTAGTGCTGCAGCCCTGTGACCAAAGGGCTGGGAGTGTTTATGAGACTGCATCTCCCAGCAAGACCAGCGAGAGGCGCGGAGCCTCGTCCCTTCCTCCAGTGATTAGCGCACTCTCCCTGAGCCTGGTGCATGCTGGGATTGCAGTGCTCGCAGCCCTGTGACCAAAGGGCTGGGAGTGTTTATGAGACTGCATCTCCCAGCAAGACCAGCGAGAGGCGCGGAGCCTCGTCCCTTCCTCCAGTGATTAGCGCACTCTCCCTGAGCCTGGTGCATGCTGGGATTGCAGTGCTGCAGCCCTGTGACCAAAGAGCTTTGTTATAGTTATCTGTGAAGTGTTCAACAAACTACTTTACTTCATTATTACTGGAAGCCAGAAGCTCAGTTGTGTTCACTTTTTGGATTTTATAACAGTGAGATTGTGTAATATGTATACTTTTACATCTACTTTCTTCTATGCAACATTATATTTATGATATTAATTCATGATATTGCAGATAGCTATAGTTTATTTTAAAATTATTTTTTACATTGTGGTAAAGTATACATAAAATTAACCATTTTAGCTATTTTAAGTGTGCAGCTCAGAAAAATTAACTACTTTCACATTGTTTTGCAACTGTCATTACCACTCATAGGGACCTTCTTTCAACTTGCAGAAACAAAACTCTATACCCATTAAATAAGCTCCTTGTTACTCCCCCTCTAGCTCCTAAGAACTACTCTTCTATTTGGGTTTCTAGAATTTAACTACTCTAAGTATCTCATAAGTGGAATGATTCAGTATTTGTCCTTTTATGACTGGCTCATGTCACTTTGCACAATGTCCTTAAGGTTCATGCATGACGTACCATGTGTCAGAATTTCCTTATTTTACATAACTGAATAACATTCCACTCTATGTATAAATCACATTTTATCTATTAATCATTGATGGTAATTCAAACAACACTTGAGTAATTCAAACACCTTTTTGGTGATGTGAGTAATGCTGCTATGAACCTAGGTGTATGTATATTATTTTGTGTCTTTGCTTTCATATCTTTTGCTGCATACCCAGATGTGAAATTGCTGGATCGTATGGTGATTTTATGTGTAAATTTTTTAGTTACTGTGTTGTTATTTTATAGCAGCTGCAGCATTTTACATTTCCACCAACAGTGTACAAGGATTCTAATTGCTCCACGTCCTCACCAACACTTCGGATTTTCTGTTTTTTTTTTTCTTTTGGTAGTAGCTATGCTGATGGGTATTAAGTGATATGTCATTTGGGGTTAGATTTGCATTTCACTAATGATGAGTTTTGTTGAGTGTCTTTTCATGTGCTTATTAGCTACTTTACATAATTTTTAGAGAAATGTCTGCTTAAGTTTTTGCCAATATTTTAAACAAGTAGTTTGTTTTATTGTTGCTGAATTGTTCTTTGCATATTCTGGATAGATTCCTATTCGTCTATTTTTCTTTTGTTTCTTGTGTTGTGGGTGTCCTGTTTAAAAAAAAAAAACTGCCAAATCCAGTGTTATGACGTGTTTCCCCTATATTTTATTCTAAGAATTTTGTAGTTTTAGCTCTTACATTTAGGTATTTGATCCAGTTAGTTAATTTTTTCTTACAGTATAAGTGAAGGGCACAGGTTCATTCTTTTACATGTGGGTACCTAATTTCCCCAGCACCAGTTGTTGTGAAGACAGTTCTTGGCTGGGCACGATGGCTCACACCTGTAATCCCAGCACTTTGGGAGGCCGAGGCGGGCGGATCACAAGGTCAGGAGATCAAGACCATCCTGGCTAGCAAGGTGTCCGCTCTGCTCCTGATCCAGCGAGGCATCCATTGCCACTCCCGATCGGGCTGAAGGCTTGCCATTGTTCCTGCACAGCTAAGCGCCTGGGTTCATCCTAATCAAGCTGAACACTAGTCACTGGGTTCCACGGTTCTCTTCCGTGACCCACAGCTTCTAATAGAGCTATAACACTCACCGCATGGCTCAAGATTCCATTCCTTGGAATCCGTGAGGCCAAGAGCCCCAGGTCAGAGAACAGGAGGCTTGCCACCATCTTGGAAGTGGCCTGCCAAAATTATGGAAGTGGCCCGCCACCATCTTGGGCGCTCTGGGAGCAAAGACCACCCCATGGTAACAGCACCTTAACTGTGTGTCCCCAAGGACCTACAGATTCACAGGGCAACAGGGGCTGTGAGGGAGTTGTCTGGATTTCCCAAGGTGGAGGAGGCGAAAGAGGAGATGGATCCCAAGCTCCTGCACCAGCACCAGCGAGAGACAAAGGCCCCGCCAAACGCCGGAAGCCACGCCCTCCTCTCTTCTCAAACTGTGCGCCCGATTGGGTGGTTCCCACACCAGCGCCACTGATTGAATAAAACGCCAGGACCCACCCATCCGCACCCCACCCCGGCCCCTGCCCCACTCACCCTGAGCGTTAGTGCATTTTTGTTTGTTTCTTTGTTTTACTTTAAGTTTTGGGATACATGTGCAGAACGTGCAGGTTTGTTACAGAGGTTTACATGTGCCATGGTGGTTTTCTGCACCGTCAACCTTGCCATTTAGGTTTTAAGCCCCACGTGCATTAGATATTTGTCCTAATGCTCTCCCTCCCCTTGACCCCAACCCCCTAACAGGCCCCAGCGTGTGATGTTTCCTTCCGGTGTACATCTGTTCTCATTGTTCAACTCCCACATATGAGTGAGAACATATGGTGTTTGGTTTCCTGTTCCCTGTGTTAGTTTGCTGAGGATAATGGTTTCCAGCTTCACTCACGTCCCTGCAAAGGACATGAACTTATTCTTTTTTATGGCTGCATAGTATTCCATGGTGTATATGTGCCACATTTTCTTTTTCCAGTCTATCATTGATGGGCATTTGGGTTGGTTCCAAGTCTTTGCTATTGTAAACAGTGCTGCAATAAACGTAAATGTGCATGTGTCTTTATAGTAGAATGATTTATATTCCTTTGGATATATACCCAGTAATGGGATTGCTGGGTCAAATGGTATTTCTGCTTGTAGATCCTTGAGGAATCACCACACTGTCTTCCACAATGGTTGAACTAATTTACCCTCCCTCCAGCAGTGTAAAAACGTTTCTGTTTCTCCACAGCCTCACCAGCATCTGTTGTTTCCTGACTTTTTAATAATTGCCATTCCAACTGGTGTGAGATGGTATCTCATTGTGGTTTTGATTTGCCTTTCTCTAATAACCAGTGATGATGAGATTTTTTAAAATATTTTTTGGCCACATAAATGTCTTCTTCTTCTCCTTCTTCTCCTTCTTCTTCTTCTTCTTTGAGACGAAGTCTTGCTCTGTCACCCAGGCTGGAATGCAGTGGCAGGATCTTGGCTCACTGCAACATCTGTTTCCCGGGTTCAAGTGATTCTCCTGCTTCAGCCTCCCGAGAAGCTGGGATTACAGGCACCTGCCAATATGTCTGGCTAATTTTTTGTGTTTTCAGTAGAGACAAGATTTCAGCATGTTGGCCAGGCTGGTCTCAAACTCCTGACCTCATGATCCACCTGCCTCCACGTTCCAAAGTGCTGGGATTACAGGTGTGAGCCACCACACTCAGTCAAATATCTTCTTTTGAGAAGAGTCTGTTCATATCCTCTGCCCACTTTTTGATGGTTTTTTTTTTCTTGTGAATTCATTTGAGTTCCTTGTAGATTCCAGATGTTAGACCTTTGTCAGATGGATAGATTGCAAAAATTTTCTCATTCTGTAGGTTGCCTTTCACTCTGATGATAGCTTCTTTTGCTGTGCAGAAGCTCTTTAATTAGATCTCATTTGTCAATTTTGGCTTTTGTTGCAATTGCTTTTGGTATTTTAGTCATGAAGTCTTTGCTCATACCTATGTCCTGAATGGTATTGCCTAGGTTTTCTTCTAGGGTTTTTATGGTTTGGGGTTTTACATTTAAGACTTTAATCCATCTTGAGATAATGTTTAAGGTGTAAGGAAGGGGTGCAGTTTCTGTTTTCTGCATATGGCTAGCCAGTTTTTTCAGCACCATTTGTTAAATAGAAAATCTTTCCCCATTGCTTGTTTTTGTCAGGCTTGTCGAAGATCAGATGGTTGTAGATGTGTGGTGTTATTTCTGAGGTCTTTGTTCTGTTCCATTGGTCTATATATCTGTTTGGTACCAGTACCGTGGTGTTTTGGTTACTGTAGCCTTGAAGTATAGTTTGAAGTCTGGTAGCATGATGCCTCCAGCTACCAGTTGTTTTTGCTTAGGATTGTCTTGGGTGGACAGGCAAACAGGCTCGAATAGTTGGGGTCACATGCGCAGAGTATCACAGCTAATTAAGAAGTGAGCTGAGACTTGAAATGCGCATGCTCTTTCCCTTACCAGGATCTGTTGAGTCATGCATCTTAGCAGCTATTTAAGGGTAGGAAGTAGAACATTTGGACATCTTTTCAACAACTTATTAGGCATTTTCATAATGCAGGAAAGACCCTCATCCCATCCCTGAAGCCCCTCTCTCACCACGCTGCACCTCACTGCTGACCACATTGTGGGGTGGCCATTATCAGGCGGGCCAGAATCAGGCCAGAATAAGGCGGGCAGCGGGGGCTGGGAATAAATAAGCAAGAATGATGTTGCCCATATTTGCTCATCTTAGAAAGGCTCCACAACCATTCTGTGTGAAGTGATTATTCCAGGGTAATTGTGCCCTGACTGTGCTGCATGTCAGTCTGACTTGTCTTTCTGAAAATCACTGGATTACTCTCATTAATGGGGGTATTTCTGTTTCTATTTGAAAATGGCCAACTGTCCTCTGCAGGTGTCCTGATTTTGTCTGCTAGTTTAGACCCTGAAGGTAGCAGTGAGAAAATGTTTTGGCCACATCAGAATACCTATTCTCAGCTGGAGTAGATATAGAAATTTCTTAATAATATCTAACCGTTTTCTCAATAACCATTATATTTAACGGTGATAACTGGAGGGCAGAGAGGGACACAGATGACACAATCTTCGAAGTTTAATTTGGTTATAAGGTTTTTTGTTCTTGTTTTGTTTTGCTTTATTTTTGGATACAAGGTCTTGCTCTGGTGCCCAGGCTGGAGGGCAGTGGCACAATCATAACTCATAATTTGGTTGTAACTGTTCTTTAAAAAATATTTTTGGCTGAGTTTGGTAGCTCACACCTGTAATGTAAACAATTTGGGAGGCCAAGGTGGGATGATCGCTGGATCCTATGAGTTCAAGACCAGTTTGGGCAACATAAGTAGGCTCAGTTTCTACAAAAAATTTTTTTTAATTGGCTGGGTGTAGCATTGCATGCCTGTAGTGTAGTCCTCGCTATTTGAGAAGCTGATGTGAAAGGATCACTCGAGCCTAAGAGTTTGAGGCTGCACTGACCCATGATTCAGCCACTGCACTGACAGACAGATGTGTGTGTGTGTGTGTGTGTGTGTGTGTGTGTGTGTGTGTGTGTATAAACAATATGGATGTGAAAAAAATTCAAGCCCGGGAGGAAAGTGGAAGCCCATGGTGGGGATGTGGAGGGAAGGTGAGTGCGGCTCCAGCAACTCAGTGAAACTTGGTTTTCCATCTTGAAGAATTGCCCATACACACTGAAACCATAGCCTAGCACATGCCAGTTATCACACTACACCTGCTGGGATACGACTATGTACCCTTTTTAAAAAAATAAAATCTTTCACCTAAGAGAAGCAGAAGAGAAAAGGAGTGTTTCACATCTAAAGCCTTCATTTTCTTTATGAAACAACAGCCACTTGTCATTTGAGTTGTCCAAAGGCGACTGACAGCACTAATACACTTAATGAATCAACCAGGAGAAATGGGCCTCTCGGGTGAGGAGGAGGCACAATAGTAACTAACCCAATCCATTCTCAGCTTTACATGGTGCCCGTATCTCAAGAAGTGGTGTTAGCCATGTGAACCGTTTTCACTGGACAAGGCCAGAAGAAAGAACATTTAGTACAACACAACCATGAGGCTGCAAATCAAACTGGTAGTGGGAGCATGCACAAGGCTTCAGTGGCTGAGACACTGGTGGCTACCCTTGGGTGTCACTTAAAACTTCAAGGTGAAGGACATTTTTTTTCCAGTTGGCTCAGGGAAACTAATAAACATTAGAATTGAAATTTGTTTTTCTTTTCAAAATTTCTAAGACATAGAGGACTCTCTAAACACTCCAAAAGACATTCAGATATACATGCAGCTGAGGACCTGCCTGCTCTGCAGAGGGATGGCTGAGCAGCAGCCACCAGCTGTAATAACTTTAAACTTCTCCTCTCACAGGGACAGGCCACTCCCACACACACTGCTTACTTCATAGGCTGTGGCCCTCAGATGCACCTGGGGGACTGCTTTCCTCCCATTTCATTAGCTCTCCAAGACAGTCCATCTCACTCTAAAACCTACACTAGGATGGTGAGTTGTAGACTCTCCTCCATTCTCCCAGTGCAGTGTGACTTCCAGAGAGTGCTCCCCCATCCTCTTACCTCAACTGATGTGAAAAGGGCCAGTGCCTGGGCAGTTAGATGTTCAGTGACCTCACAGGTCCAGCATCGCCCAGGGCCTGGCCCCACAGCCTGGCACCTCTCCCCTACCTGGCCTTCATGCCAGCCTTTTCTCTTCTGTCACCAATGTCAAGTGACATTCACCTGTGTCACACTCTTATGAGTGTGGTAAGTGATGGGTGGGTAAACCCCAGCTGAGTGCCTGTGACTCTACCCTCTTACCTTTCACTCAAGTGACATTATAAGCATAATTTTACATTTGATTTAATTTATGGCATAATCTTTTCTTATAACATTTCTGACAATAGCCCTCACAACCAAAGGAGACTGGGTTACAGAACACATGGGCAAGGCTGGAGTAGCAGGTTTCACTTACTTTATTCCAATGTGAAATGAAGATGTGATGGTTTAAAACCAAGACAAAGTTGTTTATCAGCTGTGGGGTTGCTACACTTGCTAGCTCATGCTCACTTCCTTTGAAACAAGGAATCTGGAGAGACTATATTCATAAGTAGCTCTTTGCAAACCCCCAGGCAGAAGCCCCAGTCAGACGCAGCTCCCTCAGGCTCCCAGGGCGGCAACCTCCTCCTCCATGTTGGGCTCTGCCAGCAGGTCAAGGGAAGAGCTCCCTCAGGCTCCCAGGGCTGCAACCTCCTCCTCCATGTTGGGCTCTGCCAGCAGGCCAAGGGAAGAGCTCCCTCAGGCTCCCAGGGCTGCAACCTCCTCCTCCATGTTGGGCTCTGCCAGCAGGCAAGGGAAGAGCTCCCTCAGGCTCCCAGGGCTGCAACCTCCTCCTCCATGTTGGGCTCTGCCAGCAGCCAAGGGAAGCAGCACAGGCAGCGGGGGACAGGAAGCCACCCGGGGCCATAGGGATCCCCAAACGCCCCGGAACTATTCTCTGTAGAAAGGGCGGTGTGGCAAGGACCAGGTATGGAGCTGGGTTCCACAGAGAGGTGACAGCCACTTCTGTATCTCTAAATTTCCCCCGGGATCCATGATCCAGCCCTGCTTTCCCCCAGGCCCTTCACCCACCCTGCCCCCACTGTGTGTTAGGCAGCTCGGGTTAAAATGGGAGAAAAATATATTCAGATTGTAGCCTCCAAGTTTTCCCATCTGGGCTGCAGAGAGTAGAGAAGGAAGTCGGGGCCTGTGGCGGTGCCTTTTGCTGTGCCTGAGGGCAGGAAGGCCAGGGCTGGGCACATGGATGTCTCCGGGACCACCACTGCTGACTCCCTCCCCTCACCTGAAGCTACAACCAGCCCAGGCTATCACGATTAATAAAACCACTGCAGCTCTCATCCTGTCACAAAACTAATGTGCACCCAACTGCAGCCCTACACAGATCCCTGGCTTCCTATCCCAGAACACAGAAAATCCTCTTATCTTTTTTACTTAAAACCTGGACTTTAAGCCAGATTGGGCCTGGGGATAGTGGCAGCAAAAGCAACAGCCAGATGTATACACTCCAGATGTATACACTCAAGGGCATGGGCACATTCCACACTTGCTGAAGAATGAGAGGCCTGAGAGACACCTGTTTCCCAGCTGCTAGCTGATGTCTACACACCCCATTCATGTGTCTTCATTTAGGCCTCTGCATCATGTATTTGTTCAGCCAGTGCAAACACATCTTCTGGGGGGCATCATTGATTGCAGCACCAGCCCCACTTGTTTCGGGAGGGAGTCAGGAGGAATCTGGTCAGCTCCTAATCCCCCAGGACAAAGGTGCTGCCCCCTTTTCAGCACTCACATCCAGCAGCACCATCTTGGGATGGTTTTTCAAACACAAGTAGCATGAGGTAGCAAGCATGGTGTGACAGGCTCAGGGCCATAGGCAGCCGGCTGCTGGAGAAGCAGCACAGGGCAGGCACATCTGTGGGTGGCACCCTGACAAGCCAAGGCAGCCACAGCCCCTACCCCCAACAGCCCCAGCCCAGATGGCCTTCAGATCTTCCCGGATAGTATTGGGGTTCCCAATGCCCATCACTCCCCTGCTTATTAGCACTGCCTTGTGTTGGTTACTCAGGGACTAAGGAGAGGGGGTGGGGGATGTAGATCCAGGGTGGGCACTGCCTCACAGCCAGAGTCCACCTGACTGCAGGCCAGCAAGCAAGCCCAGCAGCTCAGCTCTAGACACTTAGCCTCACCACCTCTGGCTACACTTCCTACGTATACTTTATGCAAAGGTAGAAAAAGAGGTCAGTATTAGCTGTTGTGACATAAAAGTCTATGCCCCATTAAGACCTTCTTAAAATGCTGTTGCCTTAAGCCCTCTTTCTTCTAATAAAATTTATACAAATACATACATACAAGCTGAAACTACTATAAATGAAATATTAGGATTTTTTAAACCCATAGACAAACACTAAAACAGTCACTGTTTGAATGCAAAAAAAGTGGGAGTCTAAAGCAGCTAACCCCAAAACAGCCTTACCAAGCCCAAGGCCAGGCCAGGCAGTCTGAACACTACAAGGTCACGTGATGGTCACAGAGGATGACAGCTCCCATGAGTATTCTCAGGCACTGTGTTAGCTTCTCACTCACAGAGTCTCAGAATGCCTCCTCACCAATACCCTGTGAGGGAAGGCCCCACCTCACTACAGCACGAGAGGTTCCTGAGCTCTTCCCAGAAAATGGTTATCAAAGGGTGGAGCTGGGGGAAGCCCAGACAGAACAAGTGAGTCCCCAGGGTCTCCTTAACCTCCCTCAGCTCCTCCACATGGGGCCCTGAGGGAAAGTGAGCGGCCTCCTAACCCCTTTGATAGGGTTCCAGTACTGCAGGTCTGGACCTCCTCATTTTCTGGAACCACAGGAGGCGACAATGCAAACCCAGGCCCCTTATTTGCCGTCCCTCAATGCCAGGCCAGGCCCAGAGCCCTGTGCTGACACAGCCCAGGGGATGCTCGAGGCCCACCTCAGCACAGTCACCAATAGCGTAGTGAGATGAGCAAGGAGGTGCAAGTAGGCACAAATCCCCATGGACATGGCCTCAGGCATGTTCCACAGGCTCAGGGTCTCCCTGATGAGCTCACAGCCCTCCTTCAGGGGTCCTGCAGAGCACACACCCAGGGAGCAGTGCTCAGATGAGCAGGCAGGCCCCAGATTCCCCACCCCAGGATGATCTGTTCCACTTTGCAGGGCTGCTGCATTGGCCAGTCCCCACTGCTTTCTGGTGGGATGTTTGAGTTGAAGTGAATGTTGAAGGGCATAGAGCTGATGGGGCTGACTGCCTTGCAGATGTTGTAAATCACCTCCTGGCTCCACGGGTCAGCTGTGGAGACACAGCTTGATGGGAGGTAGCCCCACTCCACCATCAGTGGTGCTGGGCTGCCCTGATCTGCACCTTCCAGCTCCTTGCTGAGATGTCTGCATGTTTCTCTAAGGGACTGGGTCACGAGACACCCCTGGCAAGGCCCAGCTGGCAGAATAGGCTGGACACTCTCCCTCAGCCTCCCCAGCAGCCCGGGCTGTGCTGTCACCTGTGCTGATGATCTCACTTCTCTATCTTAATAACAGCACTGATAACTTTTAAGCCCTAGCAAGCTGAAACTGCAAGACAAATGATCTTCTGCCTTAGAAGGGCTATGGCTGGGCAGTGTGTGCCCAGGTGAGAGCCCTGTGGTTGTTAGTGGAAGTAGGGAGCTGGATAGGCCTGGCCCCATAGCCTAGTGAAAACTAGGGCCCTCTCCTTCCAGAGCATCAAAGCATTAGAGGCTGGAAAAAGGTGCTTGTGTGGGCTGCCAAGAAGCAGAAGGCTAGAAGGCTTTGCAAGGAACCCCAACAGACTTCAAGGTGCCTGAGAGGGCTGGGCTTATTCCAGCTTTCTTTGCTTTCATTCTGTTAGCAAGAAAACCTGCTCACAGATGGCAGGTGGGCCTGAGGCTGCCAGTCACTCACCAGAGGCTATAGGTGCCTCGATTGTGGCTGTTTCTTGAAGCAGCTGCTCAGGCCGGTTATTGCAGAGCAGTTCCCTCATTATCCACAGGTCCTTGTTCCAGCCCCGGCTCTGCAAAGGGACTAGGGAGGGACTAGGCAAGGGCTCAGCCTGTGCCTCACAACCTGCTCTGAGATATCTCTTTTTGTTACTTCCTCATGGACAGCCTCAAACTTCCAAATGAACAGACCAGCATGGAGCCTCCAGGAAAGTGCATAGAATTCTATCTGGTACCCAGAGGGAAGGGGGTTCCCAGTGAGGGCAGGACCAGGCTTCATGCACCTCTTCAGGAATGTTCTCCTCATAGTCCAGCCTCAAGGTGTGCATCCTCTGTGTGCATGGAGTCCATGGCAGGCTCTGCCTGGGGAGCCGTCCAGCTGCACACCTGCAATGTGGTGGTGACCCTCATGAATGGGTGGTTCTGGGCCCCATGGCTGGCAGCAAAGAGGGAGATGTTCAGCCACCAAGCCCAGAGCCCTGCCACAGGCTTCTGTGAGGCCACCATCTTCTCTGGGTTCTTGCCCTGAGAGGCTGCCCTGAAGTCAAACAGAAGCACGTGGGCCTCTCTTCCAGGGCTGCTCTCTCCCCCACTGACAGCTCCCTAGAGGGGGACTCAGACAGTGGGGACAGATTCCTCAGGCATAAGCACTGGAGTTTAGGCTGGCCAGTTCATTCCATACGCCCACATGACATGACACAAGGCAGAGGCTGTGGGACAAAGGTATTGCCTTTTCTTCTGGCATGAGGAATGGCTTAGGAAGCAGGGGATGGTGGGGCTGGGGTTGAGTGATGGGCTGTGGGCCACAAGGAGTGGGTGGGCACTGAGCAAGTGTCCTGGTTGTCTGTCCATAGACGCAGAATGAGTGGCATCCCAGGAGCCTGTGAGGGGCTGGCAGAGACTTACTGGTTCCAGTAAAAGCCCCATGTGGATGCAGTAATGCTGCCTGCTGGTCCTTGGCTGTAATTACAAACAGGTACATGAGGTACCCATGCATCTTGAAGCTCTCAGGGAGTGGGTTCCAGCTGCTCATGGTAGGCACTTTTAGTCACTGAACATGCTTCAGGCATGTCCAAGCTTGATTAAGCCAGGCATCTTGCTGTGAGGCCCTCCACTTCACTAAGAACACTCTTCCTTGCTTCCCCTGGAAGTTGGACCTTCCAGTTCTGGTTCTGGAGACACGATGGCCCCTCCTGGACCCCTGGGAGAATGTGCTCAGGTGACACACAGTTGATGGGGCCATTTCCCAAGCCATTCTTCCATTTCCACTGTTTGAGGGACCCGAGGCCGGTGACAAGCACAGAGCCACCCAAGGCCAGCTGTCTGCACCTAAATGTGATGCTTGTCTGGATGTCTCAGGGCCAGAACCCTCCAGGTGAGATGGCCTGGTCCTCACCACCTGAGTGTCCGTGCTCCCTTTTCCTCTGTTCAATCCTGGCGCCAATGCCTCCCTCAACTCTCAGGTCACCATTGGAGAAGATGCTCAGGAAGAACAAGCAGCTGCAGTTAACCCTGCTGAAAGTGGCAGATGGGTCCAGGCTCTTGAGCTCGTCTTGGACATGGAACATGTGGATACAGGCTTTGAGCAGTGTGTGTAGCTCTTTCAGGAAGGAAGGGAAAAGGGTGTTACCCGGGTCCTACACCCTGGAACGACCCTTCTCAGACAGTAAATAGTTGGCAGGGTGCGGTCATGTGTGATTTTAGTTTTCAACTTTAGGCTTTCATTTTCAAATTCCACAATAAACACATAAGGTGGAGTTCTGGTTTCAGCACACACACACACACACACAAACACACACACACACACACACACAGTCTCTCTCTCTGTATGTCTCTTTCTGTCTCTCTCTCTCTCCTTCCTGCAAGGATCCTTGTTAACAAGAAACCTTCTGCCAAATGCCTCTGAAGCACAGGCAGGTCTTGGGGAGCCACAAGGCCACTTCCTCTTTGTGCACTAGTGTCTTGGGTAGGCATAGCTTTCAGAGCTCTGGGGCCTCCACAACCTTGCCCTGCTGTCCAGGGGCAGCCCTCATGCAGGGGTGTCCTAAGAACTTTTCAGGATGCACAAGTTCAGCACTGTCTTCCAATGTGTGTTTCACGATATTTTAATGGTGGTTCTTTTGGGAAAAAGGAAAGGTTCTGTGATCAATTATGGGACACATTGAGCTACAGATCTTTTTCACAATTGCTCTTAACAAGCAGGTAGACCCTGAGAACATGAGTAGCTTCCCCGCAGGTAACTTGAGTGCATGAGAACTTTTGCTTTACAACCATGCCAATCTCACCTCAGCAGTTGGCAGTGCTGCACGGGGCAGACTTCCCTACTCAAAGGCTGTGAAGCTTTTCTTTCTTTTTTTTTAAACATTATTTTTCTTTATAGAATTTTGTTGGGCTGATATCAAGCCTGGCTTGGTACTGCCTCATTTTTTTTGGAATCAGAACGCTGTTCTTTAACTCACGGGTTGTGAAGTTAGAAGGTGCTGGTGTGACAGCCTGACAAGCAGAGCGCAGCTCCAATCCCACCTTCATGCTCTCATCTGACGCAGAGCCCTCAGAGAAGTGGGGAAGTGCTTCCTGGCCCTGCTTCTGGGGGCCGTCCCCAAGGCAGTCCACCGAACTTCCAAAACAGCCTTCCCTCACACACAGCCCTGAGCCCTCCTGCCGCTCCTCAATGTTGCACATCTCTGAGAAGTGGTCCAGCATGTTGCTGTCCAGGGGCAGTGAGAAGCAGGTGCGGTGACACATGTCTTCACGGACCATGAGCACCGGGTAAATCTCCTGCACAATCTCCTTGGGGGACACCTTGAGGGAGAAAGCCCCAACAACTGATGGCATGCCACATGGCAGAAAGCAAAGACTTACCCTTTCCCCAGCCCAAAGTCCTGAGAATCATGCCAAAAATCCTTGGTTTCCCACTTTTTAAAAATTTTAAAATTAAAATCCCAGGTTCCGCGTATACATGCCATGCCCACCTGCACCTGTGTGTGTGTGTGTGTTTGTGCACGCAGGACAGAGCCTGGCCCATTGACTATTCCTGCAGACCAAGAAAAATCCCTATGCAGAGTAAGGGGAGATGGAAGAAATGAGGGAGAGAAAATGGCAGCCTTGCCTCCTCCCTTGCCCATTGCTAAGGTCCCCAGGGCAAATGGCTTTTGCCTTCAACTTCACCTTAACAACATACAAAATATATTCATTTTTACTTCCGTCACTTTCTTAACATTACAAATTGTATCTTTATATATGATTTGTATTTTCACAGAGATTTAAGAATTTAATGCACCATTATAGTAGAAAATTGTATATCTGTGTATATATTTACATTGAACAGAGAGCTTTATATTTTCATGTGGTTTTATGATGCTGTCCAGCATCATTTAATTTTTCAACATAATTAACTCTCTTTAGCATTTTTTTTCCTAGGGTTATTCTAGTAGTTAACAACCTCAGCTTTTTTATTTTAATCTTTGAAAGTCTTTATTTTTTTCTAATTTTGAAATACAGTATTTCCCAGATCAATTATTATTGGTTGCTAGTATTTTTTCTTTCATCGCTTTGAAATCTGGAAAGTTCTTAGCATCCCCGCTTTTTCTCTGAAATAATGTTTATGCCATTTTCTCCCTCTATTCTTTTTAAAAGACTCTATCTCTGAATGTATTGGTCTACTTGATGGTGTCCAGTAAGTCTTATATTTCACCCGTAATTTTCCCATTCTTTAAAATATTAGTTTCCAGGACTCAATATTTGTGAATAATATATGTTCAATTTTCTTTTTTCTGCTCCATTGTTCGCTGTTGTGTCTCTGTAGTGAATTTATAAAACTCAGTTATTATATTCTTCAACTCTATGATTTCTGTTGGGTTTTTAAAAATAGTTTTTATCTCTTTGTTGATATTTTGCTCATTCGTTATTTTTAAATTTCACTCAGTTGTCTCTTTCTGTTATAGTTTTGCTCACTGAGAATGCATAAGATGATTATTTTAAGTTCTCCATCAGATATGCAAAAAATCTTTATTTGTTAAAATTCAGTTTCTGAATATTTATGTTTTTCTTCCAATGGGGAATATTTTCTGCCTTCTCTGTGTGCCTTGTGATTTTTTTTTTTTAAAGAGATCTGGGGATCTATACAGCACTCATCAAATCTAGCATTTAAAGACTGGCTCAGTAAAGGGGGATACCGACAGCAATAGTCCAGGCTATAGATTCTAGGTGCTTCACAAACACATTCCCAAATATATTTTCTCTGGACTTCGCTGTGTTTCCAAGTTAAAGAGAATTTTTTCTCAATGTATTTTAGATTCTATTGTCTATTTTCTTCCCCAGTTGGCTGTCTGTGGTATTGCAGTTTCACTAGTGCTGTAGCAAACACTCATCTTTCTTCTCAGCAGACACAAACTGTCATCTATATGACTCCATCATGTCCTTCAGCACTCCACATCAGGAGAGAAAGAATCTAGTCATTAGACAATTTATCAAAAAGCCAAACATTTCAACACATATTCTACTGTTTTAATTCTCTCCTGAAGGAGATACTGGGAGTTGGGCATTTTCTCATTAGCCCAGTTACTGTTCTGGGTGAAAAAATAAACTGCAGTGGACAGGCTGTAAGCCAGACTTCATCAAATTTCTGCACCAATGAAAAAAAAATTTACAAGAGAAAAACAAAAAACCCTATTAAACGTCACGGACAAGGCCAGAGTTTGAATATACTGTGGTCATCTCTGCTCCAGTGCAAACTGTTTTCAGAAAGCCTACTTCTATTTTCCTTGCTGTAACAGAGGAACATTTCCTGTCTTATGCTTATTCTACTCTGCAATCCCCTAAGGCTTTTTCTCTCCCTCCCAGAATCTTAAAGTGCATTCGAACTCACAGGCAAAATCCTCCCAGAATCTTGTGAGAACATAAATGATCTGACTAGTTTGGCATTGCTTTTGGGGATCTGGGAAAATCTGTGCACACTTCTGGAGACCCTTGTCATGCCATTATTTATAAATCTATTGTGCCTCAAGTCAGAAGTGTGTGAGGGGAGATGGGGAGACATTGGGATGCGCGCGCCTGGGGCTCTCCCACAGGGGGCTTTCGTGAGCCAGGCAGCGAGGGCCGCCCCCGCGCTGCAGCCCAGCCAGGCCGCGCCGGCAGAGGGGATCTCCCAACCTGCCCCGGCGCGCGGGGATTTCGCCTACGCCGCCCCGGCTCCTCCGGAGCCGGGGCGCTCTCCCACCCTCAGGCTCCTCGGTGGCCTCCGCACCCGGGCAAAAGCCGGGAGGACCGGGACCCGCAGCGCGACGGCCTGCCGGGCCCCTGCGCGGTGGCACAGCCTGGGCCCGCTCAAGCGGGGCCGCAGGGCCAAGGGGTGCTTGCGCCACCCACGTCCCAGGGGAGTCCGTGGTGGGGCTGGGGCCGGGGTCCCCAGGTCGCCGGGGCGGCGTGGGAACCCCAAGCCGGGGCAGCTCCACCTCCCCAGCCCGCGCCCCCCGGACGCCTCCGCCTCCGCGCGGCAGGGGCAGATGCAAGGCATCCCGGCGCCCTCCCAGGCGCTCCAGGAGCCGGCGCCCTGGTCTGCACTCCCCTGCGGCCTGCTGCTGGATGAGCTCCTGGCGAGCCCGGAGTTTCTGCAGCAGGCGCAACCTCTCCTAGAAACGGAGGCCCCGGGGGAGCTGGAGGCCTCGGAAGAGGCGCCTCGCTGGAAGCACCCCTCAGCGAGGAAGAATACCGGGCTCTGCTGGAGGAGCTTTAGGACGCGGGGTTGGGACGGGGTCGGGTGGTTCGGGGCAGGGCGGTGGCCTCTCTTTCGCGGGGAACACCTGGCTGGCTACGGAGGGGCGTGTCTCCGCCCCGCCCCCTCCACCGGGCTGACCGGCCTGGGATTCCTGCCTTCTAGGTCCAGGCCGGTGAGAGACTCCACACCGCGGAGAACTGCCATTCTTTCCTGGGCATCCCGGGGATCCCAGAGCCGGCCCAGGTACCAGCAGGTGGGCCGCCTACTGCGCACGCGCGGGTTTGCGGGCAGCCGCCTGGGCTGTGGGAGCAGCCCGGGCAGAGCTCTCCTGCCTCTCCACCAGCCCACCCCGCCGCCTGACCGCCCCATCCCCACCCCCCACCCCCCACCCCCGGAAAACGCGTCGTCCCCTGGGCTGGGTGGAGACCCCCGTCCCGCGAAACACCGGGCCCCGCGCAGCGTCCGGGCCTGACACCGCTCCGGCGGCTCGCCTCCTCCCTGTCGCCCCCGGGCCACCGTCGCCCGCCGCCCGGGCCCCTGCAGCCGCCCAGCTGCCAGCACGGAGCGCCTGGCGGCGGAACGCAGACCCCAGGCCCGGCGCACACCGGGACGCTGAGCGTTCCAGGCGGGAGGGAAGGCGGGCAGAGATGGAGAGAGGAACGGGAGACCTAGAGGGGCGGAAGGATGGGCGGAGGGACGTTAGGAGGGAGGCAGGGAGGCAGGGAGGCAGGGAGGAACGGAGGGAGAGACAGAGCGACGCAGGGACTGGGGGCGGGCGGGAGGGAGCCGGGGACGGACGGGGGGAGGAAGGCAGGGAGGAAAAGCGGTCCTCGGCCTCCGGGAGTAGCGGGACCCCCGCCCTCCGGGAAAACGGTCAGCGTCCGGCGCGGGCTGAGGGCTGGGCCCACAGCCGCCGCGCCGGCCGGCGGGGCACCACCCATTCGCCCCGGTTCCGGGGCCCAGGGAGTGGGCGGTTTCCTCCGGGACAAAAGACCGGGACTCGGGTTGCCGTCGGGTTTTCACCCGCGCGGTTCACAGACCGCACATCCCCAGGCTGAGCCCTGCAACGCGGCGCGAGGCCGACAGACCCGGCCACGGAGGAGCCACACGCAGGACGACGGAGGCGTGATTTTGGTTTCCGCGTGGCTTTGCCCTCCGCAAGGCGGCCTGTTGCTCACGTCTCTCCGGCCCCCGAAAGGCTGGCCATGCCGACTGTTTGCTCCCGGAGCTCTGCGGGCACCCGGAAACATGCAGGGAAGGGTGCAAGCCCGGCATGGTGCCTTCGCTCTCCTTGCCAGGTTCCAAACCGGCCACACTGCAGACTCCCCCACGTTGCCGCACGCGGGAATCCATCGTCAGGCCATCACGCCGGGGAGGCATCTCCTCTCTGGGGTCTCGCTCTGGTCTTCTACGTGGAAATGAACGAGAGCCACACGCCTGCGTGTGCGAGACCGTCCCGGCAACGGCGACGCCCACAGGCATTGCCTCCTTCACGGAGAGAGGGCCTGGCACACTCAAGACTCCCACGGAGGTTCAGTTCCACACTCCCCTCCACCCTCCCAGGCTGGTTTCTCCCTGCTGCCGACGCGTGGGAGCCCAGAGAGCGGCTTCCCGTTCCCGCGGGATCCCTGGAGAGGTCCGGAGAGCCGGCCCCCGAAACGCGCCCCCCTCCCCCCTCCCCCCTCTCCCCCTTCCTCTTCGTCTCTCCGGCCCCACCACCACCACCGCCACCACGCCCTCCCCCCCCCCCCCCCCCCCCCACCACCACCACCCCGCCGGCCGGCCCCAGGCCTCGACGCCCTGGGTCCCTTCCGGGGTGGGGCGGGCTGTCCCAGGGGGGCTCACCGCCATTCATGAAGGGGTGGAGCCTGCCTGCCTGTGGGCCTTTACAAGGGCGGCTGGCTGGCTGGCTGGCTGTCCGGGCAGGCCTCCTGGCTGCACCTGCCGCAGTGCACAGTCCGGCTGAGGTGCACGGGAGCCCGCCGGCCTCTCTCTGCCCGCGTCCGTCCGTGAAATTCCGGCCGGGGCTCACCGCGATGGCCCTCCCGACACCCTCGGACAGCACCCTCCCCGCGGAAGCCCGGGGACGAGGACGGCGACGGAGACTCGTTTGGACCCCGAGCCAAAGCGAGGCCCTGCGAGCCTGCTTTGAGCGGAACCCGTACCCGGGCATCGCCACCAGAGAACGGCTGGCCCAGGCCATCGGCATTCCGGAGCCCAGGGTCCAGATTTGGTTTCAGAATGAGAGGTCACGCCAGCTGAGGCAGCACCGGCGGGAATCTCGGCCCTGGCCCGGGAGACGCGGCCCGCCAGAAGGCCGGCGAAAGCGGACCGCCGTCACCGGATCCCAGACCGCCCTGCTCCTCCGAGCCTTTGAGAAGGATCGCTTTCCAGGCATCGCCGCCCGGGAGGAGCTGGCCAGAGAGACGGGCCTCCCGGAGTCCAGGATTCAGATCTGGTTTCAGAATCGAAGGGCCAGGCACCCGGGACAGGGTGGCAGGGCGCCCGCGCAGGCAGGCGGCCTGTGCAGCGCGGCCCCCGGCGGGGGTCACCCTGCTCCCTCGTGGGTCGCCTTCGCCCACACCGGCGAGTGGGGAACGGGGCTTCCCGCACCCCACGTGCCCTGCGCGCCTGGGGCTCTCCCACAGGGGGCTTTCGTGAGCCAGGCAGCGAGGGCCGCCCCCGCGCTGCAGCCCAGCCAGGCCGCGACGGCAGAGGGGGTCTCCCAACCTGCCCCGGCGCGCGGGGATTTCGCCTACGCCGCCCCGGCTCCTCCGGACGGGGCGCTCTCCCACCCTCAGGCTCCTCGGTGGCCTCCGCACCCGGGCAAAAGCCGGGAGGACCGGGACCCGCAGCGCGACGGCCTGCCGGGCCCCTGCGCGGTGGCACAGCCTGGGCCCGCTCAAGCGGGGCCGCAGGGCCAAGGGGTGCTTGCGCCACCCACGTCCCAGGGGAGTCCGTGGTGGGGCTGGGGCCGGGGTCCCCAGGTCGCCGGGGCGGCGTGGGAACCCCAAGCCGGGGCAGCTCCACCTCCCCAGCCCGCGCCCCCGGACGCCTCCGCCTCCGCGCGGCAGGGGCAGATGCAAGGCATCCCGGCGCCCTCCCAGGCGCTCCAGGAGCCGGCGCCCTGGTCTGCACTCCCCTGCGGCCTGCTGCTGGATGAGCTCCTGGCGAGCCCGGAGTTTCTGCAGCAGGCGCAACCTCTCCTAGAAACGGAGGCCCCGGGGGAGCTGGAGGCCTCGGAAGAGGCCGCCTCGCTGGAAGCACCCCTCAGCGAGGAAGAATACCGGGCTCTGCTGGAGGAGCTTTAGGACGCGGGGTTGGGACGGGGTCGGGTGGTTCGGGGCAGGGCGGTGGCCTCTCTTTCGCGGGGAACACCTGGCTGGCTACGGAGGGGCGTGTCTCCGCCCCGCCCCCTCCACCGGGCTGACCGGCCTGGGATTCCTGCCTTCTAGGTCTAGGCCCGGTGAGAGACTCCACACCGCGGAGAACTGCCATTCTTTCCTGGGCATCCCGGGGATCCCAGAGCCGGCCCAGGTACCAGCAGGTGGGCCGCCTACTGCGCACGCGCGGGTTTGCGGGCAGCCGCCTGGGCTGTGGGAGCAGCCCGGGCAGAGCTCTCCTGCCTCTCCACCAGCCCACCCCGCCGCCTGACCGCCCCATCCCCACCCCCACCCCCCACCCCCGGAAAACGCGTCGTCCCCTGGGCTGGGTGGAGACCCCCGTCCCGCGAAACACCGGGCCCCGCGCAGCGTCCGGGCCTGACACCGCTCCGGCGGCTCGCCTCCTCTGCGCCCCCGCGCCACCGTCGCCCGCCCGCCCGGGCCCCTGCAGCCGCCCAGGTGCCAGCACGGAGCGCCTGGCGGCGGAACGCAGACCCCAGGCCCGGCGCACACCGGGGACGCTGAGCGTTCCAGGCGGGAGGGAAGGCGGGCAGAGATGGAGAGAGGAACGGGAGACCTAGAGGGGCGGAAGGATGGGCGGAGGGACGTTAGGAGGGAGGCAGGGAGGCAGGGAGGCAGGGAGGAACGGAGGGAGAGACAGAGCGACGCAGGGACTGGGGGCGGGCGGGAGGGAGCCGGGGACGGACGGGGGGAGGAAGGCAGGGAGGAAAAGCGGTCCTCGGCCTCCGGGAGTAGCGGGACCCCCGCCCTCCGGGAAAACGGTCAGCGTCCGGCGCGGGCTGAGGGCTGGGCCCACAGCCGCCGCGCCGGCCGGCGGGGCACCACCCATTCGCCCCGGTTCCGGGGCCCAGGGAGTGGGCGGTTTCCTCCGGGACAAAAGACCGGGACTCGGGTTGCCGTCGGGTCTTCACCCGCGCGGTTCACAGACCCCACATCCCCAGGCTGAGCCCTGCAACGCGGCGCGAGGCCGACAGACCCGGCCACGGAGGAGCCACACGCAGGACGACGGAGGCGTGATTTTGGTTTCCGCGTGGCTTTGCCCTCCGCAAGGCGGCCTGTTGCTCACGTCTCTCCGGCCCCCGAAAGGCTGGCCATGCCGACTGTTTGCTCCCGGAGCTCTGCGGGCACCCGGAAACATGCAGGGAAGGGTGCAAGCCCGGCATGGTGCCTTCGCTCTCCTTGCCAGGTTCCAAACCGGCCACACTGCAGACTCCCCACGTTGCCGCACGCGGGAATCCATCGTCAGGCCATCACGCCGGGGAGGCATCTCCTCTCTGGGGTCTCGCTCTGGTCTTCTACGTGGAAATGAACGAGAGCCACACGCCTGCGTGTGCGAGACCGTCCCGGCAACGGCGACGCCCACAGGCATTGCCTCCTTCACGGAGAGAGGGCCTGGCACACTCAAGACTCCCACGGAGGTTCAGTTCCACACTCCCCTCCACCCTCCCAGGCTGGTTTCTCCCTGCTGCCGACGCGTGGGAGCCCAGAGAGCGGCTTCCCGTTCCCGCGGGATCCCTGGAGAGGTCAGAAGAGCCGGCCCCCGAAACGCGCCCCCCTCCCCCCTCCCCCCTCTCCCCCTTCCTCTTCGTCTCTCCGGCCCCACCACCACCACCGCCACCACGCCCTCCCCCACCACCCCCCCCCCCCACCACCACCACCACCACCCCGCCGGCCGGCCCCAGGCCTCGACGCCCTGGGTCCCTTCCGGGGTGGGGCGGGCTGTCCCAGGGGGGCTCACCGCCATTCATGAAGGGGTGGAGCCTGCCTGCCTGTGGGCCTTTACAAGGGCGGCTGGCTGGCTGGCTGGCTGTCCGGGCAGGCCTCCTGGCTGCACCTGCCGCAGTGCACAGTCCGGCTGAGGTGCACGGGAGCCCGCCGGCCTCTCTCTGCCCGCGTCCGTCCGTGAAATTCCGGCCGGGGCTCACCGCGATGGCCCTCCCGACACCTTCGGACAGCACCCTCCCCGCGGAAGCCCGGGGACGAGGACGGCGACGGAGACTCGTTTGGACCCCGAGCCAAAGCGAGGCCCTGCGAGCCTGCTTTGAGCGGAACCCGTACCCGGGCATCGCCACCAGAGAACGGCTGGCCCAGGCCATCGGCATTCCGGAGCCCAGGGTCCAGATTTGGTTTCAGAATGAGAGGTCACGCCAGCTGAGGCAGCACCGGCGGGAATCTCGGCCCTGGCCCGGGAGACGCGGCCCGCCAGAAGGCCGGCGAAAGCGGACCGCCGTCACCGGATCCCAGACCGCCCTGCTCCTCCGAGCCTTTGAGAAGGATCGCTTTCCAGGCATCGCCGCCCGGGAGGAGCTGGCCAGAGAGACGGGCCTCCCGGAGTCCAGGATTCAGATCTGGTTTCAGAATCGAAGGGCCAGGCACCCGGGACAGGGTGGCAGGGCGCCCGCGCAGGCAGGCGGCCTGTGCAGCGCGGCCCCCGGCGGGGGTCACCCTGCTCCCTCGTGGGTCGCCTTCGCCCACACCGGCGCGTGGGGAACGGGGCTTCCCGCACCCCACGTGCCCTGCGCGCCTGGGGCTCTCCCACAGGGGGCTTTCGTGAGCCAGGCAGCGAGGGCCGCCCCCGCGCTGCAGCCCAGCCAGGCCGCGCCGGCAGAGGGGGTCTCCCAACCTGCCCCGGCGCGCGGGGATTTCGCCTACGCCGCCCCGGCTCCTCCGGACGGGGCGCTCTCCCACCCTCAGGCTCCTCGGTGGCCTCCGCACCCGGGCAAAAGCCGGGAGGACCGGGACCCGCAGCGCGACGGCCTGCCGGGCCCCTGCGCGGTGGCACAGCCTGGGCCCGCTCAAGCGGGGCCGCAGGGCCAAGGGGTGCTTGCGCCACCCACGTCCCAGGGGAGTCCGTGGTGGGGCTGGGGCCGGGGTCCCCAGGTCGCCGGGGCGGCGTGGGAACCCCAAGCCGGGGCAGCTCCACCTCCCCAGCCCGCGCCCCCGGACGCCTCCGCCTCCGCGCGGCAGGGGCAGATGCAAGGCATCCCGGCGCCCTCCCAGGCGCTCCAGGAGCCGGCGCCCTGGTCTGCACTCCCCTGCGGCCTGCTGCTGGATGAGCTCCTGGCGAGCCCGGAGTTTCTGCAGCAGGCGCAACCTCTCCTAGAAACGGAGGCCCCGGGGGAGCTGGAGGCCTCGGAAGAGGCCGCCTCGCTGGAAGCACCCCTCAGCGAGGAAGAATACCGGGCTCTGCTGGAGGAGCTTTAGGACGCGGGGTTGGGACGGGGTCGGGTGGTTCGGGGCAGGGCGGTGGCCTCTCTTTCGCGGGGAACACCTGGCTGGCTACGGAGGGGCGTGTCTCCGCCCCGCCCCCTCCACCGGGCTGACCGGCCTGGGATTCCTGCCTTCTAGGTCCAGGCCCGGTGAGAGACTCCACACCGCGGAGAACTGCCATTCTTTCCTGGGCATCCCGGGGATCCCAGAGCCGGCCCAGGTACCAGCAGGTGGGCCGCCTACTGCGCACGCGCGGGTTTGCGGGCAGCCGCCTGGGCTGTGGGAGCAGCCCGGGCAGAGCTCTCCTGCCTCTCCACCAGCCCACCCCGCCGCCTGACCGCCCCCTCCCCACCCCCACCCCCCACCCCCGGAAAACGCGTCGTCCCCTGGGCTGGGTGGAGACCCCCGTCCCGCGAAACACCGGGCCCCGCGCAGCGTCCGGGCCTGACACCGCTCCGGCGGCTCGCCTCCTCTGCGCCCCCGCGCCACCGTCGCCCGCCCGCCCGGGCCCCTGCAGCCGCCCAGCTGCCAGCACGGAGCGCCTGGCGGCGGAACGCAGACCCCAGGCCCGGCGCACACCGGGGACGCTGAGCGTTCCAGGCGGGAGGGAAGGCGGGCAGAGATGGAGAGAGGAACGGGAGACCTAGAGGGGCGGAAGGATGGGCGGAGGGACGTTAGGAGGGAGGGAGGGAGGCAGGGAGGCAGGGAGGAACGGAGGGAGAGACAGAGCGACGCAGGGACTGGGGGCGGGCGGGAGGGAGCCGGGGACGGGGGGAGGAAGGCAGGGAGGAAAAGCGGTCCTCGGCCTCCGGGAGTAGCGGGACCCCCGCCCTCCGGGAAAACGGTCAGCGTCCGGCGCGGGCTGAGGGCTGGGCCCACAGCCGCCGCGCCGGCCGGCGGGGCACCACCCATTCGCCCCGGTTCCGGGGCCCAGGGAGTGGGCGGTTTCCTCCGGGACAAAAGACCGGGACTCGGGTTGCCGTCGGGTCTTCACCCGCGCGGTTCACAGACCCCACATCCCCAGGCTGAGCCCTGCAACGCGGCGCGAGGCCGACAGCCCCGGCCACGGAGGAGCCACACGCAGGACGACGGAGGCGTGATTTTGGTTTCCGCGTGGCTTTGCCCTCCGCAAGGCGGCCTGTTGCTCACGTCTCTCCGGCCCCCGAAAGGCTGGCCATGCCGACTGTTTGCTCCCGGAGCTCTGCGGGCACCCGGAAACATGCAGGGAAGGGTGCAAGCCCGGCATGGTGCCTTCGCTCTCCTTGCCAGGTTCCAAACCGGCCACACTGCAGACTCCCCACGTTGCCGCACGCGGGAATCCATCGTCAGGCCATCACGCCGGGGAGGCATCTCCTCTCTGGGGTCTCGCTCTGGTCTTCTACGTGGAAATGAACGAGAGCCACACGCCTGCGTGTGCGAGACCGTCCCGGCAACGGCGACGCCCACAGGCATTGCCTCCTTCACGGAGAGAGGGCCTGGCACACTCAAGACTCCCACGGAGGTTCAGTTCCACACTCCCCTCCACCCTCCCAGGCTGGTTTCTCCCTGCTGCCGACGCGTGGGAGCCCAGAGAGCGGCTTCCCGTTCCCGCGGGATCCCTGGAGAGGTCCGGAGAGCCGGCCCCCGAAACGCGCCCCCCTCCCCCCTCCCCCCTCTCCCCCTTCCTCTTCGTCTCTCCGGCCCCACCACCACCACCGCCACCACGCCCTCCCCCACCACCCCCCCCCCCCACCACCACCACCACCACCCCGCCGGCCGGCCCCAGGCCTCGACGCCCTGGGTCCCTTCCGGGGTGGGGCGGGCTGTCCCAGGGGGGCTCACCGCCATTCATGAAGGGGTGGAGCCTGCCTGCCTGTGGGCCTTTACAAGGGCGGCTGGCTGGCTGGCTGGCTGTCCGGGCAGGCCTCCTGGCTGCACCTGCCGCAGTGCACAGTCCGGCTGAGGTGCACGGGAGCCCGCCGGCCTCTCTCTGCCCGCGTCCGTCCGTGAAATTCCGGCCGGGGCTCACCGCGATGGCCCTCCCGACACCCTCGGACAGCACCCTCCCCGCGGAAGCCCGGGGACGAGGACGGCGACGGAGACTCGTTTGGACCCCGAGCCAAAGCGAGGCCCTGCGAGCCTGCTTTGAGCGGAACCCGTACCCGGGCATCGCCACCAGAGAACGGCTGGCCCAGGCCATCGGCATTCCGGAGCCCAGGGTCCAGATTTGGTTTCAGAATGAGAGGTCACGCCAGCTGAGGCAGCACCGGCGGGAATCTCGGCCCTGGCCCGGGAGACGCGGCCCGCCAGAAGGCCGGCGAAAGCGGACCGCCGTCACCGGATCCCAGACCGCCCTGCTCCTCCGAGCCTTTGAGAAGGATCGCTTTCCAGGCATCGCCGCCCGGGAGGAGCTGGCCAGAGAGACGGGCCTCCCGGAGTCCAGGATTCAGATCTGGTTTCAGAATCGAAGGGCCAGGCACCCGGGACAGGGTGGCAGGGCGCCCGCGCAGGCAGGCGGCCTGTGCAGCGCGGCCCCCGGCGGGGGTCACCCTGCTCCCTCGTGGGTCGCCTTCGCCCACACCGGCGCGTGGGGAACGGGGCTTCCCGCACCCCACGTGCCCTGCGCGCCTGGGGCTCTCCCACAGGGGGCTTTCGTGAGCCAGGCAGCGAGGGCCGCCCCCGCGCTGCAGCCCAGCCAGGCCGCGCCGGCAGAGGGGGTCTCCCAACCTGCCCCGGCGCGCGGGGATTTCGCCTACGCCGCCCCGGCTCCTCCGGACGGGGCGCTCTCCCACCCTCAGGCTCCTCGGTGGCCTCCGCACCCGGGCAAAAGCCGGGAGGACCGGGACCCGCAGCGCGACGGCCTGCCGGGCCCCTGCGCGGTGGCACAGCCTGGGCCCGCTCAAGCGGGGCCGCAGGGCCAAGGGGTGCTTGCGCCACCCACGTCCCAGGGGAGTCCGTGGTGGGGCTGGGGCCGGGGTCCCCAGGTCGCCGGGGCGGCGTGGGAACCCCAAGCCGGGGCAGCTCCACCTCCCCAGCCCGCGCCCCCGGACGCCTCCGCCTCCGCGCGGCAGGGGCAGATGCAAGGCATCCCGGCGCCCTCCCAGGCGCTCCAGGAGCCGGCGCCCTGGTCTGCACTCCCCTGCGGCCTGCTGCTGGATGAGCTCCTGGCGAGCCCGGAGTTTCTGCAGCAGGCGCAACCTCTCCTAGAAACGGAGGCCCCGGGGGAGCTGGAGGCCTCGGAAGAGGCCGCCTCGCTGGAAGCACCCCTCAGCGAGGAAGAATACCGGGCTCTGCTGGAGGAGCTTTAGGACGCGGGGTTGGGACGGGGTCGGGTGGTTCGGGGCAGGGCGGTGGCCTCTCTTTCGCGGGGAACACCTGGCTGGCTACGGAGGGGCGTGTCTCCGCCCCGCCCCCTCCACCGGGCTGACCGGCCTGGGATTCCTGCCTTCTAGGTCCAGGCCCGGTGAGAGACTCCACACCGCGGAGAACTGCCATTCTTTCCTGGGCATCCCGGGGATCCCAGAGCCGGCCCAGGTACCAGCAGGTGGGCCGCCTACTGCGCACGCGCGGGTTTGCGGGCAGCCGCCTGGGCTGTGGGAGCAGCCCGGGCAGAGCTCTCCTGCCTCTCCACCAGCCCACCCCGCCGCCTGACCGCCCCCTCCCCACCCCCACCCCCCACCCCCGGAAAACGCGTCGTCCCCTGGGCTGGGTGGAGACCCCCGTCCCGCGAAACACCGGGCCCCGCGCAGCGTCCGGGCCTGACACCGCTCCGGCGGCTCGCCTCCTCTGCGCCCCCGCGCCACCGTCGCCCGCCCGCCCGGGCCCCTGCAGCCGCCCAGCTGCCAGCACGGAGCGCCTGGCGGCGGAACGCAGACCCCAGGCCCGGCGCACACCGGGGACGCTGAGCGTTCCAGGCGGGAGGGAAGGCGGGCAGAGATGGAGAGAGGAACGGGAGACCTAGAGGGGCGGAAGGATGGGCGGAGGGACGTTAGGAGGGAGGCAGGGAGGCAGGGAGGCAGGGAGGAACGGAGGGAGAGACAGAGCGACGCAGGGACTGGGGGCGGGCGGGAGGGAGCCGGGGACGGGGGGAGGAAGGCAGGGAGGAAAAGCGGTCCTCGGCCTCCGGGAGTAGCGGGACCCCCGCCCTCCGGGAAAACGGTCAGCGTCCGGCGCGGGCTGAGGGCTGGGCCCACAGCCGCCGCGCCGGCCGGCGGGGCACCACCCATTCGCCCCGGTTCCGGGGCCCAGGGAGTGGGCGGTTTCCTCCGGGACAAAAGACCGGGACTCGGGTTGCCGTCGGGTCTTCACCCGCGCGGTTCACAGACCCCACATCCCCAGGCTGAGCCCTGCAACGCGGCGCGAGGCCGACAGACCCGGCCACGGAGGAGCCACACGCAGGACGACGGAGGCGTGATTTTGGTTTCCGCGTGGCTTTGCCCTCCGCAAGGCGGCCTGTTGCTCACGTCTCTCCGGCCCCCGAAAGGCTGGCCATGCCGACTGTTTGCTCCCGGAGCTCTGCGGGCACCCGGAAACATGCAGGGAAGGGTGCAAGCCCGGCATGGTGCCTTCGCTCTCCTTGCCAGGTTCCAAACCGGCCACACTGCAGACTCCCCACGTTGCCGCACGCGGGAATCCATCGTCAGGCCATCACGCCGGGGAGGCATCTCCTCTCTGGGGTCTCGCTCTGGTCTTCTACGTGGAAATGAACGAGAGCCACACGCCTGCGTGTGCGAGACCGTCCCGGCAACGGCGACGCCCACAGGCATTGCCTCCTTCACGGAGAGAGGGCCTGGCACACTCAAGACTCCCACGGAGGTTCAGTTCCACACTCCCCTCCACCCTCCCAGGCTGGTTTCTCCCTGCTGCCGACGCGTGGGAGCCCAGAGAGCGGCTTCCCGTTCCCGCGGGATCCCTGGAGAGGTCCGGAGAGCCGGCCCCCGAAACGCGCCCCCCTCCCCCCTCCCCCCTCTCCCCCTTCCTCTTCGTCTCTCCGGCCCCACCACCACCACCGCCACCACGCCCTCCCCCACCACCCCCCCCCCCCACCACCACCACCACCACCCCGCCGGCCGGCCCCAGGCCTCGACGCCCTGGGTCCCTTCCGGGGTGGGGCGGGCTGTCCCAGGGGGGCTCACCGCCATTCATGAAGGGGTGGAGCCTGCCTGCCTGTGGGCCTTTACAAGGGCGGCTGGCTGGCTGGCTGGCTGTCCGGGCAGGCCTCCTGGCTGCACCTGCCGCAGTGCACAGTCCGGCTGAGGTGCACGGGAGCCCGCCGGCCTCTCTCTGCCCGCGTCCGTCCGTGAAATTCCGGCCGGGGCTCACCGCGATGGCCCTCCCGACACCCTCGGACAGCACCCTCCCCGCGGAAGCCCGGGGACGAGGACGGCGACGGAGACTCGTTTGGACCCCGAGCCAAAGCGAGGCCCTGCGAGCCTGCTTTGAGCGGAACCCGTACCCGGGCATCGCCACCAGAGAACGGCTGGCCCAGGCCATCGGCATTCCGGAGCCCAGGGTCCAGATTTGGTTTCAGAATGAGAGGTCACGCCAGCTGAGGCAGCACCGGCGGGAATCTCGGCCCTGGCCCGGGAGACGCGGCCCGCCAGAAGGCCGGCGAAAGCGGACCGCCGTCACCGGATCCCAGACCGCCCTGCTCCTCCGAGCCTTTGAGAAGGATCGCTTTCCAGGCATCGCCGCCCGGGAGGAGCTGGCCAGAGAGACGGGCCTCCCGGAGTCCAGGATTCAGATCTGGTTTCAGAATCGAAGGGCCAGGCACCCGGGACAGGGTGGCAGGGCGCCCGCGCAGGCAGGCGGCCTGTGCAGCGCGGCCCCCGGCGGGGGTCACCCTGCTCCCTCGTGGGTCGCCTTCGCCCACACCGGCGCGTGGGGAACGGGGCTTCCCGCACCCCACGTGCCCTGCGCGCCTGGGGCTCTCCCACAGGGGGCTTTCGTGAGCCAGGCAGCGAGGGCCGCCCCCGCGCTGCAGCCCAGCCAGGCCGCGCCGGCAGAGGGGGTCTCCCAACCTGCCCCGGCGCGCGGGGATTTCGCCTACGCCGCCCCGGCTCCTCCGGACGGGGCGCTCTCCCACCCTCAGGCTCCTCGGTGGCCTCCGCACCCGGGCAAAAGCCGGGAGGACCGGGACCCGCAGCGCGACGGCCTGCCGGGCCCCTGCGCGGTGGCACAGCCTGGGCCCGCTCAAGCGGGGCCGCAGGGCCAAGGGGTGCTTGCGCCACCCACGTCCCAGGGGAGTCCGTGGTGGGGCTGGGGCCGGGGTCCCCAGGTCGCCGGGGCGGCGTGGGAACCCCAAGCCGGGGCAGCTCCACCTCCCCAGCCCGCGCCCCCGGACGCCTCCGCCTCCGCGCGGCAGGGGCAGATGCAAGGCATCCCGGCGCCCTCCCAGGCGCTCCAGGAGCCGGCGCCCTGGTCTGCACTCCCCTGCGGCCTGCTGCTGGATGAGCTCCTGGCGAGCCCGGAGTTTCTGCAGCAGGCGCAACCTCTCCTAGAAACGGAGGCCCCGGGGGAGCTGGAGGCCTCGGAAGAGGCCGCCTCGCTGGAAGCACCCCTCAGCGAGGAAGAATACCGGGCTCTGCTGGAGGAGCTTTAGGACGCGGGGTTGGGACGGGGTCGGGTGGTTCGGGGCAGGGCGGTGGCCTCTCTTTCGCGGGGAACACCTGGCTGGCTACGGAGGGGCGTGTCTCCGCCCCGCCCCCTCCACCGGGCTGACCGGCCTGGGATTCCTGCCTTCTAGGTCCAGGCCCGGTGAGAGACTCCACACCGCGGAGAACTGCCATTCTTTCCTGGGCATCCCGGGGATCCCAGAGCCGGCCCAGGTACCAGCAGGTGGGCCGCCTACTGCGCACGCGCGGGTTTGCGGGCAGCCGCCTGGGCTGTGGGAGCAGCCCGGGCAGAGCTCTCCTGCCTCTCCACCAGCCCACCCCGCCGCCTGACCGCCCCCTCCCCACCCCCACCCCCCACCCCCGGAAAACGCGTCGTCCCCTGGGCTGGGTGGAGACCCCCGTCCCGCGAAACACCGGGCCCCGCGCAGCGTCCGGGCCTGACACCGCTCCGGCGGCTCGCCTCCTCTGCGCCCCCGCGCCACCGTCGCCCGCCCGCCCGGGCCCCTGCAGCCGCCCAGCTGCCAGCACGGAGCGCCTGGCGGCGGAACGCAGACCCCAGGCCCGGCGCACACCGGGGACGCTGAGCGTTCCAGGCGGGAGGGAAGGCGGGCAGAGATGGAGAGAGGAACGGGAGACCTAGAGGGGCGGAAGGATGGGCGGAGGGACGTTAGGAGGGAGGGAGGGAGGCAGGGAGGCAGGGAGGAACGGAGGGAGAGACAGAGCGACGCAGGGACTGGGGGCGGGCGGGAGGGAGCCGGGGACGGACGGGGGGAGGAAGGCAGGGAGGAAAAGCGGTCCTCGGCCTCCGGGAGTAGCGGGACCCCCGCCCTCCGGGAAAACGGTCAGCGTCCGGCGCGGGCTGAGGGCTGGGCCCACAGCCGCCGCGCCGGCCGGCGGGGCACCACCCATTCGCCCCGGTTCCGGGGCCCAGGGAGTGGGCGGTTTCCTCCGGGACAAAAGACCGGGACTCGGGTTGCCGTCGGGTCTTCACCCGCGCGGTTCACAGACCGCACATCCCCAGGCTGAGCCCTGCAACGCGGCGCGAGGCCGACAGACCCGGCCACGGAGGAGCCACACGCAGGACGACGGAGGCGTGATTTTGGTTTCCGCGTGGCTTTGCCCTCCGCAAGGCGGCCTGTTGCTCACGTCTCTCCGGCCCCCGAAAGGCTGGCCATGCCGACTGTTTGCTCCCGGAGCTCTGCGGGCACCCGGAAACATGCAGGGAAGGGTGCAAGCCCGGCATGGTGCCTTCGCTCTCCTTGCCAGGTTCCAAACCGGCCACACTGCAGACTCCCCACGTTGCCGCACGCGGGAATCCATCGTCAGGCCATCACGCCGGGGAGGCATCTCCTCTCTGGGGTCTCGCTCTGGTCTTCTACGTGGAAATGAACGAGAGCCACACGCCTGCGTGTGCGAGACCGTCCCGGCAACGGCGACGCCCACAGGCATTGCCTCCTTCACGGAGAGAGGGCCTGGCACACTCAAGACTCCCACGGAGGTTCAGTTCCACACTCCCCTCCACCCTCCCAGGCTGGTTTCTCCCTGCTGCCGACGCGTGGGAGCCCAGAGAGCGGCTTCCCGTTCCCGCGGGATCCCTGGAGAGGTCAGAAGAGCCGGCCCCCGAAACGCGCCCCCCTCCCCCCTCCCCCCTCTCCCCCTTCCTCTTCGTCTCTCCGGCCCCACCACCACCACCGCCACCACGCCCTCCCCCCCCACCCCCCCCCCCCACCACCACCACCACCACCACCCCGCCGGCCGGCCCCAGGCCTCGACGCCCTGGGTCCCTTCCGGGGTGGGGCGGGCTGTCCCAGGGGGGCTCACCGCCATTCATGAAGGGGTGGAGCCTGCCTGCCTGTGGGCCTTTACAAGGGCGGCTGGCTGGCTGGCTGGCTGTCCGGGCAGGCCTCCTGGCTGCACCTGCCGCAGTGCACAGTCCGGCTGAGGTGCACGGGAGCCCGCCGGCCTCTCTCTGCCCGCGTCCGTCCGTGAAATTCCGGCCGGGGCTCACCGCGATGGCCCTCCCGACACCTTCGGACAGCACCCTCCCCGCGGAAGCCCGGGGACGAGGACGGCGACGGAGACTCGTTTGGACCCCGAGCCAAAGCGAGGCCCTGCGAGCCTGCTTTGAGCGGAACCCGTACCCGGGCATCGCCACCAGAGAACGGCTGGCCCAGGCCATCGGCATTCCGGAGCCCAGGGTCCAGATTTGGTTTCAGAATGAGAGGTCACGCCAGCTGAGGCAGCACCGGCGGGAATCTCGGCCCTGGCCCGGGAGACGCGGCCCGCCAGAAGGCCGGCGAAAGCGGACCGCCGTCACCGGATCCCAGACCGCCCTGCTCCTCCGAGCCTTTGAGAAGGATCGCTTTCCAGGCATCGCCGCCCGGGAGGAGCTGGCCAGAGAGACGGGCCTCCCGGAGTCCAGGATTCAGATCTGGTTTCAGAATCGAAGGGCCAGGCACCCGGGACAGGGTGGCAGGGCGCCCGCGCAGGCAGGCGGCCTGTGCAGCGCGGCCCCCGGCGGGGGTCACCCTGCTCCCTCGTGGGTCGCCTTCGCCCACACCGGCGCGTGGGGAACGGGGCTTCCCGCACCCCACGTGCCCTGCGCGCCTGGGGCTCTCCCACAGGGGGCTTTCGTGAGCCAGGCAGCGAGGGCCGCCCCCGCGCTGCAGCCCAGCCAGGCCGCGCCGGCAGAGGGGGTCTCCCAACCTGCCCCGGCGCGCGGGGATTTCGCCTACGCCGCCCCGGCTCCTCCGGACGGGGCGCTCTCCCACCCTCAGGCTCCTCGGTGGCCTCCGCACCCGGGCAAAAGCCGGGAGGACCGGGACCCGCAGCGCGACGGCCTGCCGGGCCCCTGCGCGGTGGCACAGCCTGGGCCCGCTCAAGCGGGGCCGCAGGGCCAAGGGGTGCTTGCGCCACCCACGTCCCAGGGGAGTCCGTGGTGGGGCTGGGGCCGGGGTCCCCAGGTCGCTGGGGCGGCGTGGGAACCCCAAGCCGGGGAAGCTCCACCTCCCCAGCCCGCGCCCCCGGACGCCTCCGCGCGGCAGGGGCAGATGCAAGGCATCCCGGCGCCCTCCCAGGCGCTCCAGGAGCCGGCGCCCTGGTCTGCACTCCCCTGCGGCCTGCTGCTGGATGAGCTCCTGGCGAGCCCGGAGTTTCTGCAGCAGGCGCAACCTCTCCTAGAAACGGAGGCCCCGGGGGAGCTGGAGGCCTCGGAAGAGGCCGCCTCGCTGGAAGCACCCCTCAGCGAGGAAGAATACCGGGCTCTGCTGGAGGAGCTTTAGGACGCGGGGTTGGGACGGGGTCGGGTGGTTCGGGGCAGGGCGGTGGCCTCTCTTTCGCGGGGAACACCTGGCTGGCTACGGAGGGGCGTGTCTCCGCCCCGCCCCCTCCACCGGGCTGACCGGCCTGGGATTCCTGCCTTCTAGGTCTAGGCCCGGTGAGAGACTCCACACCGCGGAGAACTGCCATTCTTTCCTGGGCATCCCGGGGATCCCAGAGCCGGCCCAGGTACCAGCAGGTGGGCCGCCTACTGCGCACGCGCGGGTTTGCGGGCAGCCGCCTGGGCTGTGGGAGCAGCCCGGGCAGAGCTCTCCTGCCTCTCCACCAGCCCACCCCGCCGCCTGACCGCCCCCTCCCCACCCCCACCCCCCACCCCCGGAAAACGCGTCGTCCCCTGGGCTGGGTGGAGACCCCCGTCCCGCGAAACACCGGGCCCCGCGCAGCGTCCGGGCCTGACACCGCTCCGGCGGCTCGCCTCCTCTGCGCCCCCGCGCCACCGTCGCCCGCCCGCCCGGGCCCCTGCAGCCGCCCAGCTGCCAGCACGGAGCGCCTGGCGGCGGAACGCAGACCCCAGGCCCGGCGCACACCGGGGACGCTGAGCGTTCCAGGCGGGAGGGAAGGCGGGCAGAGATGGAGAGAGGAACGGGAGACCTAGAGGGGCGGAAGGACGGGCGGAGGGACGTTAGGAGGGAGGCAGGGAGGCAGGGAGGCAGGGAGGAACGGAGGGAGAGACAGAGCGACGCAGGGACTGGGGGCGGGCGGGAGGGAGCCGGGGACGGACGGGGGGAGGAAGGCAGGGAGGAAAAGCGGTCCTCGGCCTCCGGGAGTAGCGGGACCCCCGCCCTCCGGGAAAACGGTCAGCGTCCGGCGCGGGCTGAGGGCTGGGCCCACAGCCGCCGCGCCGGCCGGCGGGGCACCACCCATTCGCCCCGGTTCCGGGGCCCAGGGAGTGGGCGGTTTCCTCCGGGACAAAAGACCGGGACTCGGGTTGCCGTCGGGTCTTCACCCGCGCGGTTCACAGACCGCACATCCCCAGGCTGAGCCCTGCAACGCGGCGCGAGGCCGACAGACCCGGCCACGGAGGAGCCACACGCAGGACGACGGAGGCGTGATTTTGGTTTCCGCGTGGCTTTGCCCTCCGCAAGGCGGCCTGTTGCTCACGTCTCTCCGGCCCCCGAAAGGCTGGCCATGCCGACTGTTTGCTCCCGGAGCTCTGCGGGCACCCGGAAACATGCAGGGAAGGGTGCAAGCCCGGCATGGTGCCTTCGCTCTCCTTGCCAGGTTCCAAACCGGCCACACTGCAGACTCCCCACGTTGCCGCACGCGGGAATCCATCGTCAGGCCATCACGCCGGGGAGGCATCTCCTCTCTGGGGTCTCGCTCTGGTCTTCTACGTGGAAATGAACGAGAGCCACACGCCTGCGTGTGCGAGACCGTCCCGGCAACGGCGACGCCCACAGGCATTGCCTCCTTCACGGAGAGAGGGCCTGGCACACTCAAGACTCCCACGGAGGTTCAGTTCCACACTCCCCTCCACCCTCCCAGGCTGGTTTCTCCCTGCTGCCGACGCGTGGGAGCCCAGAGAGCGGCTTCCCGTTCCCGCGGGATCCCTGGAGAGGTCCGGAGAGCCGGCCCCCGAAACGCGCCCCCCTCCCCCCTCCCCCCTCTCCCCCTTCCTCTTCGTCTCTCCGGCCCCACCACCACCACCGCCACCACGCCCTCCCCCACCACCCCCCCCCCCCACCACCACCACCACCACCACCCCGCCGGCCGGCCCCAGGCCTCGACGCCCTGGGTCCCTTCCGGGGTGGGGCGGGCTGTCCCAGGGGGGCTCACCGCCATTCATGAAGGGGTGGAGCCTGCCTGCCTGTGGGCCTTTACAAGGGCGGCTGGCTGGCTGGCTGGCTGTCCGGGCAGGCCTCCTGGCTGCACCTGCCGCAGTGCACAGTCCGGCTGAGGTGCACGGGAGCCCGCCGGCCTCTCTCTGCCCGCGTCCGTCCGTGAAATTCCGGCCGGGGCTCACCGCGATGGCCCTCCCGACACCCTCGGACAGCACCCTCCCCGCGGAAGCCCGGGGACGAGGACGGCGACGGAGACTCGTTTGGACCCCGAGCCAAAGCGAGGCCCTGCGAGCCTGCTTTGAGCGGAACCCGTACCCGGGCATCGCCACCAGAGAACGGCTGGCCCAGGCCATCGGCATTCCGGAGCCCAGGGTCCAGATTTGGTTTCAGAATGAGAGGTCACGCCAGCTGAGGCAGCACCGGCGGGAATCTCGGCCCTGGCCCGGGAGACGCGGCCCGCCAGAAGGCCGGCGAAAGCGGACCGCCGTCACCGGATCCCAGACCGCCCTGCTCCTCCGAGCCTTTGAGAAGGATCGCTTTCCAGGCATCGCCGCCCGGGAGGAGCTGGCCAGAGAGACGGGCCTCCCGGAGTCCAGGATTCAGATCTGGTTTCAGAATCGAAGGGCCAGGCACCCGGGACAGGGTGGCAGGGCGCCCGCGCAGGCAGGCGGCCTGTGCAGCGCGGCCCCCGGCGGGGGTCACCCTGCTCCCTCGTGGGTCGCCTTCGCCCACACCGGCGCGTGGGGAACGGGGCTTCCCGCACCCCACGTGCCCTGCGCGCCTGGGGCTCTCCCACAGGGGGCTTTCGTGAGCCAGGCAGCGAGGGCCGCCCCCGCGCTGCAGCCCAGCCAGGCCGCGCCGGCAGAGGGGGTCTCCCAACCTGCCCCGGCGCGCGGGGATTTCGCCTACGCCGCCCCGGCTCCTCCGGACGGGGCGCTCTCCCACCCTCAGGCTCCTCGGTGGCCTCCGCACCCGGGCAAAAGCCGGGAGGACCGGGACCCGCAGCGCGACGGCCTGCCGGGCCCCTGCGCGGTGGCACAGCCTGGGCCCGCTCAAGCGGGGCCGCAGGGCCAAGGGGTGCTTGCGCCACCCACGTCCCAGGGGAGTCCGTGGTGGGGCTGGGGCCGGGGTCCCCAGGTCGCCGGGGCGGCGTGGGAACCCCAAGCCGGGGCAGCTCCACCTCCCCAGCCCGCGCCCCCGGACGCCTCCGCCTCCGCGCGGCAGGGGCAGATGCAAGGCATCCCGGCGCCCTCCCAGGCGCTCCAGGAGCCGGCGCCCTGGTCTGCACTCCCCTGCGGCCTGCTGCTGGATGAGCTCCTGGCGAGCCCGGAGTTTCTGCAGCAGGCGCAACCTCTCCTAGAAACGGAGGCCCCGGGGGAGCTGGAGGCCTCGGAAGAGGCCGCCTCGCTGGAAGCACCCCTCAGCGAGGAAGAATACCGGGCTCTGCTGGAGGAGCTTTAGGACGCGGGGTTGGGACGGGGTCGGGTGGTTCGGGGCAGGGCGGTGGCCTCTCTTTCGCGGGGAACACCTGGCTGGCTACGGAGGGGCGTGTCTCCGCCCCGCCCCCTCCACCGGGCTGACCGGCCTGGGATTCCTGCCTTCTAGGTCCAGGCCCGGTGAGAGACTCCACACCGCGGAGAACTGCCATTCTTTCCTGGGCATCCCGGGGATCCCAGAGCCGGCCCAGGTACCAGCAGGTGGGCCGCCTACTGCGCACGCGCGGGTTTGCGGGCAGCCGCCTGGGCTGTGGGAGCAGCCCGGGCAGAGCTCTCCTGCCTCTCCACCAGCCCACCCCGCCGCCTGACCGCCCCCTCCCCACCCCCACCCCCCACCCCCGGAAAACGCGTCGTCCCCTGGGCTGGGTGGAGACCCCCGTCCCGCGAAACACCGGGCCCCGCGCAGCGTCCGGGCCTGACACCGCTCCGGCGGCTCGCCTCCTCTGCGCCCCCGCGCCACCGTCGCCCGCCCGCCCGGGCCCCTGCAGCCGCCCAGCTGCCAGCACGGAGCGCCTGGCGGCGGAACGCAGACCCCAGGCCCGGCGCACACCGGGGACGCTGAGCGTTCCAGGCGGGAGGGAAGGCGGGCAGAGATGGAGAGAGGAACGGGAGACCTAGAGGGGCGGAAGGATGGGCGGAGGGACGTTAGGAGGGAGGCAGGGAGGCAGGGAGGCAGGGAGGAACGGAGGGAGAGACAGAGCGACGCAGGGACTGGGGGCGGGCGGGAGGGAGCCGGGGACGGGGGGAGGAAGGCAGGGAGGAAAAGCGGTCCTCGGCCTCCGGGAGTAGCGGGACCCCCGCCCTCCGGGAAAACGGTCAGCGTCCGGCGCGGGCTGAGGGCTGGGCCCACAGCCGCCGCGCCGGCCGGCGGGGCACCACCCATTCGCCCCGGTTCCGGGGCCCAGGGAGTGGGCGGTTTCCTCCGGGACAAAAGACCGGGACTCGGGTTGCCGTCGGGTCTTCACCCGCGCGGTTCACAGACCGCACATCCCCAGGCTGAGCCCTGCAACGCGGCGCGAGGCCGACAGCCCCGGCCACGGAGGAGCCACACGCAGGACGACGGAGGCGTGATTTTGGTTTCCGCGTGGCTTTGCCCTCCGCAAGGCGGCCTGTTGCTCACGTCTCTCCGGCCCCCGAAAGGCTGGCCATGCCGACTGTTTGCTCCCGGAGCTCTGCGGGCACCCGGAAACATGCAGGGAAGGGTGCAAGCCCGGCATGGTGCCTTCGCTCTCCTTGCCAGGTTCCAAACCGGCCACACTGCAGACTCCCCACGTTGCCGCACGCGGGAATCCATCGTCAGGCCATCACGCCGGGGAGGCATCTCCTCTCTGGGGTCTCGCTCTGGTCTTCTACGTGGAAATGAACGAGAGCCACACGCCTGCGTGTGCGAGACCGTCCCGGCAACGGCGACGCCCACAGGCATTGCCTCCTTCACGGAGAGAGGGCCTGGCACACTCAAGACTCCCACGGAGGTTCAGTTCCACACTCCCCTCCACCCTCCCAGGCTGGTTTCTCCCTGCTGCCGACGCGTGGGAGCCCAGAGAGCGGCTTCCCGTTCCCGCGGGATCCCTGGAGAGGTCCGGAGAGCCGGCCCCCGAAACGCGCCCCCCTCCCCCCTCCCCCCTCTCCCCCTTCCTCTTCGTCTCTCCGGCCCCACCACCACCACCGCCACCACGCCCTCCCCCACCACCCCCCCCCCCCACCACCACCACCACCACCCCGCCGGCCGGCCCCAGGCCTCGACGCCCTGGGTCCCTTCCGGGGTGGGGCGGGCTGTCCCAGGGGGGCTCACCGCCATTCATGAAGGGGTGGAGCCTGCCTGCCTGTGGGCCTTTACAAGGGCGGCTGGCTGGCTGGCTGGCTGTCCGGGCAGGCCTCCTGGCTGCACCTGCCGCAGTGCACAGTCCGGCTGAGGTGCACGGGAGCCCGCCGGCCTCTCTCTGCCCGCGTCCGTCCGTGAAATTCCGGCCGGGGCTCACCGCGATGGCCCTCCCGACACCCTCGGACAGCACCCTCCCCGCGGAAGCCCGGGGACGAGGACGGCGACGGAGACTCGTTTGGACCCCGAGCCAAAGCGAGGCCCTGCGAGCCTGCTTTGAGCGGAACCCGTACCCGGGCATCGCCACCAGAGAACGGCTGGCCCAGGCCATCGGCATTCCGGAGCCCAGGGTCCAGATTTGGTTTCAGAATGAGAGGTCACGCCAGCTGAGGCAGCACCGGCGGGAATCTCGGCCCTGGCCCGGGAGACGCGGCCCGCCAGAAGGCCGGCGAAAGCGGACCGCCGTCACCGGATCCCAGACCGCCCTGCTCCTCCGAGCCTTTGAGAAGGATCGCTTTCCAGGCATCGCCGCCCGGGAGGAGCTGGCCAGAGAGACGGGCCTCCCGGAGTCCAGGATTCAGATCTGGTTTCAGAATCGAAGGGCCAGGCACCCGGGACAGGGTGGCAGGGCGCCCGCGCAGGCAGGCGGCCTGTGCAGCGCGGCCCCCGGCGGGGGTCACCCTGCTCCCTCGTGGGTCGCCTTCGCCCACACCGGCGCGTGGGGAACGGGGCTTCCCGCACCCCACGTGCCCTGCGCGCCTGGGGCTCTCCCACAGGGGGCTTTCGTGAGCCAGGCAGCGAGGGCCGCCCCCGCGCTGCAGCCCAGCCAGGCCGCGCCGGCAGAGGGGGTCTCCCAACCTGCCCCGGCGCGCGGGGATTTCGCCTACGCCGCCCCGGCTCCTCCGGACGGGGCGCTCTCCCACCCTCAGGCTCCTCGGTGGCCTCCGCACCCGGGCAAAAGCCGGGAGGACCGGGACCCGCAGCGCGACGGCCTGCCGGGCCCCTGCGCGGTGGCACAGCCTGGGCCCGCTCAAGCGGGGCCGCAGGGCCAAGGGGTGCTTGCGCCACCCACGTCCCAGGGGAGTCCGTGGTGGGGCTGGGGCCGGGGTCCCCAGGTCGCCGGGGCGGCGTGGGAACCCCAAGCCGGGGCAGCTCCACCTCCCCAGCCCGCGCCCCCGGACGCCTCCGCCTCCGCGCGGCAGGGGCAGATGCAAGGCATCCCGGCGCCCTCCCAGGCGCTCCAGGAGCCGGCGCCCTGGTCTGCACTCCCCTGCGGCCTGCTGCTGGATGAGCTCCTGGCGAGCCCGGAGTTTCTGCAGCAGGCGCAACCTCTCCTAGAAACGGAGGCCCCGGGGGAGCTGGAGGCCTCGGAAGAGGCCGCCTCGCTGGAAGCACCCCTCAGCGAGGAAGAATACCGGGCTCTGCTGGAGGAGCTTTAGGACGCGGGGTTGGGACGGGGTCGGGTGGTTCGGGGCAGGGCGGTGGCCTCTCTTTCGCGGGGAACACCTGGCTGGCTACGGAGGGGCGTGTCTCCGCCCCGCCCCCTCCACCGGGCTGACCGGCCTGGGATTCCTGCCTTCTAGGTCCAGGCCCGGTGAGAGACTCCACACCGCGGAGAACTGCCATTCTTTCCTGGGCATCCCGGGGATCCCAGAGCCGGCCCAGGTACCAGCAGGTGGGCCGCCTACTGCGCACGCGCGGGTTTGCGGGCAGCCGCCTGGGCTGTGGGAGCAGCCCGGGCAGAGCTCTCCTGCCTCTCCACCAGCCCACCCCGCCGCCTGACCGCCCCCTCCCCACCCCCACCCCCCACCCCCGGAAAACGCGTCGTCCCCTGGGCTGGGTGGAGACCCCCGTCCCGCGAAACACCGGGCCCCGCGCAGCGTCCGGGCCTGACACCGCTCCGGCGGCTCGCCTCCTCTGCGCCCCCGCGCCACCGTCGCCCGCCCGCCCGGGCCCCTGCAGCCGCCCAGCTGCCAGCACGGAGCGCCTGGCGGCGGAACGCAGACCCCAGGCCCGGCGCACACCGGGGACGCTGAGCGTTCCAGGCGGGAGGGAAGGCGGGCAGAGATGGAGAGAGGAACGGGAGACCTAGAGGGGCGGAAGGACGGGCGGAGGGACGTTAGGAGGGAGGCAGGGAGGCAGGGAGGCAGGGAGGAACGGAGGGAGAGACAGAGCGACGCAGGGACTGGGGGCGGGCGGGAGGGAGCCGGGGACGGACGGGGGGAGGAAGGCAGGGAGGAAAAGCGGTCCTCGGCCTCCGGGAGTAGCGGGACCCCCGCCCTCCGGGAAAACGGTCAGCGTCCGGCGCGGGCTGAGGGCTGGGCCCACAGCCGCCGCGCCGGCCGGCGGGGCACCACCCATTCGCCCCGGTTCCGGGGCCCAGGGAGTGGGCGGTTTCCTCCGGGACAAAAGACCGGGACTCGGGTTGCCGTCGGGTCTTCACCCGCGCGGTTCACAGACCGCACATCCCCAGGCTGAGCCCTGCAACGCGGCGCGAGGCCGACAGCCCCGGCCACGGAGGAGCCACACGCAGGACGACGGAGGCGTGATTTTGGTTTCCGCGTGGCTTTGCCCTCCGCAAGGCGGCCTGTTGCTCACGTCTCTCCGGCCCCCGAAAGGCTGGCCATGCCGACTGTTTGCTCCCGGAGCTCTGCGGGCACCCGGAAACATGCAGGGAAGGGTGCAAGCCCGGCATGGTGCCTTCGCTCTCCTTGCCAGGTTCCAAACCGGCCACACTGCAGACTCCCCACGTTGCCGCACGCGGGAATCCATCGTCAGGCCATCACGCCGGGGAGGCATCTCCTCTCTGGGGTCTCGCTCTGGTCTTCTACGTGGAAATGAACGAGAGCCACACGCCTGCGTGTGCGAGACCGTCCCGGCAACGGCGACGCCCACAGGCATTGCCTCCTTCACGGAGAGAGGGCCTGGCACACTCAAGACTCCCACGGAGGTTCAGTTCCACACTCCCCTCCACCCTCCCAGGCTGGTTTCTCCCTGCTGCCGACGCGTGGGAGCCCAGAGAGCGGCTTCCCGTTCCCGCGGGATCCCTGGAGAGGTCCGGAGAGCCGGCCCCCGAAACGCGCCCCCCTCCCCCCTCCCCCCTCTCCCCCTTCCTCTTCGTCTCTCCGGCCCCACCACCACCACCGCCACCACGCCCTCCCCCACCACCCCCCCCCCCCACCACCACCACCACCACCACCCCGCCGGCCGGCCCCAGGCCTCGACGCCCTGGGTCCCTTCCGGGGTGGGGCGGGCTGTCCCAGGGGGGCTCACCGCCATTCATGAAGGGGTGGAGCCTGCCTGCCTGTGGGCCTTTACAAGGGCGGCTGGCTGGCTGGCTGGCTGTCCGGGCAGGCCTCCTGGCTGCACCTGCCGCAGTGCACAGTCCGGCTGAGGTGCACGGGAGCCCGCCGGCCTCTCTCTGCCCGCGTCCGTCCGTGAAATTCCGGCCGGGGCTCACCGCGATGGCCCTCCCGACACCCTCGGACAGCACCCTCCCCGCGGAAGCCCGGGGACGAGGACGGCGACGGAGACTCGTTTGGACCCCGAGCCAAAGCGAGGCCCTGCGAGCCTGCTTTGAGCGGAACCCGTACCCGGGCATCGCCACCAGAGAACGGCTGGCCCAGGCCATCGGCATTCCGGAGCCCAGGGTCCAGATTTGGTTTCAGAATGAGAGGTCACGCCAGCTGAGGCAGCACCGGCGGGAATCTCGGCCCTGGCCCGGGAGACGCGGCCCGCCAGAAGGCCGGCGAAAGCGGACCGCCGTCACCGGATCCCAGACCGCCCTGCTCCTCCGAGCCTTTGAGAAGGATCGCTTTCCAGGCATCGCCGCCCGGGAGGAGCTGGCCAGAGAGACGGGCCTCCCGGAGTCCAGGATTCAGATCTGGTTTCAGAATCGAAGGGCCAGGCACCCGGGACAGGGTGGCAGGGCGCCCGCGCAGGCAGGCGGCCTGTGCAGCGCGGCCCCCGGCGGGGGTCACCCTGCTCCCTCGTGGGTCGCCTTCGCCCACACCGGCGCGTGGGGAACGGGGCTTCCCGCACCCCACGTGCCCTGCGCGCCTGGGGCTCTCCCACAGGGGGCTTTCGTGAGCCAGGCAGCGAGGGCCGCCCCCGCGCTGCAGCCCAGCCAGGCCGCGCCGGCAGAGGGGGTCTCCCAACCTGCCCCGGCGCGCGGGGATTTCGCCTACGCCGCCCCGGCTCCTCCGGACGGGGCGCTCTCCCACCCTCAGGCTCCTCGGTGGCCTCCGCACCCGGGCAAAAGCCGGGAGGACCGGGACCCGCAGCGCGACGGCCTGCCGGGCCCCTGCGCGGTGGCACAGCCTGGGCCCGCTCAAGCGGGGCCGCAGGGCCAAGGGGTGCTTGCGCCACCCACGTCCCAGGGGAGTCCGTGGTGGGGCTGGGGCCGGGGTCCCCAGGTCGCCGGGGCGGCGTGGGAACCCCAAGCCGGGGCAGCTCCACCTCCCCAGCCCGCGCCCCCGGACGCCTCCGCCTCCGCGCGGCAGGGGCAGATGCAAGGCATCCCGGCGCCCTCCCAGGCGCTCCAGGAGCCGGCGCCCTGGTCTGCACTCCCCTGCGGCCTGCTGCTGGATGAGCTCCTGGCGAGCCCGGAGTTTCTGCAGCAGGCGCAACCTCTCCTAGAAACGGAGGCCCCGGGGGAGCTGGAGGCCTCGGAAGAGGCCGCCTCGCTGGAAGCACCCCTCAGCGAGGAAGAATACCGGGCTCTGCTGGAGGAGCTTTAGGACGCGGGGTTGGGACGGGGTCGGGTGGTTCGGGGCAGGGCGGTGGCCTCTCTTTCGCGGGGAACACCTGGCTGGCTACGGAGGGGCGTGTCTCCGCCCCGCCCCCTCCACCGGGCTGACCGGCCTGGGATTCCTGCCTTCTAGGTCCAGGCCCGGTGAGAGACTCCACACCGCGGAGAACTGCCATTCTTTCCTGGGCATCCCGGGGATCCCAGAGCCGGCCCAGGTACCAGCAGGTGGGCCGCCTACTGCGCACGCGCGGGTTTGCGGGCAGCCGCCTGGGCTGTGGGAGCAGCCCGGGCAGAGCTCTCCTGCCTCTCCACCAGCCCACCCCGCCGCCTGACCGCCCCCTCCCCACCCCCACCCCCCACCCCCGGAAAACGCGTCGTCCCCTGGGCTGGGTGGAGACCCCCGTCCCGCGAAACACCGGGCCCCGCGCAGCGTCCGGGCCTGACACCGCTCCGGCGGCTCGCCTCCTCTGCGCCCCCGCGCCACCGTCGCCCGCCCGCCCGGGCCCCTGCAGCCGCCCAGCTGCCAGCACGGAGCGCCTGGCGGCGGAACGCAGACCCCAGGCCCGGCGCACACCGGGGACGCTGAGCGTTCCAGGCGGGAGGGAAGGCGGGCAGAGATGGAGAGAGGAACGGGAGACCTAGAGGGGCGGAAGGACGGGCGGAGGGACGTTAGGAGGGAGGCAGGGAGGCAGGGAGGCAGGGAGGAACGGAGGGAGAGACAGAGCGACGCAGGGACTGGGGGCGGGCGGGAGGGAGCCGGGGACGGACGGGGGGAGGAAGGCAGGGAGGAAAAGCGGTCCTCGGCCTCCGGGAGTAGCGGGACCCCCGCCCTCCGGGAAAACGGTCAGCGTCCGGCGCGGGCTGAGGGCTGGGCCCACAGCCGCCGCGCCGGCCGGCGGGGCACCACCCATTCGCCCCGGTTCCGGGGCCCAGGGAGTGGGCGGTTTCCTCCGGGACAAAAGACCGGGACTCGAGACTCCGTTCAATAAATGGTGCTGGGATAACTGGCTAGCCACATGCTGAAGATTGAACTGGGCCCCTTTCTTACACCATACACAAAAATGAACTCAGGATGGATTAAAGACTTAAGTGTAAAACCCAAAAATATAAAAACCCTGGAAGACAACCTAGGCAATACCATCCTGGACATAAGGACAGGCAAAGATTTCATGACAAAGACAACAAAAGCAATAGCAATGAAAGCAAAAATTGACGTGGGATCTAGTTAAACTAAAGAGCTTCTACACAGCAAAAGAAACTATCAACAAAGTAAACAGGCAACTTGCAGATTGGGAGAAAGTATTTACAAACTATGCATCTGACAAAGGTCTAATATCCAGCATCTATAAGGAACTTAAACAAATTTACAAGAGAAAAACAACCCCATTAAAAAGTGGGCCAAGGACATAAAGAGACACTTCTCCAAAGGAGACAAACATGTGTGCCGGGCGTGGTGGCTCACGCCTGTAATTCCTGCATTTTGGGAGGCCAAGGAGGGTGGATCACAACGTCAGGAGATTGAGACCATCCTGACTAACATGGTGAAACCCCGTCTCTACTAAAAATACAAAAAATTAGCCGGGTGTGGTGGCAGGCACCTGTAGTCCCAGCTACTTGGGAGGCTGAGGCAGGAGAATGGCGTGAACCAAGGAGGCAGAGCTTGCAGTTAGCTGAGATCGCACCACTGCACTCTGGCCTGGGTGACAGAGCGAGACTCGGGCTAAGAAAAAAAAAAAAAAAAAAGGCAAACGTGGCAAACAAACATATGGAAAAAAGCTCTAGATCACTGATCACTAGAGAAATGCTCATCAAAACCACAGTGAGGCACCATCTCACACCAGTCAGAATGGCTATTACTAAAAACTAAAAAACTAACAGAAGTTGGCAAGATTGCAGGGAAAAGTGAACATGTATACACCATTGGTGGGAGTGTAAGTTAATTCAACTGTGGTGGAAAGCAGTATGGTGATTCCTCAAAGAGCTAAAAGCAGAACTACAACATTTGACCTAGCAATCCCATTACTGGTTATATACCCAGATGAATATAAATCATTCTACCATGAAGTTACATGCATGCAAATGTTCATTGCAGCACTATTCACAATAGCAAAGACATAGAATCAACCCAAATACTCATCAGTCACGGATTGGATAAAGAAAATGTGCTACATATACACCATGGAATAATATGCAGCCATAAAAAAGAATGAGATTATGTCTTTTGCATTAGTATGGATGAAGCTGAAGGGTATTATCCTTAGCAAACTAACGCAGGAACAGAAAACCAAATACAGCATGTTCTAACTTATAAGTGGGAGCTAAATGATAAGAACTTGTGAACACAAAGAAGGAAACAAAAGACACTGGGGTCTACTTGATGGGGGGAGGGTGGGAGGAGGGAGAGGAGCAGAAAAGATAACTATTGGATACTGGGCCTAATACCTGGATGATGAAATAACAGGTACAACAAACCCCTGTGACACGTATTTAACTGTATAACAAACCCTCCCGTGTACCCCCTAACCTAAAATAAAAGTTAAAAAAAAAGAAACACAGCTTTTTATTTTTTTTCTTTTTAATCCCATAAAGGTCATGGGCCATTTGCCACCTGAACAGTCAGTAACACATGAGTGGAAAGAAACTGAACACCCAGGGACACCAGAGACCGTTCACTGTAGAGGAAGGAGGCAGGTATAACTCATAAGGTGATCTTCCTCCAGTCCCAGAGTTGTTCCCCTCTCCTTAAATGTGGGTCCCATGGAATTCAGACTAGGAAGTAAAGCAAATGAGAAAGGCCTACAGGGGAGCAGTTCAAATGTGTGGAAAAGGATAGAGCAGCCCCAATGAGGAAGGAAGGCTGGACAAGCAATGGATTTGTAGGGAAGACAATGTGCACCCATCGGAGCTCTGATTCCTTCATTTTCACTACCCTCCCCTGCCCACTAACATAAAAAAAGTATTGATGGCAAGTGTTGGGCCATAAGACATTTCCTTGCTTTATAATCTGGATTTGGGGGGTTACATTTCAGAGATAATGAAAATCTCCTCCTTTAGTTAACTTTTAATTTCATAATTGTAACTTTGTTTTTACAGATTTGTGAACATGTAAAACAAAGAAAACAGCATGGGAGTAATTTATAATCAACAAATATGTGTTCACTGAGTGACACTCACATGGCATATGGCATATGGGCATCCTGAGAGTAGGATCGTGGGGCATCCGATGGTGATTGTCCTTAGAGTTGGTCGGAGCCCAGCCTTCCACGGTCTGCGCACTGCTGTGTGTACAATCGGTGCCTTCTTTAAGTTCACAGCAATGCCACAAGGCAAATAGCACTGTCTTCACTTTCTGTGTGAGAGAACTAAGGCTGGGTGAGAGTATGCAGAGCTGGATCATGGATTTGTTTGGCTCCTTCTAGTTTCAAAACCTGTAAATATTTTGTTGTCTCTAATGCTAATCTTAGCACTATATTTGGAATAAGCATATAAACATATAACCACAATCCACTCAGGTAATAGGCAACCAAATTATAAATAAATGCTCAACAAGATTATGAAATGATTGAATGAGTTATATATAAGAATAATAACTGGTGGAAGTGTTATTCATAGGATAAAGTAGAAATCATTTAAATGGCTAACAGTATAAGGAGGGTTAAATCAAGCATCCAGGTGTGGAAATAGTTGATTTACATATATAGTTTATGCCATGTAAGACGTTTATGATCCAATATTGGATGAAAAAACAGAAACATTTTATGTACAGTATAATCTAAAATTTCTACATTTCATTAAAAGTGCAGGAATATAATTATCAAAATTTGAGTGATAAAATTATGAATTTTTCTTTTTCTTATAACTCATTTTATATTCACCAAAGATCCTCCAAAGAGAATATACACTTTTATAATTAGAAAAAAAGTTATTTGTTAAAGAGATCATAAATGACATAATATTTTACAGAAGTTAAAAGCTGAGATTGTGAGGATTTCCAGGGACTCCTGCCACCAGCCCATCTCGCATCATCATTTACATGGAAATGTTGGGACTGAGGTGACTTCATGCCTCTCAATTCCCAGCCAGCTTTCTCTCCCTCTGGCTCCTAGCCAGCCTGTTAACCAGAAAATAATCAGTAAGACAAAAAACACCCTAGTGTTCTAACAAGTTACACATAATTGCTTGCTTACCAATTGCCTACCTCAGAACTCTGTTTCCCTCATAGAGTCAATATAATCATTTATTTTAAATTCAGCTTCTGCCATTTTACAGTCTGAGATGCAGGACTTTGCATAGGGCATGGATGGGTTTCCACAGTCCACAGGAGGATGGGAGGAGAGCAGGGCAGATCCAGCCGCACTCAGTGAGAGTTCTGGCTGGAGTTACTTGGCTGGACCTCACTCCAGAGAGAGGAGACCTTCTTCTGGACCAGCTACCAAGACAGCCCCTAGTTGGAAAATCTTTTCTTCTAAGGTGAGATGCAGCCCCCACTGGAGAGGAAAACACCAGAGAGTATTTAAAAAGGAAAAACCAAGGTAAGCTGAGGAGATTCTTGACAGGAGACACAGCAGAGTCCACCCAGCTGGGGTGAATCTCCGCAGTTCCCCAACGGGACAGCAGGTGGGAGCCCCAAATCACTGGCCCCTGCAGCATGGGAGCAGCATGAGCCATCTGCAGTGACATTGTCTCCTCCAGCAGCAGCCTCCATCCAGAAATCCATCTCAGGGTCTGTCCTCACAGTAACCTGATGCCAGAGCTGTGCACTCAAAGTATTTGGACGCAGATATTTTGTGGAACTGAGCATTTTCCAGGTCTTGCTGGAGTTCATTCCGCGTGAACTTGATGGAGATCTTTCTCATGGGCTTCTTTATTTTTTTCACTCTTTTTTTTATTATTATACTTTAAGTTCTAGGGTACATGTGCACAACGTGCAGGTTTGTTACATATGTATACATGTGCCATGTTGGTGTGCTACACCCATTACCTCGTCATTTACATTAGGTATATCTCCTAATGCTTTCCCTCCCCCCTTCCTCCACCCCACAACAGGCCCCGGTGTGTGATGTTCCCCTTCCTGTGTCCAAGTGTTCTCATTGTTCAATTCCCACCTATGAGTGAGAACATGCAGTGTTTGGTTTCTTGTGCTTGTGATAGTTTGCTGAGAATGATGGTTTCCAGCTTCATCCATGCCCCTACAAAGGAAATGAACTCATCCTTTTTTATGGCTGCACAGTATTCCATGGTGTATATGTACCACATTTTCTTAATCCAGTCTATCATTGATGGACATTTGGGTTGGTTCCAAGTCTTTGCTGTTGTGAATAGCACTGCGATAAACATACGTGTGCATGTGTCTTTATAGCAGCATGATTTATAATCCTTTGGGTATATACCAAGTAATGGGATGGCTGGATCAAATGGTATTTCTAGTTCTAGATCCTTGAGGAATCACCATACCATCTTCTACAATGGTTGAACTAGTTTACAGTCCCACCAACAGTGTAAAAGTGTTCCTATTTCTCCACATCCTCTCCAGCACTTGTTGTTTCCTGACTTTTTAATGATCGCCATTCTAACTGGTGTGAGATGGTATCTCATTGTGGTTTTGATTTGCATTTCTCTGATGGCCAGTGATGAGCATTTTTTCACGTGTCTGTTGGCTGCACAAAATGCCTTCTTTTGAGAAGTGTCTGTTCATATCCTTTGCCCACTTCTTGATGAGGTTGTTTGTTTTATTTCTTATAAATTTGAGTTCTTTGTAGATTCTGGATATTAGTCCTTTGTCAGATGGGTAGATTGCAAAAATTTTCTCCCATTCTGTAGGTTGCCTGTTCACTCTGATGGTAGTTTCTTTTTCTGTGCAGAAGCTCTTTAGTTTAATTAGATCCCATTTGTGCATTTTGGCTTTTGTTGCCATTGCTTTCGGTGTTTTAGGCATGAAGTCCTTGCCCATGCCTATGTCCTGAATGGTATTGCCTAGGTTTTCTTCTAGGGTTTTTATGGTTTTAGGTCTAACATGTAAGTCTTTAATCCATCTTGAATTAATTTTTGTATAAAGTGTAAGGAAGGGATCCAGTTTCAGCTTTCTATGTATGGCTAGCCAGTTTTCCAAGCACCATTTATTAAATAGGGAATCCTTTCCCCATTGCTTGTTTTTGTCAGGTTTCTCAAAGATCAGATGGTTGTAGATGTGTGGTATTATTTCTGATGGCTCTGCTCTGTTCCATTGGTGTATATCTCTGTTTTGGTACCAATGCCAATCTGTTTTTGTTACTGTAGCCTTGTAGTATAGTTCGAATTCAGGTAGTGTGATGCCTCCAGGTTTGTTCTTTTGGCTTAGGATTGTCTTGGCAATGCAGACTCTTTTTTGGTTCCATATGAACTTTAAAGTAGTTTTTTCCAATTCTGCAAAGAAATTCATTGGTAGCTTGATGCAAATGGCATTGAATCTATAAATTACCTTGGGCAGTATGGCCATTTTCATGATATTGATTCTTCCTATCCATGAGCATGGAATGTTGTTCCATTTGTTTGTGTCCTCTTTTATTTCATCGAGCAGTGGTTTGTAGTTCTCCTTGAAGAAGTCCTTCACATCCCTTGTAAGTTTGATTCCTAGGTATTTTATTCTCTTTGAAGCAATTGTGAATGGGAGTTCACTCATGATTTGGCTCTCTGTTTGTCTGTTATTGGTGTATAAGAATGCTTGTGTTGTTCTACCCAAGGTCAGAGTGTGTCACTCACCACTTGATGCCACTCACAGACCACCAACTTCAGAATATCTAGGTGTAAAGCTCTGTACAAAAGTTATAACAGAATAATGTAAATAAATTATTATTTATATTACACTATTACATAATGTAAAGGCTATTAAAACATGTTTGTCTTCAAAGAATGGCCTTGGTTTCTGTGGGCAGTGTCTCCTCATGGAAAGGTAGTGCATTCCTGCTAAATCATGGACAAAACGGGCCTCCAGGAGCTGTAGGCTGCAGCAGCAGCAGCAGCAGCTTCTCATCTACATCCTTCCCTGCATGATACTGCTGTTGACTTTGAAAGCTTCTTTCAGTCTAGTTTTATCAACAGAGTTAGTATTTCATGAGGATCTACTACATACCAGGTTCCAGAAAGCTAAATGCCTTTTGTTTGTTATTACTCACTAAATACAAATCACAACTCTCTTCTCATTACTCACACAACAAAATTTAGCTGAGGGAGATTGAGTGACTTTCCCAGGGTCACACAGCTACTAAGAGCAGAGTTGTGTTTAGATTCATGTGGGAATACTGAACACTGAAAGGAGCCAGCAGAAGTATTATACATTCCAAAAGCCTACTCAAGCCATTTGTTCTTATTTTAAAGAAAATCTTTATGCTAATTTTAAACTCCAAATACTTATGAATTGCAGAGATCTACAGATTTGATTCTGATGTAAGAAATGATGCTCACCAGTTGGTTACTGCTACCACTCCACAACCCCGAGCATACTGGACAAATATCTAAGCCTCATGGTTAGTGGGGACAATGCTGGTGGAGGCTGAAGTTGTCATGCAGTGACTCACGCAAGCTTAGGCAGATTTGGTGATATATGACACAGAGATGCAAATAAATGCTGTAGCTGACACACACAGGCTGGCTCTGGGAGATGCAGAAGGAGCATGTCACCCAAAATAGAGCCAGACAGACATCTTTAAGGAAGGAGCAAAGGAGCTGCATCTTAAAGAATGAAGAAGAGATTCGTCATGAGAGATGGGACAGGAAGTTCTTGAGAGGCAGAGGGAGAGCATGAGAATGTCGGGAAGGGAGGAGAGATTCTTGCACATCTGGGAAGCTGGCAATCCATCAGCATGGCCAGAAGGAAAATAAGGAGGAGGAGCGGAAATAATAGATGAGGCTGGATATAGAAGCAGGGTTGAAGCTGTGTTGATTGTGGTAAAGAGTTGTGATTCTATCCAGAAGGCAATAGTTAGCATTCTAAACAGAGATCTTTAAAAACAAGAGTCAGCAAATATTTTCTGCGAAGGGCTAAATGTTAAATATTTTAAGTTTTCCAAGCCATGTGGTCCCTCTCTCAATGACTCAGCTCTTCCGTTATACCATGAAAGTAGCCAGAGACATTATGTAACACATGTATGTGGCTGTGTCCCATTACAACTTTTCTTACAAACGCAGACTATGTCAGACATGGCCCATGAATGGTAGTTTGCCACACCCTGTTTTAGAAAGCTCAGGTTTATGATGTGTTGGAGAATGCCTACAAGAGCTCTTGTTTTAAATGGTAGAGTGAACATACACTGGAATTCTATCCTGCTTGACCCAAGCTCTTGATAGTGAAAGGTAGAAAAGATAGATAGTAAATAGATAGATAGATGATAGGCAGGTAGATAGATGATAGATAAAGAAAATACATAGCTGTTCCAGAAAACAGAAATGGATAACTTCATGAACCAAAAACAAAGTAATATACTTTAGAAAGGAAGCAGGCCGGAAAACTCACAGTTGCAAAGCAAATAGAATTTCCAGCTGCCTCTTGTAGCCCCTTCCTGGAAGTAGTCACAGCCCAGCATGTTTTGACTTCTTCCTCTGTTTTTTGTTTGTTTGTTGTCTGCTTTTTTGTGGGGTTTTGTTGTTGTTGCTTGCTTTTTTAAAAAAAATTCCCTTTCCCTTCCTTTTTGTCACAGCAGCCTTTGTCACTTCAAACACTGCAAGTGTTCTTTTTAAAAAATTCCTCTCTTTCTCTCTCTGGAATGATATGAATTCTCTAGACCATCAGTTCTAACCTTCAAAAACCAAACTTGTTTGTGAGATCTCCTTCGAACACTACTGTAGACTCCGGTGTTTATTCATTAAGTTTTTTAAATATTTGTTTTATTTGGAATCAATTTATTTGTAATTTTAGTATTTGTATTAATATAAGGGAGAAATGTTTAAATCTGTCTATGCCATATGTGCCTCTCACTTATTGCCCAATTAATTGTAGCCTCAGGCTAAACTTTTGTTTCTGTCTTTATTTTTTTCAGAACAAAGATAACTGATCTTAAATCATCTGCTTTTATTATAGGGAATCATGCTGCCATCTCCATTCCTCTCTCTTTTCTTGCAATCTGGGTAGAAGTTCTTTAATATGAACATTTCAACCACCTTCATTCTACCATGTCCACTATCAGCACATTCAAACTTATCCAGCCAAGGCTGTCATCTTAGGCCAGGGATTTTTTTAGGAATCTATTTTGCTGTGATGTGGCTGGCACCCCTTTGACTCACTTTATCACCCCAGGATTCTTTTCATTTTAGGAGCCCAAGAGGGCAGAAAAAGAAGCAGGTGAGCAATTAAACCCTCTGAGTCAGGAGCATCTCCCCTTGTGTTAAGCAATGATGTAGAACATTGTATTTAGTAAGCTCCTAGCACATGAGCCACATGGCTGCTGAACACACATGCCCGCTTGTGGCTGTGAGCTCAGACACCATCATCATTAGTCTTTTCCACCCCTGGAAGGAATTATAAGGGCCACTTCATAACCTGTAAATCATAGAGAGTTAAAGGTGTTTCCCCAAAACACTGATGACAGAATGAAAGGTGAGGAGTGTTAACCATAGGTCAAAAGTGCAGGAAAGTCTCTCAATGTGGGTTGTTGAAGAAATGCAGGTCTTTTTTCTTTTGGAAGTCTCCCTAGAATGGGATCAAGGACTCTGCCCACTCTAGGATGAAAAATTGGGATATTAGACACCCTCAGATATTTATCCCAAGCCTTCATTTTGGGCTCTTAATTAGTTTGTTCAACCATCACAATCTCAAATGCTAAGCAGGGCATTTGAATCTCTCCACAGTCCAAATCAGCACCATCTTTTGAAGTTGAGTTTCTCATTATTCTCACCTGATATACCTTATTTATCCCACACTCACCCTAATAACATATTGTGCTCACTGTTATCTTTGAGACAACACTTGAGTTTTACTCAGCCTGCAGTGCTCTTCACATGTCTTGTCCAGATCCAGTTCAGACTCATTCTTCAGCCCTGCATCAGTCAATGGGGGCTAGGTTAAACTGTGGTGACAAACAACCTCCAAATTTCAGTGGTTCAAAAATCTTTTTCCTCATTTATTTACATCTCATCATGGGTCAGATGTGAGGTAGCTCTGTGCTGTGTCATCCTAACACAGGAATCCAGACGGAAGGAGGGACCATCAATAAGATCCCCATTGCTATAGAAAAAAGAAAAAAGCATGCGGAATAGAACTCTGTTTCTTGGAGATTTCTTCTGAAAAAGTCACATGTTATTTCTTCTCACCTCCGTTGGCAAAAAACAAACAAACAAACAAAAAAGTCATGTGGCCATGGGAAAATTTAAGTAGGTGGGATGGAACAGTCAGAATGCATTCACAAACAAATGAACTGAAAATATTTGGAGAACAGCACCAATGACTATCATGAATGCAAACATGCATCCCTAACAACCCGGTGCTATTTCCCTCCAAACTTTTTATGTCTTGCAAAGTATTAGAACTGCATATCTGAAGCCATACCACTCAGAGGGAATGCAAAATACATAATGACATCTCCTTTAGGATATCCTTAGAGAATTCAAGGAAAAGAAGTTAAACAGTTTAAAAGTGCTGTTGGATACAGCTATTTAGCACTAGAGGGTAAGATTAGAGATAGATCGTAAAGATAATAATAGGGTTAGGGTTAGGGTTAGGATTAGGATCTGGGTCAGAGTCAGGGCCAGAAATATGGTTAGAGGTGGGGTCAAGGTCAGGGTCAAGATCAAAATCAGGGTCAAAGTAAGGGTGAGAATTGGGGCCCAGGGTAGGGATCAGTGTTTAGGTTCAGGGTCAAAGTCTTGGGACAGGGTTAGGGTTAGGATTAGAACCAGAGCTTTGTTCTCCTCAGGACCCACCCGAGGGTGGGTCACCATGGCTTTGGAGCACCTGGTAGTGTAGCATGTCTACAGTGAAGACCAGAGTTTCATTGTCCTTAAGACTGACCTGGGCAGACGTGGCTGCTGGCCATTGAGGAAGGTGAGGCAAAAGCTTCCTGTCTGCTCCCCATGTGCTGAGGAGGGAGCTCTGCCATGGGCTTTACTTTCACATGTTTTATTCTACAAGTCTTGTTTTACAAAAGCATCCTTTCCTTGAGGCTTCGGCTGCTCATCGCTTCTCATCACCATAGCGTGCCATAACATATGGTAAGATTTGGGCTTGTTTCTGGGGAGAGATCTTGGTATAGAGACAGGGGAAATGCTTAGAGCCACCATCAGAAGAGTTGGGATGAAAGCTGGGGATGGGCAGAGGCTGGAGGAAACATGTGCACCCCCTGTAAACACTTTTATTCATGTTTTAGTTGCTCATTTTTCTTACAGTGTTAAAGTAGTAAAAATAGTATTGAAAAATTGAAAAGTAGGCATATTAAAACTTGCAACATTATTTAAGTTTAAATATATTGTTGGTACCTCATCATTTTTTATTTTGTTGAGAAAGTCTAAGGTTAATTGGCAGCATAGTTGTAATAGTAGACAGAATAATGTCTGTTTTATAAACATTGACATACTATATTACATGTATGAACCCTGAAAATCTGAAACAGCTCTCGGATTTTTTAGAAAGTTTACTTGCCAAGTTTGAGGATGCGCCCCCATGATGCCTCCTCAGGAAGTCCTGACAACATGGGCCCAAGGTGGTCGAGGCACAGCTTGGTTTTATACACTTTAGGGAGACATGAGACATCAATCAATATGTGCAAGATGTACATTGGTTCAGTCCAGAAAGGTGAGAAGGCCAGACAGGGGGCTTCCAGGTCATAAGTAGGTAAGAGACAAATGGTTTCATTCTTTTGCTTTGCTGATTACCCTCTCCAAATGAGGCAATCAGATATGCATTTGTCTCGGTGAGCAGATGGGTGACTTTGGATAGAATGGGAGGCAGATTTGCCCTAAGCAGTTCCCAGCTTGACTTTTCCCTTTAGCTTAGCGATTTTGGGTCCCCAAGATTTATTTTCCCTTCACAAGGTCTAACATGTTTTCCTATGAGCATTAATTATTTATTGTGTATTTTATTACACAAATAAGGCAAAGATTTTTAAAAAATCATCAACTTCATGCCTAGCTACATAGACATAATTACACAGAAGCTCAACTAAATTTGCAAACATTCCAGAGTTTGGGTTTCCAATAATTCTTAGTGATTCTTTAAAAGGTAAAGTATTTTTTTCCCATAAAACATAGCAACATCTAAAATCACCCGTAGAACGTCCTGCCATTTTTGTTTCTTTAGTTTCCTCATTTTCTGCAAAGCCTCGCTGAGGAAATTGACTTTGAATATCCTTTTACACTCTTATTTTTAGAAAGCATTGTGGTAAAACATTGAATCATCATGGTTGTAAGTTCTGTTCACATTCTTTCTTTCTTTGAATATTTTTTCCCAATGGCCAATATTTGATTCTGTTGTATTATGGCTAAAAGGTAGGCATGGGAACAAAGTAAAGACAAGAAGTCTTTAGAATAAGTGATCCCATCACAATGAATCAATTTGCCATTGGAACATATTTTTACAGTCACTCTTTTGAAAATATTTAGCCATGAATTGAAACAGATCCTGTAAGTTTATTTTTTTTCCTGGTCTAAGGTGATCAGCATTTTAGAGAATGAACCAGGACACAACCATAGCACAAGACAAAAATACGATAATTAAGTTTACACATATGTGTTACTACTGTAACAGAAAACATATACAGAGCGTTTGTTTTGATTTATATATCAGTCTGCACTGTTTAATTTTTTGTGTCATAAATGCTCTTATTTAAAAAAACAGGACTAGTTAACAGTGTCAATTACTAGTAATTCACGGTATAAATAATTAAGCAAGGAAGCATTAAAAAATATAAAAAGGTTTTAAATAAAGTTTTATTTTACATCTTTTTTTTTTACTTACACAGAAATTACCAAAAAAAAAAAAAAAAAGCAGAGATTTCCCATGTAGCCACAACCTAGTTTCCTCTCATTAACATCTTCTATCAGTGTGTCTCACATGGCTTATTAATATCTTACATAATTTGTCACAGTTAATGAACCAATACTGATAGACTATTATTAACTAAAGTTCACATTTCATTTGGACTCCCTTAGGTCTGTCTTACTCTGACCCAGGATCCCATCCAGGATCCCGCACGACATGTAGTCATCACATAGGCTCTTCCTGGCTGTGACAGTGTGTCAGGCTTTCCATCTCATGATGACCTTGACAGTACTGAGGAGGATTGGTCAGGAATTTTGTAGAATGTCCCCCATTTTCACTTCATGTTCTCAAGGTAAACTGTCATTTTTGATGTTCACTTGGATCATTTGGCAGAGCTACTGTTTGTCAGGTTTCTCCACTGTGAAGTTATTTTTCCTCCTTGTCCATACTGCATGTGTTCTTTTGGAGCAAGTCACTATGCAGAGCCCACACTCATGGAGTGAGGAGTTGGCTCCACCTTCCTGATGGCTGAGTGTCTACATCAATTATTTGGAATTCTTTTGCAAAGGAGATTTCTATGCAACTCCATTAGCTTATTCACCTATGTATACAAATACAGACACCTAGATAATTACTTTAAGCTTCAGTTATTATTCAACACTGCAGCATTGTGTTGCACAATTCATTCCTGTGTTGGCCTTCGGTAGCTGTTATTATTGGCTCTTATTTTTCTTTGATATATTTTAATTTTTTTTAGTACTTACTTTCTGATACTTCAAGATTATCCTGGCTCCTATATTTACTGTCCCAGTTCTAGTATCAGACATTTCTTCAAAGAGCCTGATTCCTTTCAGAATGGTAGGAAAACTTACATCTGGCTGTTGAATTAGCACATTGTATCTTGTCCCTCATTAGCAATGCTAGGAAGTATATGTGTGTGTCTAACCTACCTATACACACCTGATTATAAAGTTTTCTATGTAGAACTGTGTGTATCTATATTAAACTAAACATAAGTTTATGTTTGAAGGGGTGGCCTGGCCCTCCACATCTGTGGGTATATCTCATCAGGTGGGATGAGAGACTGAGAAAAGAAATAAGATACAAGACAAACTATAGAGAAAGAATAGTGGGCCCAGGGGACCTGCACTCAGCATACCAAGGACCTGCACCAGCACCGGTCTCTGAGTTCCCTCAGTTTTTATTGATTATTATTTTCATTATCTCAGCAAGAGGAATGCAGTAGGAGAGCAGGGTGATAATAAGGAGAAGGTCAGCAAAAAAACACGTGAGCAAAAGAATCTATATCATAATTAAGTTCAAGGGGAGGTACTATGCCTGGATGTACACGTGGGCCAGATTTATGTTTCTTCCCACCCAAACATCTCAGTGGAGTAAAGAATAACGAGGCAGCATTGCTGCCAACATGTCTCGCCTCCCACCATAGGGCAGTTTTCCTCCTATCTCAGAATTGAACATATGTACAATCGGGTTTTATACCGAGACATTAAGTTCCCAGGGGCAGGCAGGAAACAGTGGCCTTCCTCTATCTCAACTGCAAGTGGCTTTCCTCTTTTACTAATCCACCTCAGCACAGACCCTTTACAGGTGTCAGGCTGGGGGACAGTCCGGTCTTTCTCATCCCATGTGGCCACATTTCAGACTATCACATGGGGACAAACCTTGGACAATACCCGGCTTTCCAGGGCAGAGGTCCCTGTGGCTTTTTGCAGTGCATTGTGCCCCTGGTTTATTGAGACTAGAGAATGGCAATGAGTTTTACCAAGCATACTGCTTGTAAATATTTTGTTAGCAAGGCACATCCTGCCCAGCCCTAGATCTCTTAAACCTTGATTCCATATAACACATGTTTTTGTGAGCTCAAAGTTGGGGCAAAGTGGCTGGGGCAAAGTTACAAATTAACAGCATCTCAGCAAAACAATTTTTCAAGGTACAGATCAAAATGGAATTTCTTATGTCTTCCCTTTCTACATAGACACAGTAACAGTCTGATCTCTCTTTTCCCTACATATCCCCCTTTTCTTTTTGACAAAACTGCCATGGTCATCATGGTCCATTCTCACTGGTCACTGTCTCTCCAGAGCTGCTGGATACACCTGTAGACTAACAACAGAGAGAACGGACATACAAGGATTAATACAAAAATTTCAATGGTGGAACTTCCAATGTTTTCAACCCAAGTGGCAGGGTTAAGATTTGTGAGGCTATCAACAGCTTTCATGATTGCCTCAGTTTCTGGTACCAGATTTAACTGGGCTTTTGATGCCTCAAAAATTTGTTCTTTTAATTTTGAAATCTCTAAGGTAAGATTATCTTCTCTTCCTTGTAGATGGCATCTCACCATGTCCTAGTGATGTTCAGATTCATTATAAGCTCGAGGTGTAATACAAAAATCTGATGTATTCCAGTCACACTGTAACTGAAAAAGGTATTCCAAGCTCATGAGCCTATCTCCAATCCAAATTACAGTTTGTCTAAGATCATTAATTTGGTTTGCCAATTTTTGATCTATTTGGGTATGAGAATTCCACAATTTTGAGGAATTCTTTTGCCAATTATTCACATATTCTGCAGTTTGAACAGAGGAGTGTAAAGCAATTCCAGCAGCCGCAGCAGTAGCTGTGATAAGACCCATAATCACTGCAATCAAAGTAAAAATGAATCTTTTGGATCTAGTTAGAACTCCTTTTAATACTTCTGTTAAAATATGGATGGATGGGGAACCCTCCCACTGTTGGTCCATGGACACAGGGATCCCCACGCCCTCTCTTGCCCTCACTAGCAGAATACAGTGTTGCCAATCCAAAGTTGAATCAATGCAAGTAAACAATCTACAATTTTCACAGGTTATAGTTTGGGAATCTGGTTTAATAACTCTGTTTCCTACAACTAGCATATAAGGGGGTTTTACACACCCCATTTCCATGGATAGAGTGATTCTAACCTACTATAAACCTGGTCCAGCCTTTCATAGGCCAGATTAATGGGCCAGATGGATGGGACCTGTCAACATGGTTGAGTCTGGCCTGCACAACTATGATATAATTGGCCTCAAGGAGCCCAGTTTATAATAGTTCCAAATTCATTGTTTTGTAGTACCACTGCAGTATCAGCCACACATTCTTCCCAAACTAGGACTTCTGGGCTTTTTGATTCTTTGGGAATTTCCTTGGGGCAAGGCTTCCCCTTAGGCCTAGATTGTAATGATCTTTGATAAGAAAAATCCTGTAAATTATTTATCTGTGGCCTGAGTGACATTCCACTTACCATGTGATAAGTAAATCTGCTGATGGCACTGACAGTAGGTACTTCTACCAACCAATTTTGGGTTGTAGGTATTAAGCATCCTGGTGCTTTCCCCAGGCAAATAGGAGGATAATGATACCCAATGGAAATGTTTATCATCATTCCTTCTTCTTCAGGTTGGGCAGGGCCACGGTCATCTGTGGGGCCTGGTACCCATGCACTATTATTAACATATACTTCAATAGGATTATCTATCCAAGTGACTGTCCGAATTAAGGGTGGGAAAGGCACATAGGCCAAGTAAGTATAATTAGCTGCAGCTGCTCCTGCAGACATAGGGAGACTTACCACCGTTGGTACAATCATTAAAGCTGCAAGCAGCATATTCTCTGGAGTTTGTGTTAACCTTGTATTCTTCAGGCTTTTTTTCAGCTAACTGTGTCAGCTTCTTTAGCTGGGCCCAGGTCAGCAGCTCCACTTTCTTGGTGGATGGCAACTTCATCTGTTCTTCTGATATCACCATTTTGTTCACCTGGCGAGTCGATGGTGCTCCATTGCGGGTTTTCCATCTCCACGGAGGCACTTTTCTTTGCATCTCTGATGGGTTCATTGTAGAATTTCAAATGTCTAGTGGGTATCCAAACAGGAAGCTGATTTTCTCCTGGTGAAACACAAGCAAAACCTCTCCCACATGTTATCACCTTACCTATTTCTCATGTCTTATTTTTGATCTTTCCACCAAATCAGTTTTCCCTCATGTGGGCTGTTCTTTTTACCAGTAAAATGTTGTTCTGCAGAAGTAGTGGTCTTATTTCTATAAATGTTTAAAAAAATTAAAGTATAGAGTGCTAGATTAAGTTGCATCTGGGGAGTGTTATACTCCTTACTCTCTTTTTCCTTTTTTGTTTAACAAATTGAGCTTTGAGTGTCCTATTATTTCTTTCAATTATGGCCTGTCCTTGGGAATTATAAGGGATTCCTGTTGTATGTGTAATTTTCCACTGATTTAAGAATTTTTGGAATGCTTTACTATAGTAGCCTGGTCCATTATCTGTTTTAATTTTTTCTGGAACTCCCATGACAGCAAAACAAGATAATAAATGTCTTTTAACATGGGAAGTACATTTTCTGTCTAGCAGGTTGCCCATATGAAATGTGAACAAGTATCAACCATCACATGGACAAATGACAATTTTCCAAATGAAGGTACATGTGTGACATCCATTTGCCATAATGCATTAGGACATAAACCTCTGGGATTAAGTCCTGCCTCCTGAGTGGGCAGGTGTAGGACTTGACACTCAGTACAATGTTGTACAATATTTTTTGCCTGTTTCCATGTGATATCAAATTTATTTTTTAATCCTGTTGCATTTACATGAGTCAGAGCATGACGTTCTTGTGCTTCCATGAAGGCAGATGATACTAGCAAGTCAGCTTGTTCATTTCCCTTAGTTAAGGCCCTGGTAAATTAGTATGTGCTTGAATATGAGTAATATAAAATGGGAAATTTCTTTTTCTTACAGTTTATTGTAAAAAATTAAACAGCTGATTCAACTGATCATCCATACTACATTTGATTAGGGCTGTCTCAACATCCTTTGTAGCCTGTACTACATATGCAGAATCTGAAACAATGTTAATAGGCTGATTAAAATCTTGTAACACTGAAATAACAGCAACCAATTCTGCTCTTTGAGCTGAGTGATATTGAGTTTCAATGATTCATTCTTTTGGCCTGGGGTAAGCCATTTTTCCATTGCTGGAACCATCAGTAAACACCATCAGAGCATTTTCTAAAGGTTTATGTCTGGTAATTTTAGGTAAAATCCAAGTAGTCAATTTTGAAAACTGGAAGATTTTTGTTCTTGGGTAATGATGATCAACAATTCCCACAAAAGCAGCAAGACCAATCTGCCATGCAGCAGAATTGATAAAGGCTTGTCTAACCTGTTCCTTGTTTAAAGGAACAATGATTTTATCTGGGTCACTTCCACACAATTTTACTATTCGTAGTCTTCCCTGACCAATTAATGTAGCCATTTGATCTAAGTACAATGTAAAAGTCTTAATTGTACTGTGAGGAAAGAATGACCACTCCACAAGATCTGTATTTTGAACAATAATGCCTGTTGGAGAATGTACAGTAGCAAAAATCAAAAGTTGGAGTGGGGCTAAGTGATCTATTCTATTTACTTGTGCTGACGGAATTTTTTCTTCAACTAATTCAATTTCCTTAGCTGCCTCTGGAGTTAATGTTCTTTTACTATTCAAGTCTGGATACCCTCTCAAGATAGAGAACAAATTCGACATGGCATAAGTAGGGATGCCTAGAGTTGGCCGAATCCAATTAATATCTCCTAGCAATTTTTGAAAGTCATTTAATGTTCTTAATGTGTCTTTTCTTATTTCTATTTGTTGTGGTTTAATTTTTCTTTCCTCTACTTGCATTCCCAAATAATGAAAAGGAGTAGAGGTCTGAATCTGCGTTTGCAACCTCTGCAGAAATGTGTAACAGTCAATTAATTTGCCTCTTGTTTCTGCAGCACACAAAATATCAACATAATGAATGACATAACAGTCTGAAAACTTGTCTCTAACTGGTTGAAGAACTTGAGCTACAAAAGTCTGACAAATAATTGGACTATTAAGCATTCCCTGAGGCAACACTTTCCACTGAAATCTGGTGGCTGGTTCTTTATTATTTATGGCTGGTATAGTAAAAGCAAATTTTTCAAAATCCTGTTTTGCCAGAGAAATGGTAAAAAAGCAATCCTTCAGATCAATTATAATTAAAGGAGATCGTGGCTGGAGAGGGCAACACGGGTTGGAGAGGCCTCATAGGTTGAATTACTGCATTAATGGCTCTTAAGTCAGTTAGCATGCGCCATCTGCCTGATTTTTTCTGAATTACAAAAACAGGAGAATTCTAAAGACAGAAAGTGGGTGAAACATGTCCTTTATAAAATAGCTTTTTAACTATTTTATGTAGCACCCCCAACTTTTCCTTAGGGAGCGGCCACTGTTTGACCTATACAGGAAGCTGCAGGGTGAGTCTGAATTGCTCCTTCACCACAGTGAACTGTAGGTTGGACAATAATGAGTGCCTCGAGCCAAGTCGCAGCAAGCCTAGTTTCAGGCTCCCTCCCCCAGAAGTCACTGGGCTGAGGAGGAGGTGGCCATCATGCTTTTAGCCCCAATGGCCCCGATGGTTCTGGACTTTTTCCTTTTAATTTTAATGTTTCAGGATATATTACCTCCTGTAATTGATTGTAGTCAACATTTTGCATTGACCGAGCCATTACCGGCTCTGCTACATATTTACAATATGAACTTTCCATTCATTTCCTAGATTTTGTCCCCGCCTCTTCACAATCTATTACACAGCTTTCAGAGGCAGCAGAAACTGAAATGCTGTCTTCTTCTACTTGAAACCATTCTAAAGTTGCTTTAACAATGGCCCAGCATCGCAGCGGGCGCCTGTAGTCCCAGCTACTCGGGAGGCTGAGGCAGGAGAATGGCGTGAGCCCAGGAGGCAGAGCTTGCAGTGAGCTGAGATCGCGCCACTACACTCCAGCCTGGGCGACAGAGCGAGACTCTGTCTCAAAATAAATAAATAAATAAATAAATAAATAAATAAATAAATAAATAAAAAATAATGGCCCAATCATTCCATACTGTAAGTGGGATGGTTTTACCTTCCCTACTTGCTTAATTCTTTGCCAATTTTTCCCAGTCTTTTAAATCTAAAGTTCCCTGTTCTGGAAACCATGGGCAGAATCGTTCTATTGTTTGAAATAGTGTAATTAGATTTTCTGTAGAAGCTTTAACTCCCCCTCTTCTTAAGAGAATTTTGATGAAGCTGAGATAAGAGGCATATTTACTTTCAGTTTGCCCCATTGTTACCCTGGGTTTCTCTGAGCGCACAAGCTTACCGCAAGGCTGATGGTGGATGTACTCAGGAATCTCTCGACTGTCCTCAATGCTCACATTCTTAGCATACCTTCATCCTAGAGAAAGGCACCCACATTGGGTGGCAGATGAAGGGGTGGCCTGCTCCTCCACACCTGTGGGTATATCTCGTCAGATGGGATGAGAGACTGAGAAAAAAAATAAGACTCAGAGACAAAGTATAGAGAAAGAAAAGTGGGGCCAGGGGACTGGCTCTCAGCATACCAAGGACATGCACCAGCACCGGTCTCTGAGTTCCCTCAGTTTTTATTGATTATTATTTTCATTATCTCAGCAAGAGGAATGCTGTAGGAGAGCAGGGTGATAATAAGGAGGAGGTCAGCAAAAAAACATGTGAGCAAAAGAATCTATGTCATAATTAAGTTCAAGGGTAGGTACTATGCCTGGATGTGCATGTAGGCCAGATTTATGTTACTGTCCACCCAAACATTTCAGTGGAGTAAAGAATAACTAGACAGCATTGCTGCCAACATGTCTCACCTCCCACCATAGGGTGGTTTTCCTCCTATCTCAGAATTGAACAGGTGTACAATCGGGTTTTATACCGAGACATCAAGTTCCCAGGGGCAGGCAGGAAATGGTGGCCTTCCTCTATCTCAACTGCAAGAGGCTTTCCTCTTTTACTAATCCACCTCAGCACAGACCCTTTATGGGTGTCAGGCTGGGGGATGGTCAAGTCTTTCTTATCCCATGAGGCCACATTTCAGACTATCACATGGGGACAAACCTTGGACAATACCCGGCTTTCCAGGGCAGAGGTCCCTGTGGCTTTTTGCAGTGCATTGTGCCCCTGGTTTATTGAGACTAGAGAATGGCAATGAGTTTTACCAAGCATACTGCTTGTAAATATTTTGTTAACAAGGCACATCCTGCACAGCCCTAGATCCCTTAAACCTTGATTCCATATAACACATGTTTTTGTGAGCTCAAAGTTGGGGCAAAGTGGCTGGGGCAAAGTTACAAATTAACAGCATCTCAGCAAAGAAATTTTTCAAGGTACAGATCAAAATGGAATTTCTTATGTCTTCCCTTTCTACATGGACACAGTAACAGTCTGATCTCTCTTTCTTTTCCTATAACGTTGATGTCTCCACCTCTGATCTACTATCACATGAATCATTCTAGCCTTCTCACCTTGCTAATTTGTAACCTCCCACTTCACCAGTGAGAGATCTGGTTCCTACCATCTGCAACTTATGTAAGTCATTGTTTTATTCCAGATACAGATACTGTGGTTTTACAACTGTTAACAATTGCTTCTGCTGGAAAGAACTTTATAAAATGGAATCCAATGATGAAGTATAGTTCATTTGCCTTCGGCCTACAGATTCTATTCATTTTCAAAGTGACTTAGGTCAACATCATTTTCCCTACACCTTCAGTGAGTTTTTACCTCCATTTGTGTCTTAGTCCATTTCGTGCTTCTGTAACAGAATACCTGAGGCTGGGTAATTTATAAGTAAAAAAGGTTCATTTGGCCCACAATATTTGTGGCTGGAATGTCTGAGATTGGGCACTTGCATCTGGGGGGCTTCAGTCTTTTTCACCTCATGGTGGAAAGTGGAAGGGGAGCAAGGGGTGCACCAGAGATCACATAGCAAAAGTGAAAGCAAGAGGGAAGCCAAGGAAGCCAGACTCTTTTTAACTACCTACTCCTGCAGGAATTAATCCATTCCTGTGAGAGCAGAACTCATTCACCCCCATCGGAGTACATTAATCTATTCATGAGAGATCCATCACCATGACCCAAACATCTTCCCCTAGGCCCCATCGCCCCACACTGACACAGTGGGGGTCAAATTTCAATATGAGTTTTTGCGGGGACAAGCCACATCCAAAAGATAGTAATTTGTAGCATAGTTAAATTCTTTTTCACATGATGTATTCTGTCCTGAGATACTCCACATCCTGAGTAATTTTATTTAATTTGAATAGAGTTTTCTTTAACCATTTGGCTGTAAAATTCTGCATATTTTGACAAATGCATTGTGGCAGGTATCCCACTAATAAGTATAATATGGAATGCTTCTAACCCCCACCCCATGGAGCCAATGGCTTCCCATCTGTGTAGTTTGCCTTCTCCAGTGTCTCATTAAATGAGGTCACACTGTGTGTATGCTCCTCACACTGTCTTCTTCCACTTAGCAATGTGCATGCAAGAGTCGCTCATGTCTTTGTGTGAGTTGATAGCTTGTTCCTTTCTATGGCTAAGTAGCATTCCATTGCATGAATGTACCACAATTTGGTTATGCATTTTGGGGAGCAAAACCTTCCTCTTCTAACTTTGTTCCAGGGTTGGTGACCATCAAATTAACTGACAATAGATACATTAGTAGGAGAGACAATAATTGGCTTCTTGCTCCCCAAGTATCATTGTGGGACAGAATTCATCAGATGGCAGGATCTAGTTTACAAAGAGGTAAAAACAGCCCAGAAACAAGAAACAAGACTAGAATCTGATAACCCACAAAGGCTGTAGTTTTCCTTTAAAAACATTTTTTTTGAGACAGGGTCTGGCTCTGTCACCCAGGCTGGAGTGCAAAGGTGCAATCTCAGCTCACTGCAACCTCTACCTCCTGGGTGCAAACGATCTTCCCTCCTCAGCTTCCTGATTAGCTGGGACTACAGGCACATGCCATCATACCCAACTAATTTTTGTATTTTTGGTAGAAACAGGGTTTTACCATGTTGCCCAGGCTGGTCTTGAACTCCTGGCCTCCCAAAGTGCTGGAATTATAGGCATGTGCCACCATGCCCGGCCATGTTATAGTTTTCCTTTGAAATATAAAATTTCTCTTGGTAGTAACCATCATTTTTTATCATAATCAAAGTAAGACTATTCTTGTTTTAAAAATAAGTCTTGTTTTATTAGATTTTGCTTGATTATTTATGTAATTGCAGCAAGAACAGGCGATGACCACATAGGTGCTTTCAAGTTTCTTTGCTGGAAGTTTTCATATAGAATCTCAGATTTGACTTTTAAAGGCCTTATTCAGGCTAAAAGCCAAGCTAAGAACATACTATCAAATTTCAGCTGCAGTCCTTATAGCTTTGTGTGAATTCCTCTCTTCTTGAGGCCCCCAAAATATCCCTAAATTCCTGGGCCTACCAGGAAATGACCTTCCTTACTAACCTGTAAGGCTGTGAACCCTGTAATCTAGGTATCAGGCTGGCTTTTCTCAGAGTGCTGTTGGGAATGAAGTTTTTGATGTTCCAAAAAAGGAAAAAAAAAAAAGAATTAACATGGGAACAAATGATCTCTTAGCAAGGTGAGCTTTACTTTCTGCAGAAAGGGTGCTACTCAATAGCTGTCCAGCCAGAAGAACACACCGAACAAAGGAGACAGAGTTACTTATAACCTTATGTGTCTACCCTACTGCTGTGTGCAGTTTCCATTGGCTGGAATAAGACCTCACATTTTACACTTTACCCAGTTGGCTATTAGTTTAAAACTTTATTAATTAGGTAAGGGGAATAGAACAAAGAAAGAACAGGAAGTTGCCCAGGGATAGTTAAGGAAGCATCTCCAAATAAGGAATGGCATGCACTATGGGCTGGGGCTTGTCTAGTTCTGTCCAGGCATGCTGGAGCAAGCTAGGACAACTGACTTGGAAGACACACACACACACACACACACACACACACACACATATAAATAGTGGATAGCAATCTCATAGTAAGAAATTGTGACTTTTTATAATTTTTGAAGAAGAATTTTCTCATTTCTCAGAGTGCTTTGTAAGCACTGTCTGCATAAAAGTCAACCTTACTTCCTTAAAATTGCTGGTCATAAGTGATCTTAGGTACATTTCCTAAATATGATATTCCAGTAAAAACCTTGATAATATAACAAAAATTTCCAATTATGTCCTGTTATAAGGTAAACAGATTTTTTTTATGTTCAATAATCTTTTATTGGGATGCATGATGCATTCATGATCTGACAAAACTAGAGCACATTGGTATTGGTATTATTATTTTGGTAAATTTATTTTATTTTATTATTATTATAGTTTAAGTTTTAGGGTACATGTGCACAATGTGCAGGTTTGTTACATATGTATACATGTGCACATGTGCCATGTTGGTGTGCTGTACCCATTAACTCGTCATTTAGCATTAGGTATATCTCCTAATGCTATCCCTCCCCCCTCCCCCCCCACCCCACAACAGTCCCTGGAGTGTGATGTTCCCCTTCCCATGTCCATGTATTCTCATTGTTCAATTCCCACCTATGAGTGAGAACATGCAGTGTTTGGTTTTTTTGTCCTTGTGATAGTTTGCTGAGAATGATGGTTTCCAGCTTCATCCATGTCCCTACAAAGGACATGAACTCTTCATTTTTTATGGCTGCATAGTATTCCATGGTGTATATGTGCCACATTTTCTTAATCCAGTCTATCATTGTTGGACATTTGGGTTGGTTCCAAGTCTTTGCTATTGTGAATAGTGCCGCAATAAACATACGTGTGCATGTGTCTTTATAGCAGCATGATTTATACTCCTTTGGGTATATACCAAGTAATGGGATGGCTGGGTCAAATGGTATTTCTAGTTCTAGATCCCTGAGGAATCGCCACACCATCTTCTACAATGGTTGAACTAGTTTACAGTCCCACCAACAGTGTAAAAGTGTTCCTATTTCTCCACATCCTCTCCAGCACCTGTTGTTTCCTGACTTTTTAATGATCGCCATTCTCACTGGTGTGAGATGGTGTCTCATTGTGATTTTGATTTGCATTTCTCTGATGGCCAGTGATGATGAGCATTCTTTCACATGTCTTTTGGCTGCATAAATGTCTTCTTTTGAGAAGTGTCTGTTCACATCCTTCGCCCACTTTTTGATGGGGTTGTTTGTTTTTTTCTTGTAAATTTCTTTGTGTTCATTGTAGATTCTGGATATTAGCCCTTTGTCAGATGAGTAGGTTGTGAAAATTTTCTCCCATTTTGTAGGTTGCCTGTTCACTCTGACAGTAGGTTTTTTTTTGCTGTGCAGAAGCTCTTTAGTTTAATTAGATCCCATTTGTGCATTTTGGCTTTTGTTGCCATTGTTTTTGGTGTTTTAAACATGAAGTCCCTGCCCATGCCTATGTCCTGAATGGTATTGCCTAGGTTTTCTTCTAGGGCTTTTATGGTTTTAGGTCTAACATGTAAGTCTTTAATCCATCTTGAATTAATTTTTGTATAATGTGTAAGGAAGGGATCCAGTTTCAGCTTTCTACATATGGCTAGCCAGTTTTCCCAGCACCATTTATTAAATAGGGAATCCTTTCCCCATTGCTTGTTTTTGTCAGGTTTGTCAAAGATCAGATGGTTGTAGATATGCGGCATTATTTCTGAGGTCTCTGTTCAAGGTGAACAGATTCTTATTGGACTTTTGCTAACAACTATATCATCGTGAAAATAAGAGTGTTCAGTAAGGATTTCAAAATTCTGGAAAAATCAGGCAGGGGAAAAAAGATAAATGCTTCACTTCTGTTTTCAAAAGTATAATCTACTAAATTGTATGTTACAGTTAGGTTAAGAGAAAGAGATTTCTTAAGTCCAGAAACTAGAACATTAAAGAACCAGCAATGCTCCAAAAAGCTATAAAATTATAATCAATTTTCATCAGTTCATTCAGTACCATGTAATCAATTCCAGTCTTGTTGCATCTTGGGTTAGCAGTGTCATGAACCCATCAATTTCTGAAGCAGACTTCTGGAGATCTTCACTGAGCGAAGTGTATGGTCTTAAAGTTATTTAAACAATATCATCAGAAGCCTATAACCAGACTATCTTGCATACTCTTTTCTGTGTGTCTCAGAGGGAATCCCGTGATGGAGATGAACATTCTGACCTGTAGCTGATTGCAGGAGCTTTCAGGAAAGCATCAGGGGGAAATAATATCTAAATGATAAAGAATATGAAATGGCTGTGATGAAAGATCTGATGAGAGTTCATTATACCACAACTGACAAGGATATTCGATTTTTTCTGTGGGATACAACATTTATTTATTTATTTATTTATTTAGAGACAGAGTCTCGCTCTGTTGCCCATGCTGGAGTGCAGTGGCGCTATCTTGGCTCACTGCAAGCTCTGCCTCCCTGGTTCATGCCATTCTTCTGCCTCAGCCTCCTGAGTAGCTGGGAGTACAGGTGCCCACCACCACGCCTGGCTAATTTTTTGTATTTTTAGTAGAGATGGGGTTTCACCATGTCAGCCAGGATGTTCTCGATCTCCTGACCTTGTGATCCACCTGCCTAGGCCTCCCAAAGTGCTGGGATTACAGACGTGAGCCACTGCACCCAGCACAACATTTAAAATAATAATTGGAATTATGACTCATAACTCTATACTGGCACATAGCATGGATAAGGAGAACATTGACAAATTTCCAGGAATTTTATATAATTTCTGAAAACATGACATTTTACCCATACAAATATAACACAGGGAAGGCTAGGTATCTCTTTTTATTTGTATCTTTTGTATGGTTTTCCTTATAAAAAATACGTCCTACTTTACTTGCAAAACATGCACTACTTTTCTTGCATGCTTTGCATAGAGTTGTTTCTAGTTATTCTATTATTTCCAGTAGTTTTATTTACACATATTGATTATAATTTTAATACTTAGTAATCTTTTATTTTCCAGAGAAAACTAGGAAGTAGACAGTTATAAACTGTCATATGTTAGCATTCTATAGTAGGTTAGAAAATGTATGAGTATACCATCTCCCAACATCTAGAGGGATGTGTTTCCTCATAGTACAATTTCTCAGTGTGGTAGACAAAAACATGTTTATTAATGGGCTAAAATATCTTTAGTTTCTCTGTAAAAATAAGTAGCCAAAAGTATGTAAACTTGAATTATTTATCTTCAGTAATGTTTTAGTATTGTATCTTATTTATAAATGGTCTAGATATTTAATGCAAATCTTTTACTTAGCTTAACTTTAAGGTTAACTTTAAGGTTAAAAATTACCAAAAGTATTTTGGAAACTACTACTGCAGAGGTACCTATGCAGAAAGAAACACCCCAGAACTCCATTTAAGATGCCCCAGTCATCATTCACTCTGCAGTAAAAATGTCACAATATTGCTGGCTACATGCTGATAAGAAGGACAAAGGGGACATTCTTAAGAGAAACCTGGCACCATAAGTACAGAGTAGGGTAGAGAAGGACATTCAAAAGAGATAGGCAGGCGCTGTAGGCAGAAACATGACCGCTGTCAGCCTGCCTGGGATGGGGGGAAGGAGCCTGGTACCAGAGTGGATTCGGATTGATCACCACACATGTGCCTCAACCAACAGTGAGGAGGTCCCATAAGCCTAAGTGGGGCAACTCAGGGACCTAAGGCAGTAGCAGGAAAACCAGACAAAGAAAACAGGTGGAGACTTGAGACAGAGGCAGAAATGTGAAGAAGTCCAAAATAAAATTCCCTGCACAGGACTCTCAGGCTGTTTTCCTGCACAATCAGCCCACTCCTCCCTATTATTCTACAATAAGCTCTTTACACTGTATTTGTTTTCAATGAAGTTATCTGCCATGTTTTTACTGCCTCTTGGTGAAAAATCTTTCTTCCAAGTTAGACAAGAACTGGGACATCAACTCTCCTCAGTAATAGCTCCATTTCAGTTTCAATTTCCAGAACTGATGGTGCTTAACAACTGGCGCTCCGACTTTAAGTGGTGCAGGAGGCGGCCAGTAGGGCGTGCCAGCCCTCACACCCTGAACAAGAGGTCCCTGCATAGTCCCCATCGGCCTGCAGGTAGTGTGCTGCCACGACAGTGCCAGCAAAAGTCCCGGCAGCATCCCCAGCTGCCAGCAGGGGGTGTACGACGACTACACTCTGAGCAAGAGGGCCCTGCAGTGTCCTTAGCTGCCAGCAGGTGGTGGACGGGCACCACACCATGAGCAAGAGAACCCTGCAGTACCCTGGTTGCCAGCAGGCGGCGAGCTGCCACTACACTGTGAGCAAGAGCATCCTGTAGTGCCCCAAGCGGCCAGAAGGGGGCGTGCCCCCAGTAAACTGCAAGCAAGAGGGCCCGGCAGTGTCCCCAGCTGCCAGCAGGGGAGCCAACAGCCACTACACTTGGAGCAAGAGTGGCCGGCAGTGTCCCCAGCTGCCAGCAGGCGGGCGTCCTGTCACTATACTATGAGCAAGAGGGCCCTGCAATGTCGCCAGCTGCCAGCAGGCGGCATGCCGCCACTATACTGTGTGCAAGAGGACCCTGCGGTGCCCCGCAGCCAGCAGGGGCCGCTGGCCACTAATGGAAGCAAGAGAACCCTGCAGTTGCCCCAGTCACCAGCAGGGGGCACGCTGGCACAGCGCCTTCAGCAAGTGGGCCCTTTAGTGCCCGGCCGCAAGGAGGGGGCAACCTGGCTTTTCAGATTACTGAGGTTCCGCCTATCTCTGCGCTGCGCCCCAGGCGGCGTGCGTCACTGCGCCTGCGCCGCGCCCCCCTCCCCGCGCCTGGCGGAGTGCATCTCCGCGCCTGCGCCTCGCCCCCGCGCTGGCGTGCGTCTCCGCGCCTGCGCCTTGTCCTCGGCGCCGCGCTCGCGTTCTTCTCTGCGTCTGCGCCACGCAGCCGTGCGTCTCTGCGCGTGCATCGCGCCCCCACCTCGGCGACGCGCCAGCGCCCGACTCTGCGCCTGCGCCCGTCTTTGCGCCGGCGCCGCGCTGGCGTTTTTCTCTGCGCCTGCGCCGCGACCCCCGGCGCTGGCGCTTTTCTCGGCGCCTGCGCTGCGCCGCCATTTTTTTTCTGCGTCTGCGCCGCGCCAGCGTCCTTTTCTGCCCCTGCGCGGAGCTCCCGCCCCGGTGCCGCGCCGGCGTGCGTCTCTGGGCCTGCGCCGCGCCCCCGCCCCGGCGTGCGTCTCTGCGCCTGCGCCGCGCCCCCGCCCCGGCGTGGGTCTCTGCGCCTGCGCCGCGCCCCCGCTCCGGCGCCGCGCCGGCGTTTTTCTCTGCGCCTGCGCCCCGACCCCCGCCCCGGCGCCGCGCCGGCGTGCGTCTCTGGGCCTCCGCCGCGCCCATCGGGGACGCGCCGGCGTTTTTCTCTGCGCCTGCGCCACGCAGCCGTGCATCTCTCCGCGTGACTCTTGCCCCCGCCACGGCGCCGCGGCGGCGTCCGTCTCTGCGCCTGCGCCGCGGCGGCGTCCGTCTCTGCGCCTGCGCGGCGGCGGCGTCCGTCTCTGCGCCTGCGCCGCGGCGGCGTCCGTCTCTGCGCCTGCGCCGCGGCGGCGTCCGTCTCTGCGCCTGCGCCGCGGCGGCGTCCGTCTCTGCGCCTGCGCCGCGGCGGCGTCCGTCTCTGCGCCTGCGCCGCGCCCGCCTCCGTCTCTGCGCCTGCGCCGCGCCCGCCTCCGTCTCTGCGCCTGTGCCTGCGCCACGCCCCCCGCCCCGCGCTGGCGTTTTTCTCTGCGCCTGCGCCGCGCCACCATCCGTCTCTGCGCCTGCGCGGGGCCCCATCATGGCGCCGCGCCGCCGTGTGTCTCTGGGCCTGCGTCGCGCCTCGGGCCAGGCGCCACGCTGCCGTCCGTGTCTGCGCCTGGGCCGCGCTCCCATCCCGGCGCCGCGCCGGCGTGCGTCTCTGCGTCTGCGCCGCGCCCCACGCCCCGGCGCCACGGTGGCATGCCTCTCTCGGCCTGCGCCGCGCCCCCCAGGGACGCGCCGTCGTTTTTCTCTGCGCCTGCGCTGCACCGACGTTTTTTTCTGCGCCTGCGATGGCTCTATGCCTTTGCGAGGGCGGAGCTGCGTTCCCCTCAGCGCAGACCTGGAGAGCATCGCGAAGGAGGAGCTCCGTTTTCCTCTGCAGAGACTTCGGGGGGAACGCGATGACGGAGCTGCATTCTGCTCAGCACAGACGCGGGGGACATCGCGAAGGTGGAGCAGCGCATGCCTCTCCACAGACGTTGGGGGCACTGCTTCATTTTGGGACAACTGGGGGCCACATCCACGGTAAAGATCCTTCCTCTTTGCAGCCGAGAATAATGAGGGTTGGGGTTAGGGTTAGGGTTAGGGTGAGGGTGAGGGTGAGGGTGAGGGTGAGGGTGAGGGTTAGGGTTAGGGGTTAGGGTCAGGGTCAGGGTCAGGGTCAGGGTCAGGGGTAGGGTAGGGTTAGGGTTAGGGTTAGGGTTAGGGTTAGGGTTGGGTTAGGGTTAGGGTCAGGGTCAGGGTCAGGGTCAGGGTCAGGGTCAGGGTTAGGGGTTAGGGGTTAGGGTCAGGGTTAGGGTTAGGGTTAGGGTTTTAGGGTTAGGGTTGGGGTTGGGGTTAGGGTTAGGGTTAGGGTTAGGGTTAGGGTTAGGGTTAGGGTTAGGGTTAGGGTTAGGGTTGGGTTAGGGTTGGGGTTGGGGTTGGGGTTGGGGTTGGGGTTGGGTTAGGGTTAGGGTTAGGGTTAGGGTTAGGGTTAGGGTTAGGGTTAGGGTTAGGGTTAGGGTTAAGGGTTAGGGTTAGGGTTAGGGTTAGGGTTAGGGTTAGGGTTAGGGTGGTTAGGGTTAGGGTTAGGGTTAGGGTTAGGGTTAGGGTTAGGGTTAGGGTTAGGGTTAGGGTTAGGGTAGGGTTAGGGTTAGGGTTAGGGTTAGGGTTAGGGTTAGGGTTAGGGTTAGGGTTAGGGTTAGGGTTCGGGTTCGGGTTCGGGTTCGGGTTCGGGTTCGGGTTCGGGTTCGG